>NC_000015.10:83276874-83607938 GCF_000001405.40 Homo sapiens
AAAACCACGTGGAAAATGACTCACTAGCAGAGATCACCGAAGTTAAGTTTTAGAGTCTGTGGTCCTCTCTTACGTGTGAGATTCTAAGGCTATGCCAGATTCTCAGTGGAAAAAAATCGTAACTCTTCAACTTTAAATTTAAAAACCCAGTCTGGCAAACCACAAATCACTTTTTAACAGCCACCAAGTTTACAATAAAAATGCTTCAGGATTTTCTTTTTTTGAGACAGGGTCTTGTTCTGTCACCCAGGCTGGAGGACAGTGATCACTGTTCACAGCAGTCTCTACCTCCCGGGATCAAGGGATCCTCCCACTTTATTCGCCCTCCCAAATCTCACATAGGCGCATGCCACCATAACCAGCTAATTTTTAAAAAAATGTTTTTATAGAGACGGGGGTCTCACTATGTTGCTTAGGCTGGTCTTGAACTCCTGATTCACTTTTTTTCTTTTTTGGAGACAGTGTGGCTCTGTCGCCCAGGCTGGAGTGCTGTGGTGGGATCTTGGCTCACTACAACTTCTGCCTCCCGGGTTCAAGTGATTCTCCTGCCTCAGCTTCCTGAGTAGCTGGGACTACAGATGTATGCCACCACACCCGGCTAACTTTTTGTATTTTTAGTAGAGATGGGGTTTCACCATGTTAGTCAGGATGGTCTCTATCTCCTGACCTCATGATCTGCCCACTTCGGCCTCCCAATGTGCTGGGATTACAGGCATGAGCCACCGCGCCTGGCCAGTTTTTTCTAAGTAGTACTTTTTAAATGTTGAATATAGATAATTGTTGCTAACGTGCATATCAAAAACTGCCAATCAGGACACATAAAACAAGACATCTTTTAAAGCAGCTGGGCTACCTTTGGTGTCTAGGTGGAGAGCCTGGCTTCACTTAACCTGTTGTGAAATTGTCATTCTTACTCTTTCTGTGGCTGCAGAGCTAGCCTTCCTGGTTTAGGAAACTGCATCATTCAAGGGTGGGAGTTAATTCTCTACCCCACTGCTCTTTGGAGCTACTTTGCCTCTGCACTTCTTACTTTCCTTATTAGAACTGGATTTTTTTTTTCTCCTTACCTTCCCACCTCTCACTTTTCACTCCTTTCACTTTTTCTTTTTAAGTTTCCCATTGTTTTTCTTACATATGAAAACCCACAGAGGTACAACTAGGATTCTGAAAAATAGTATCACCCTTTGCCAAATAGGTAATAAGGACAACCGGGAAGAAGAGAGGTGAAGCCCACTAAGTCCTTTAATGTGAGGCAGCTTATCTGCAGGTGAGAGTGTCGGACTTTAGCTGACCTTGAGAAACACACATGGGGCAGACACTCAACACATCATGCCATCATCTTCCACTAATAGTTTAAGAAAATGATAATCATTTATTTAACAAGGTTTTTATTTGTTTGTTTCTAAAGCATCTACTATGTACTTGGTAACCATGGGGAGCTTCATGGAGATACAAAGATGAGTAATTGCCAGTGTCTGACACTAGGGAAGACTTGAATGACTGCAAGAAAAAATCACACAACTGGGTTGGTCAAAAACAGCAGAGTAGAGAATATGATTTGTCAAAAATTAGCATGAGTCATTCACTGTGTTAAAATCTAGGAATTCAAAATATACTCAAAACAAACAAAACTCATTGGCCACTTTTAGAAAATGCTAGGAAACCAACTAACTATTCTGAAAATTGGTAAACAAAGGAAAAAAATCAAATGTGTATCCTTTGCTATATAACCTGTATTTCAGGGTAAAAAAATCATTGATGAGACAAAGATTATCTCTGAATGTGGATCAAATAAATGAAGAACTGGAGTATCACCATTCCGCAACTCCTAATGAAAAATAGGAGGCCATTTGTCTCTGGACTGAAGGATACATACCACCACACATATGGTGTTCTTGATAAAAAAGTTCAAACCTGAATTGGATCAAGCCTCTTACTCAACTCCAATTTAAGAATATACAGGAGATACAGGAATGTTTAAATGATACTACAAGGAAATAATCATTGAAATTCAGACCAGGGAGCACTCTACAGGACAAATGATCCAGCTTTTTCAACAAATAAATTGCAAGGAAAAAAGTAAAGTATGAACCTATATATTAAAAAAGACAATGTACGGACCTTACTTGAATCCTGATTTGAAGAAACCAACTGTAATATAAAGTTTGTCAGGTAATCAAGGAAATTTGAACACCAATTAGAAATTTAATGACATTACAGTTATTGTTAATTTTTTAGGTGCTCTATGGTATATTGCCCTGGTTTTTTAAAAAAGAGCCTTTGTATTTTAGAGCTTCATATTATAATATATATGAATGAAATTATATAATGCCTAGGATTTGCTTTAAAGTAATCTAGTGTTGGTTATGATGGGTAGGAAATACAGATGAAATGAGACTGGCCCAAAGTTGGTAACTGTTGAATCCCCAAGCACATATTACATCAAGTTTCATTCTAATTTTGATTGTTTGAAATCTTCTATAATAAAAAGTGAAAAAAATAAGTCAAACTCCTACTCTCCCCCAAATTAAATAGTTTGAGTGGGATAGGAGAAATGGAGAAGTCAAGGTTGTACAGAGAGGCCAGAGAGGGCTTCCTCCAGGAAGAAGGCATGCTCTCATCAGTGCATGCAAGAAATACCACAAGCCTAGGTACAATGTAAAGCTTAACATGTACATATGTGTCAGGCCAAGGAGCCTGGGCCACAGAGCACAGGTCTCTGTTACGGGCAGTGAGACCTACCTTGAAAGACAAAATAAGGTGGGCCTGGGCTGTCCAGATGAGCAGCCAGGAGTCTCTTTATTGGGTTCATAGGATCATTGGCTTTCTACAATGGGGAGGCACTGTTTACCACAAGCATGGTTAAAAGGAGATGTGGGGAGCCTCAGAAACCAGGTAGTCAGCATTTGCAATATAAACACAACACTAAAGGAGAATGGACAAAATCTGGTTTCTCACTCCAAGTATGAGGATGAAATGAGAGACCAAAGACTGAGGGCATGGAGAAGGGTCTGGCAGAGAAAGGGCAGGTGGGAGGTAGAGCTCCTTCAAGTGACAGATATTGATTGGGCTGAGTCTACCTGTGAGTTTAAAGTATGCATGACACATTTGTAGTGTTCTCTAGCTGCTTAGTTCAAAGACTGTGATGGGGAAAATACTTGTTCTTTTGATGTCTATGAATCAAAGTATAAACTGTGTGCCAAAATAATTTAATGTCTGTGCTTTTTTTCTTAAAATTATTAGTTTCAAAAACTGAAAATCTATGAAATAGCTGAAAAACATGCAAACACTACCTTAAAAGCCAAGCCAAATATTTCTTCTTTAAAAAAATTTAAGAACTGTACAGAAATGTAAATTATATGGATATATTTTTTCCTTTATAACCTAATTTGGGAAACCTCAGAGGTAATCTTTAGAAACCTTTGATAACAAAAAACCAAAAGATATTAATTGCATGTAAAGGGAACTTTCCGAACATAGTTGAATCAGCCTGAGGAAAAAAATACAGAGCAAAACACTTACACTTTAGCATAATTTTACCTAAGTTACATAAGCAATGCAACTTCACTACTGCTGCTGATACAAAATAAAGACGAAATTGTGAACATTTCTAAGTAAGATTTTGTAAAACATTCTTTTGGGGACTCATTGAGAACTAGGTTTTTGAAACTAAGTTTTTAAAAAGAAAAGATCAAACTTAGTTAATTATGCCATCCTGATCCCTTGCTTCAAATTCAGTGTGAAGTATCATGAAATGCTAAGAGTTGACAGTATAAAAATTTTACCTTCATAATGAATAATGCAAGAAACAATTAGAGGACTACAGAAAAAGGACAACACTTCCGGAAGCTGATGTACAACTAGAAAAGAAATTTGAGGTTTGAGTATTTGGTAGGATCACACAAATAATCTGTAGGAGACCATCAAACTAATCTAACTATATGAAAAAATGTTAGAACCCTGAATTAAGAGTTTACCTGAGGCAACTATTTCCCTATGGACAGGGCTGTTTGGACCTGACCCTCACATTTTATTTCTCCATCTCTCTTTTGTTTCACATTAGTTGAATGAAATTATCATTTCCCCAAGGCAGAGTCCTCCTGTGATTTGTTAGGCTGGTTTATAATAATGAGTCCATGTGTAGACGGCAAGAGTGACAGTCTGTTTGCCGATAACTAACTATGTGAGGTTTGAGAAGGCCCAAAATTGGACCCTGGAGAAACAAGTCTGTTCTCTGTTTATACCCACCCTCTTCGGCTGAAATAGGCATGTGTCCGTGCAGAGAAATGGTGCCACAGTGGAAGCTTGGAATTTCCAGAATTAGGAAAAGGACTTCAAAGAATGACAAGATATGCAGAAATAAGGTTTTCAGGTGGAAACCAGTTTAAAAGGAAAAAGAAATGCTTTCCAGATGCTTCTTTTGAGCAGAATCCAGTTATCTTTAACATCTCTCAGAGAAGTCATCAAAAATAAAGAAACAAAAACTCTGCAGTAGAACACTTGGAATTACGTAATTAAAAGAAAAGTACCAACTCCCTAAAATCTTGATTTTAGATACTAAAAAGATGGGTGGCTCATCATTGAGATTTTACCTTAGCTAAGGTATTTTCAGTTCCTTCTAAAAAGGACAGTTTCTGACAAAAGTAACCCACTCTAAATGACATCTGTAGAGGAGAAAATTCACCCTGGGGTGAAGCACACTCCTGTAAGTAATTTACCCTGTGGAACCTTCAGGGCATCCCTTTTAATGGCCACATCAAAATTACTTCTAAAGCCACATACAGAAGCTAAAAGACACTTCTGCCCCCCACTCCATAAGCTGCAGTTTAATTTTACTGACAAATTGAACTTTTAAAATGTTTCCCTGTTTATACTTATCCCTAGGCATTCATAAATGACAAATGTGTGCTTAGGGACAACTACTTTGTTCCACAGGGAAACCTGTATGGCTTTTCTCTCTCATCTATCGGGTTGGATCGTCTTTCCAATCTGATGATCTTGAGGTACAGAAAGTGGGCATGGGCCTGGGATGCAGGCCTAACTGCTACATGGGGGAGATGCAATAAAACATAAAATAGCCCTCCAGTAAATCTCATGCTTCCAAGGCAATTACTTCATGTTAGTCAATATTTCTAATGAGAATTATAACCACAGCAAACAGATCACTGTAGGTATCAATGGCCAAAGAACTTTAACCACTTTCTGAAGGAGGAGAATGTCCCTAAATCCTTACTAGTCTGAAGGGACACTATAGGTACAGATGATATTCAAATTAAATTATGCAGATGCCTGAACATAATTACGAGTTCCCAAAGTGTGAGCATCATGTGTGCTAGGTGAAGATTTCACCACCTCTTCTCAGCATTTAACTACAACAGGAACACGTTCAACCAACAGTTGACTTGAAATAGTAATAGTTTCTTGGTGAAATTAGTTAGCAAACTTATTAGATGAGAAATCAAACGATGACTCGTATCTTATTCGTTTTAACCATCTGAAAGTATGCCAAAAAGAATAAAGTTATTTCTTAAAATTCATCATCACAAAAGGAGAAGCCATCTTTTCACACCTCTTTAAAGAGCAAATCAAATCCAGTACAATTTGTAACATCTGAAGTAATGTTCTTTTATATGATGTACAAAATTTTATTTTGACAAACTATTTTAACAAGGTTTTAATATGTATCAACGAATCTGGGAAGGGATCAATGAAAAGAGAGTCAGTGTATCCATCACTGAACAAAAGTTTCAATACATTAACACGTATTTGCAAACTCAGGGTCGAAGACTTAGAATCTTATCAAGAGATCCCATAAAATCGAATAGCAAATTAAATAAACAGCGAATGAAAAAAAATCTGCCAAATGCTGTTTTTCAATTCACTTACTGTCAAGCCAAAATCTTGTCGCTTTGATGAAAAGAATATATTTTTAAAAAAATTGTTGCTACATCTGCTCTGTGGTCCTATGCAGTAACACATGTTCTCTCTCCCTCACACACACACTCTCTCTCTCCCTGACAGGGATTCCCAGGACACCGGTGGGGCCTCTTTTAGGCCCCTTAAGTGTTAACAGCAAGAGGCCTGGCTGAGACCAGGCGTCTGGGCCGCTTTAAATGCCCTGGCCTTCAGAGGACTGAGGCGAGCACAGCCATAAAACCAGGGGACGTTACCGAACCCCCGAGCGTCTGATGCCCCCCGCCCCCCAACCACACACAACTTCACTCACACAATTAAGGCTGGGAGATGGCATTCCACTTAACTGTCAGACTCGGAGCGGTGGCAGCCCCGCAGCCACAAAGAGATGCCTTAAATGAGAAGAACATGTTTCTACACCGCATTTGTGAAAGTTTGGCTCGGAGCTACGCGCTGATTAATATCAGATCTCCTTCACTCGCCTCGCCACAATCTTGTCACATCTGGCTGACAAATCCCGAGGAACTCCGGCAAAGCCAGGCGGCGGCGGGGCTCCGGGTCTGGGCGGCGGCTCCGGAGGAGCAGCGGGAGACCCCGCAGCGGCCTCCTCCTTCTCCGCCCGCGGCCCCCAGCCTCGCCGCCGCCGCCCGGCTCCCAGCACGGAACCGACGGGGCGCTCCCGAGACGGGCGAGCCACGCGCTCGCAGGTCCCAAGGCCAGGCTGGGCGGGACTGTTAAGGGAGCTCGAAGTCGGGGGCCGGGGGCTTCCCGTCCCGGCGCTTCCCATGCAAACCCCTGAAGGAAGCGGCAGGCGCAGCCGCGGGCTCCGCAGCCCAGGCCCACTTCCTGTCACTCCAGGAAAACCTCGGAGCGGCGGACGCGGCTCGGCCCGGCTTCCAGCCCAGAGCCCAAGCGCCTTAGCCCCGTCCCAGCGCTTTCTGAAAGACGGGCCACCTCGCGCGGAGCCGCGACAAGGACTCCAGGGTCCGCAGTGAAGCTGGTCAAATCTGCCCCGCACACGGTCAACGCTCGGTCTGTGTCCCGGAAGCTTTCGGACCGGACCTGTCTAAATAGCGACTTTCAGTCGTGGGTTTTTTGTTCTTGTGGGTTTGTTTTGTTTTTTGTTGTTGTTGTTGCTCTACAAAAGATTTGTCCCGCAGTGGACGGGAGCCTCCTCACGGCCGCCCGCCCGTCTCCGCAGTTCTCCTCAGTGACCGGAGGCTGCCGCGCGCCCCGTTCTCCAGAGAAACAATCCCCGGAGAGAAAGACGGCCAGTGTGAAATATCAGCTGTTTCACAAATTCTGAGGTAAAAGAAAAAAAAAAAAAGAAGGGGTCGACCCCCACAGGTGGAAACAGCAAGTCCTAACGTCCTGGGCTGAAGCCTGGGGTGCGGGCGGCAGAGAGTGGCGTGTAGGGTACCCGCCGAGTGCCGCCGCCGATTTCCACAGGCTGGCCCGCCGGCACCTCCGACGCGCCCGCAGATCCGGCGCGGAGACCGTTTGCCAGCTCCGGGACGTCGGGCAGGGACGGGTCCCAGAGCCCCAACCCCCCCGCCGCCGCCTCCCGGCCGGAGACCACGGTCCCTCCCGCCGCGCCTCGGGGCCGCGCTGCCGCGCAGGTAGCCAGCTGGCCCTCGGGAGGTGGCCCTCGGGTACCCACGGGAGCCGGAGCCCAGCGGCGTCCCGGGCCGCCTGCTCCGCGCACAGAGAATCCCCGCGCCCGCGGAGGGCGCCGCGCTTACCTCGGCCATCCTGCGACCGCTGCGGTGCCGGGGCTGCCGGCGCGTCTCCCGGGCCCGGGCCGCCCCGCGTCCGCCCCGGCTCGGCGGGCGCCGCCGCATCCACGCTCCGGCCGTCGGGGCGCGACCCGGCGAAGTGGGCGGCTCCCCAAGCGCCCAGGCTGCGCAGCACGATGGCCGCCCCCGCCGCGCACCGCGTGTGCCCGCACGCCCGCCCCCTGCGCCCCGGGGACGCCTCTCCGCCCCTCCCCCTGCCCCTCCGCCCACCGCGCGGTCGCCCCACGCCGCGGGCGCTGCTTCGCCGCCCGGGAGGCCGCCTCCCGCCCCGGGACCGGATAACGCCCTAAATCAGCGCAGCTGAGGCGAGGCCGTGGCCCCCGCAGACCGCGGAGACCTCGCCGGCGGCCGGCGCGGAGGTGTCTGCCCCCGCCGGGCTTGAAGGCACTTGTTGGTAAAAGACACAGACGTGTCGGTGTTTGCCTCTCCCGGGGAAGGGCGAAACGCTCTGAAGTTCTCTGGCGCTCTTCTCAGGAGATGATTCGGCCTCCCCTCCTACCCTGGGGCGCCCTCGGGGTCTCACTGCCGCGGAGGAAGAAGGCAGCGCCGCCCTCGCCTGCAGAAACCTCATTCCCGAGAAAGTGCGGGACGAGCGTCTTGGGATGTGGAAGAAGGGGGTCGCCAGGAGGTTTTCTTAAGAACTCAAAACAAGCGCCCCCCACCGCACACGCACACACACACACACACACACACACACCCCTTCCCTTGGGTGGTCTGAAGAGTCAAAGTCCCAGCTTGACCACTTTCCCAGGACAAATGGCTTTGCTCTCTGGGCCTCAGTGGCTTCAGTTGTAAAATGGGATTAAGTTTTTCGCGTCTTATTGGATGCTAGGGACGGAATGAAATGAAGTGCCCTGGAGAAGCCAACTGGAGGTGGTGGCCCCGAGAGTAGACGCGGAGGGGCTGAGGCCGCAGGATCCTGGAGCCCAGGAGCTGACGGAGATCGCCCACAGCTGCTGCAGCAGCGCCCGGGTTTCTGCTGCCCCGGGGCAGGGCAAGCCTCTCCCAACCTCTTCAGCTCCTTAAAAGGAGTCTGTAAAGGCTAGACTGGGGGGGCGGCGGGGGTCCTGCTTCCTCTTCCCTCAGTTTCTTCCACCTGCCTTGCTGCTGGTGGGGATCCTTGAAAAGGAAACAAAGCTCTTCCTTCCCTCTCTGAGAGGAAAAGGAAGATGAAGTGAGTTGCCCTCAGCCACCCAGAGTGTGCCTGGTTGTGGCTATGGAAGGCACAGGCAGGTGGAAGGCTTCTGAAGGGAAGAGAAGGGAAAGGAGGGAACAAGGTGTACGAGGAAGAATGTGTGGGTGTCTGGGCGTCCTGGCGTCCTGGGGTCCAGCGGGTCCTTCTGCCTCTCCTGGGGTGGACACACAGGTGAGTGTCCTGGGCCTGATGTGTGGCGCCTTTCCTTGTAGGCTTGAAGTCTCCTGGCCTCACGTGATGGACCTTGCCGTGGGAGGAGATTCTTTTTTTTTTTTTTCACGTGGCTAACTTCTTGATGTAGCTTTGCTAGATTCATTCCGCATCTAAACTGCTTACCTCTCATTCCTCCGTGCCCCCGTATTGAGGCCTTTCTTCTAACACCTCCTTCTCTGTTTGTTGTAACACAGTGCATCTTTGAAGGACTTTCTGGAATGTCACCACATCTCAGAAACCTTCCCTGATCCACCAAGCCTCCACTCGATGTGCTTTTGCCCTGTTGTGACCCCCAGGCACTTTTTTCTGCCTCTTTCATCGTGCCAGTAGCATTGTGTAGCCTAGTTGTGATGTGTGCTTGTCTTAATTCCTTTGGTGGTTACTCATCTTAGTGGCTTCTGTGCTATGAGATACGGTAGCAGATAAACCTCTGGTTTTGCAGTCATAGTGACCCAGGGATAGCTCATTCCTAGCAACTGGAAACTGGCTGAGGAAGTCAGCCTTCTTGGCCCCTCTTTTCTTCTCTATAAAAGCAGATATGAAAGCCTGTCTCAGGCCAGATTGGTAGGACTAAATAAAATAGTCTCTGTTCTGCAAACCCTCTCCCCCTTTCCTTTCTGCTGCATCTAAAACCAATTTCTGGATTAACTTAAATTTGTTACCTACAATAATATTGTAACCAAGAGAGATCCTTGATGACAATATTACTGAATGCCACCTATGCCTATTATAAATACACCACAATGTCTATGTCCCAGGCGGTGGCCCACTTCAATAACTTTAATCTGTCCAATTGAAAGTTTTGGTCATTATCTTTATATTAATTGCAACTAAATTATATGTGTTTTAGTAAAACTTTCTGCTAGCAACAAATATCAGAATCAACTGTGTAACTCTATTCCTGGCTACAAACACAAGAAGGATTCTGGCAGTACATAATTTGAAAACATGAAAACAAGCTGCCTCTTCCAACATGTACTGTTGGGATCGACAGATACATTTTTTTCAAATGTGACAATTTGGACCGACATATAGGGAATCAGTAGGTCGAGATAAAAATTACTAATTAATCTTTTGCAGTTTCATTTTAAATCATGTACCTGATAGTACCATGTGACCTCTGACATCAGTCCTCAAATTTATTTCTCAGGTCTGATGGGCTTCTCTGCCATTCCCTGGAAATGTTAAGTAGAAACAGGAACAGAGAAACCACCTGTGCCTGTAGACAGGAGTGTGGTACTGGCTGGGTAAAGACTACCCAGACCATCTTCCTGTTTTCCTGCTGGTTACCAGTGGGGTCTGGTATGGCCTTTCCCTCCTCTAGACCTCACCTTTTTCATCTGGCAAATGAGAGCATCTCTGAGAGCCCATCCTGCTCTTGCAAAGTCCTCACGTTTTGCTTCTATGTTTCAACCTTGCCATTTTCTTTTGTGGCAAGTTCTTTGTCTTGGCAAGTGATAAAAACAGATTGTCTTCCCTAACTTTACATTATCAAGTACTAAAAGAAACTTTATTAAAATTGGAAAGATTGAGAAGATACAAAATAATGAAATCTTTGTGACCTGATGATAAGGAGGTAAGAATCAGCTCTTCTGAGATGCAGGGCTTGATTAGGTTGCTGTGTCTCTGACTGAGGCATTTCCCAGAGTGAATGTGTTGTCACTCTCCATCCTGAGAATCAATGACAAATGCTGAGGGGCTGGGCAGGCTGAGTCAGGGGGAAGTGGGGAGGTGGGGGGCCATGTGAACCCAGAGCCAGTGCCTGTCTGAAGTGGGCAGTAGTTAACTCTACTTGTCATCAGCCAGGAATGTGGGCTCAGTTTTGCCAGATTTCTTGCGTTTTCAAGAGAAACTGTAAATGTTCTGATGTTTAAAAGTTGGCAACCAATTCAAATTTTTGATAAATACAGTATGAGTCAAAGAAAATGTTTGCGAGCTGAATCTGGCCAATGTGCTATTCATTTCCACACTCTGCTATATAGTGATGTCTTCTTGAGGCCTGGGATTGTAGCACATAATAGACGTGCAATAAATATTTGTAGTGTGAACATCACTCCTGATGGAGAACAGCTTATAACTTCCCTAAGTTTTAAATGGAATTCTCGAAAAACACACTGAGATTAGACACAACCTTTTGTGTTGGATCTGAAGTCCGCAAATGGGCAGGTAAACCTTTCTAATATTTACACCCTAGAAGACCCCCTCTGGTTGTCAATAAATAATTCTGTTAAATACAGAATAGCCTCTTCTTAGGAAACTAAATCTCACAAGCAGTTTTTCCCCAGTGGGGACAGATGAGCTTGAAAAAAATTTTAAAGAATATTTTTAATCATGGAAATCGTATTAGAAAAAAAAGCACCTTTTAGCTGTAGAGGTTTGGGCACTAACAGTGGGAACATCATGATACTACAGCAGGTCAGGCAAGCAGGTAATCTGCCTAAGGAGGTAGCCGCCTCTCACTTGAGCCCACCAGTGGCCTGGAGGAGGAGCCAGCCCTGGGGCTGTTGGCAGAAAGACAGGGTGAGGGCCAAAGGGTCAGGGCAGGCCTTTTGAAATAGCAGGGTGGGCAGAGAGCAGTGGCCCTGTCGGCCTTCTGTGGTGTCCTCTCCTGAGTCCTCCACATTCCTCTGAGGTGTCAGGAAACAGCAGGAGGCAAGAGTCACATTTGTGCCGTCACCTCCCGGCCCAGAGACATACACCTGGTGGCGGCAGGTCTGGGCACATCTGCAGCTTGGCTCGGTGTTAGAGCCTGACTAAGCAGCACTTGGGCCAAACTGGCCCCCCCACGCAGCTGTCTGCTGGGGGACAGGCTGGCCTACCACAAACCTGGCACAGGTGTCACAATTTCCCCTCTTCAGCTCCAGGGCTGCTCCCTTTTGAGGGAGAGGACATGAGGCCATCCCAAATGTGGCCCAGGGTTTTGGTGGCAAAAGATTGTTCCTGTTCCTCAATTTCTCACACAAGGCCTGGGGTTGAAGGGAGCAAAATACCCTGCAGGTCGTGCTACACAGAGGCGAATGCACTGTGCCTGGCATTTTGGGTTTTGCCAAAGATTGCCAGATCTCAAGGGGGTGGTGGGAGTTGGTGTCAGCGAGGAAGTGATAAATACAATAGTAAATTCCAAAGTGAAAACAAACCCAGGCCTGATTCGTAATTACTGCTTGCCTGAATGTGGCTGCCAGTGATGCAACTTGTGAGCCTCAGTGGCATCTTCTGCAACCAGAAAATTCTCATTTCTGAAACAGACGAAGGCTTATAATGATTTTTTCAAGTGGAATGCTTGGAGCAAATATTGAAAGTTTGGCTACCATTGTTTTGGTATGTCTGGGGTGTGTGAAGTTAGCTTCTCATTTAGGCTGTTGTCCATGGCCTTTAAACAGTCAGCAACAGTCACAAGAAGGCAATGGCTTGCCTTCCAGACAACTCATTCTTTCATCACCAAGGCAGTGGGAAGAAAATACCACAGGTTAACTTATCCCTGGACACTTTGTTTAGTAATAAGCTTGTCCAATCTAAGTTCTGTGGGCCACATGTGGTCCAGGAGAGCTTTGAATGCAGCCCAACATTCAAAGTTTAAATTCTTAAACTTTCTTAAAACATTACGAGTTTTTTTGTTTTTTGTTTTGTTTTGGTTTTTGCTCATCAGCTATCATTAGTGTTAGTGTATTTGATGTGTGGCCCAAGACAATTCTTCTTCCAATGTGGTCCAGGGAAGCCAAAAGATTGGACATCCCTGATTTAGTACTACACATGTGGAAGAAATACTTAGTTGGTGAAAATCCCTTAAACTAGGCACTTTACAGATTGAGTTGGTGAATTTGGGGCGAGTTTCATGAGGACAGGACAGGTCCTGCTTGGATGGGTTTTGGGAGGCTGGTGAACATATATCAGAAAACTTTTAAAGTTCATTATGCCTTGGAACATGGTGTCTTCTGCAGATTTAATGATCCATTATCCAAGGTGAAGGAGGATATATTTGGTTAGGTCATATTGCTTTCGGAAACTGAGGATAAAAGGGTTAGGGAAGATGGGCTATAGGACAAATTTTGAATCATTCTCACTCACTGATATCAAATGGTAAAAACATTTTTAGGGGGATAATTTTTGTATATTCTTAAGGGAAGAGAGAACTCTGCAAAAAAAATTTGAGTTACCCATTTTGTTGTTTTTGAAAAAGTAAAACCACTTTAAATGTCTGACTTAGAAATTTTATAGAAAACAGATTCCCCTTTATAGAGTTTATGTCTGATATTGAATAAAAAAATTAATTAGCAATCCAGGCTGTGCATGAAAAAAGATTATAGCAGGCAGTATGATGTGTGACTGGCCTCTTCACCCTTCCTTTCATTCCTTCTCCGCAGTGTAGCAGCTATGTTCTCTGGGTAATCAACCCCAGTCCCAGAGGTGATTGGCTCAGGTGACCCATGCCTAAACCAATCAGCACCAAGGTATTTTCCTGGGCACAGGAATTGGTTCCAGGTCGTCCAATCAGCTTAAAACTCAGAACTTTTGTTTGATGGGCATGAAATGCCGAGTTCTTTTTTTCCCATAGGGGGTGAAGAAGGATAACATGTAATCCCTGTTGTTCCTGGCATCTTGTGAATAATAAAGGGAAATCGGGCTGGGAATAGAGCTGACATGTGGAGATGAGAGCTCAGAGAATTGTAGAGAAATTCAGCTGGAGCTCTGATTCACGCCTGAAGCCTTTGGGCTTCATGGATCTGTGAAAAATTAAATCACTTTTGTCACTTAAGCCAGTTTGAGATTTTTTTTTTTTATTTTTAAGAGAAAGCTTCTCAACTGATATAGAAACTTACCTTCAGTTTTACTGGAAGATTATTCTGGATGAAGGAAGGATAAGTGACATACCAACTGTTCTCTGTCATAACAGTCTTTGTTCATTATTTGCATTTTTAGATGACATTGGTGATGGAGGATTAGGAGAGAACCTCCTGACACAGACCTTCAATCCACAAACGCTGGGTCAAGTGAAGAGATTTTTCCAATCAAAGTACATTGATGCTGTAATCATTAGTTTTTTCCTTACTATTAAGTAAAATATTTTCCAGAAATGCACTGACCACATACTTTGATTTTTTAATAACATTTTCTTCATTGGATTATGAAATTTAGGAGGTTAGGGACTGTGTTTTTTTGTTTTTTTTTTCCAAGACAGAGTCTTGCTCTGTCACCCAGGCTGGAGTGCAGTGGTGCGATCTGGGCTCACTGCAACCTCTGCATCCCAGGTTCAAGTAATTCTGCCTCAGCCTCTGGAGTAGCTGGTATTACAGGCGCCCAGCACCACACCCGGCCAATTTTTGTGTTTTTAGTATAGATGGGGTTTCACCATGTTGGCCAGGCTGGTCTTGAACTCCTGACCTCATGATCTGCCCACCTCGGTCTCCCAGAGTGCTGGGTGCTGGGATTACAGGCATAAGCCACCGCGCCCGGCCTTTTTTTTTGAGACAGAGTCTTGCTCTGTCACCCAGGCTGGAGTGCAGTGGTGTGATCTTGGTTTACTGCAACCTCTGCCTCCTGGGTTCAAGCGATTCTCATGCCTCAGCCTCCCACGTAGCTGAGATTACAGGTGTGTGCCACCACACTCAGCTAATTTTTGTGTTTTTAGTAGAAGTGGGGTTTCACCCTGTTGCCCAGGCTGGTCTTTAACTCCTGGCCTCAAGTGATCTGCCTGCCTCGGCCTCCCAAAGTGCTGGGATTATAGGCATGAGCCACCGCACCCGGCCCAGGACTGCTGATTTTTGCTATATCTAGCACAGTGCTCTTCTGTACACTGTAGGTGCTTCTTAAATGTGGGCTTTACCTATACATTTATAAATGAAGAGATTTAAACACATATTCCTGACTTGTAGCTCCTTAAAAGTACCTTCTTGTAAATGGCATAATAGAAGACTTCTAAAAATGTAATTGGTAACTGTGCTTGGAAATCTACTTTGTCAAACTGTGGCTTCTACACCTTGTCTCCAACACCAAATCAGTTTTGATACTGATGTTTCCCAGAGGTGTGGCTTTTAATCCTCAAATTACAGCACAGGTTTTAACAGGCCAGTTTTGTCTGTCACCAGGAGTTTAGTAATTAACAAAATGCTCCATCTCTAATGGTTTATCAAAAGGCCAGTAAGCAAGTAAGAGACATTATACAGGAAACAGACTTGGTATGCTCATTGAGAGAATTCATTTAAGGAGCACTCCAATTACATGCTATGTTTAATTTGAGCCCAGTTGCTGAAGCTCAAGGTAAGACTTGCAAAGGGAGGTCTGAAGCAAGCCCTGACCATGGATCCTACATATGAACAAAATTGAGGGTCCTTCTGAACGTCCATTCTAGGAATCACATAACTTGGAGTCATTTTCACAGCCATGGATGTTTTGCAACAGGCTTTGCTACAAACACTTTAATAAAAGTTAGTGGTTTTTCTTGGGAGTCCAGGACAGGCGTATAACAACCACTGAGTAACCTGCAAGTAATGTTCGTGGTGACAATTCTGCTTTGTTCTGTGGGAGTGTAAGTAGCTGAATCAGGACACAGATCGCTCTCCGTGAGTGTTGGGAAAGGAAGGTCTGCACACTCAAAGCAGGGAGTGTTCTCTTTATCTGAGGTGGCTGCCAAGTCTTAAATACTAAAACATGTAGGTGTACTTGAGTAAAGAGAAAGCACTGACATTTCAAAGATAACTTGATAGAAGGCAAGAAAGAAGAGGAACTGGGTTATTTGGCAGAAATGTAAGTTTCCCCCGGAAAGGTCACCTTTTTTAGGACCTTGGTGTCCTGAGATTCTGACAGAGGGTTGGACACATCCTCAGGCTGATGTTTGTGCAGAGCAGGCTTTCTGCCTGAACCTCTCCTCTCACTTTCCTTCATCAGGACACCCCTAATGGATTGCAGATGTCGTATTTGGTTAGAAGCACGTTTCAGATACATCTGCCCTTCTTGCTTTTATGCAAAAAACACCTGCAAATCTTTATCTTTGGTTGGATTTACCACACATTTGAAGCTTTGAAATTTTGGTCCAGTGGGAAAGAGGAGCATGTCACCACCTTCCTCCTTAAGTTGAATTCCATAACTGACAATAGCCTTTGGGGGAGATGTTTCCATTTTTCTTTAAGGATAGTAGTTGGTAACGTTTTAAAAGCCTCTGTCCTATTCAGCTGAAAGTTCATTAATTTCTTTAATCCTAGGGAGTCTGGAAAAATCCATAGTGAATATGGGTAGATAGCTGATATGTGTGTGTGTGTTTCTTCCCGATTTTCTGAGTCTTAAAATGAGACCACAGTACCAGAAGAGGAGAGAACAATGAGATGTTGGCAAACTGGCTAGAATAACACTACAGGACCAGATTCCTTGGATGTGCCTTGAAAAGACATGTGGTGTATTTCCAATAAGTAAATCCCTCTAGGCCTCAAGGAACATTTTCACCACTCCCTTTATTCATTCAACTGTATTCATTCAAAGATATTTCATCCCATCAACCAAACAATGACAAATGCCACTTAAATGGTTGTGAGATAATAAAATAATGAGCTGCCTCTGGGAATGCTGAGAAGGACTTCCACATTGGGTATGGTTTTGTCAGGAAGTAGGAAGCCTTGGCTAGGTGTACACTAGCTTTGGTGACTGAGCAATACATTTACCCTTTTGGGGGCCTCAGTTTTCTCATCTGTAAAATGAAGGAGATGAATTAAAGTTATTTGTTTATTCCACAAATTATTACTAATATTGAACAGCATCTTTTTTTTCTTTTTTTTTTTTCTTTTTTTTTGAGATGGAGTCTCGCTCTGTCATGCAGGCTGGAGTGCAGTGGCATGATCTCAGCTCACTGCAAGCTCCGCCTCCTGGGTTCACACCATTCTCCTGCCTCAGCCTCCCAAGTAGCTGGGACTACAGGCGCCCGCCACCACGCCCGGCTAATTTTTGTATTTTTAGTAGAGACGGGGTTTCACCATGTTAGCCAGGATGGTCTCCATCTCCTGACCTCATGATCTGCTCACCTCGGCCTCCCAAAGCACTGGGATTACAGGCGTAAGCCACCACGCCGGGACTTTTTTTTTTTTTTTTCTAAACTTAGTCTTCCTCTGTTGTCCAGGCTGGAGTGCAGTGGCACAATCGCGGCTCACTGTAGCCTCCACCTCCCAGATTCAAGTGATTCTTGTGCCTCAGCCTCCCAAGTAGCTGGGACTACAGGTGTGTACCACCATGCCGGTTAATTTTTGTATTTTTATTTTTATTTATTTATTTTTTGAGATGGAGTCTCCCTCTGTCACCCAGGCTGGAGTGTGGTGGCACAATCTCAGCTCACTGCAACCTCTGCCCCCCAGGTTCAAGCGATTCTCCTGCCTCAGCCTCTCGTGTAGCTGGGACTACAGGTGTGCTCCACCGTGCTGGGCTAATTTCTTTGTATTTTTTAGTAGAGATGGGGTTTTACCATGTTGGCCAGGCTGGTCTCGAACTCCTGACCTCAAGTGATTAGTCCACCTCGGCCTCCCAAAGTGCTGGGATTATAGGCATGAGCCACCTCGCCTGGCCTAATATTGAGTATCTTCTGTGTGCACTGTATTTGCATCTGAGGATACAATGGACCCAGTCCTTGTACTCATGAGCAGCCCTTCAGCAGCACTATCACTTCCTGGTTACTTTCCATCATTCACTGCAGTCATTGAGAATTGGCTTAGAACACTCAACCCCCTTCAACCTTTATTAATTCCTGAATTTTATTATTTTTTTTTAACAACATTCATTTTTGTTTGTTTAGAGGTGGAGTCTTGCTAAGTTGCCCAGGCTGGATTTGAACTCCTGCACTCAATGCCTAGAGGGATTTACTTATTGGAAATACACCGCGTGTCTTTTCAAGGCACATCCAAGGAAGCTGGTCCTGTAGTGTTATTCTAGCCAGTTTGCCAACATCTCATTGTTCTCTCCTCATCTGGGGCTGTGGTCTCATCTTCCTGCCCCTCAGCCTCTTGAGTATCTGGGACTACAGGCATGAGCCACTGCACCCAATTCCTGGATTTTCTATCAAATTACCCTCGCCAATAACCCATGATTCCTGGCACCATTATCCTTCTGCAGCACCCACCAACCAAATTCTAAACCTGGATCAATGCTGTAATCAGGCTTTTCAGCCTCAACATGCACACTTGAGTATTGATGGAGAAGCAAAATGATGGCAGAATTGGTGTTACCACAAATTCCAAGTCTTTACCCCAGGGCTACATTTCCATGAACAACTCCCTTTTCTGTTCCCCTCAGTGATTAAACTGAAATACATACATAACCCATTTTAAATCTCTCTTCCACCAGGCTCAGAGGATGGTGTTCATCCCCCTCTCCCATCCACCATACCTTTTGGGACCCTTGTAGTAATAGCCTCTCTTTATTGTGCATTCAGCATCTCCCTTTCAATTAGTTCCTTAGCCTATAAACATTTTAAATTCTAAAATACCCTTATATAGTGGACAATTAAAAGGATAAACAACCACCCCCCTGCAATTCATCCCTTGTGTTCCTTCCTGTGTAGACTCTAGCCGTGATCATGTAATTTGCTTTGGCTAACGGTCATTAGCAGGTATGCTGCCAGTAGAGGCTTAGTAATTGCTTGCACACTGAGCTTATCTCTCCTGGATTATTCCCTTTGGAGCCCAGCCACCATGTTGTGAGAGGTCCAGGCTGTCCTGATGGAGAGAACGGCCATGTGGAATCGGCTCCAGAGCGTGAGAGACCACTTTGAGAGGAAGGTTCTGAGAGCACATGGAGAGAAACCTCGAGTCCCTACTAGCCCAAACAGTTGGCCTACCAGCTAAAGGTAGTCTGAATAGTGACCAAAGGAGAGACCAGAAGAAAAACTACTTAGTTAATTGATTGGATTCTGAGAAATAATAAATCTTTGTTTTAAAAAGTCATATGTTTCAAGGTGGTTTGCTGGGCAGAAGCAGATAACTGAAGCAATCCTAAAAATAAGAAACAACATTCCTTTAACCTCACTCTCTATCTGTTCTTGGCTAAGCTTCTGGAAATAGTCTATATCCTTTTTTTTTTTTTTTAAACAGAGTCTCTGTCTGTCACCCTGGCTGGAGTGCAATGGCGCCATCTCGGCTCACTGCAACCTCCATTTCCTGGGTTCAAGCAATTTTCCTGCCTCAGCCTCCCAAGTAGCTTGGACTACAGGCGCACTCCACCACACCCGGCTAATTTTTGTATTTTTAGTAGAGACGTGGGGGGGAGCGGGGTCTCACCATGTTGCCCAGGCTGGTCTTGAACTCCTGACCTCAAGTGATCTGCCCGCCTTGGCCTCCCAAAGTGCCAGGATTACAGCCGTGAGCCACCACGCCCAGCCTGGAAGTAGTCTATCCATGATGCCTGGATTCCCCAATTTCTAATCTAATAGGCATTCTTCAGCTGTTTGCACTGCCCCTCTCTGCTGTACTAGTCTCTGGGGACTTCTTCCCTGATTTCCATGACTCCTAGCCTCCTGATTCTCCTCATTTCTCTCTCACTGGACATTTTCCATTACCTTAATGGCCTCCTCTTCCTCCACTTGCTCTTTTCGTGTTCCTCAGGCTCAGGTTCTATCTTCAGCTACCTTTTTCTTTTCTTTTTTTAAAAAATACTTCATACGCTGTCTTGGTGATCTCATTTGTTGTATGATTTCAACCATAACTGATGATCCACAAATCTAGGTGCTGGGCATTGGTTTAGATCCTATGAGTACAGTATGAAAAATAGGCACAGTCCTAGGCCTGTAGTCAGTGAACACTTAATAGTTCTCTGTAAGCACTAAACAATCTCTTGCCTCCATGCTTTTACTCCTATCTCCTCTACTGGCAATAGCCTCACCTGCTGAGGTGGAACAATGCTCCCTGCACTTCCCTTTTAGCTAATTCCTGTTCCTCCTTTAAACTTAGTTCAAACACACTGTTCTCTGAGAAGTCTTTGCTAATAGACCCGTTTTATCTTTCCTTCATGGGCTACGTGACTCCAGTCCATGGCTGTACTCTGAGTAGATTTCATTTGCGTTTAACTATTTTAATTGTTCTTTTATGTGTCCCCCTCTCCAATAGAATCTGAACTCCTTGAGGGCAAGGACCATATCTTACTAATTTGTTATTTCCCAGGGTTTAACATAGTGCTCAGTGTATCATCTGTGCCCAATAATAGTTGTTCAAGAAAAGATTGTTCAAAGACTGAATTGTAGACTTTCTTTCTAATGTCCTGTGGAATTCTATCCTACTTGAGGTTTTCGTATCTGTATTTATAAGTGAAATTGGTCTATAATCAAGTCAAAGAAGCCTGGAGTCCACTGACATGTTTAATTTGTTGTTTAATTTGTAAAATCATTTGGCATCTCCCATTTTCCCAATGCTATGGCAAAGTTTTTAAAACATGGAAATCATCTTTCTCTAAGATTTGACAGCGCTCACCTGGATTCCTGATACTGGTAGTGGGGATAGAGTGTTTTTAACTTTTTTTTAATAGTTTTTTTTTTCTATTTGTTTTCCTCTATTACACTTTTCCAAATTTTCTGTTTCTTATACTTTCATTATTTTATTTTTAGGGAGAAATGATCACCTAATTGCTATTTTTAAATTCAAAACTCAAAATTCATAATTATATACCAACTTAAAGAGATATTCTAAGGCTGGGCGTGGTGGCTCACACCTGTAATCCCAGCACTTTGGGAGGCCGAGGCAGCCAGATCACAAGGTCAGGAGATCAAGAACATCCTGGATAACACGGTGAAACCCTGTCTCTGCTAAAAATACAAAAAATTAGCTGGGTGTGGTGGCATGTGCCTGTGGTCCCAGCTACTTGGGAGGCTGAGGCAGGAGAATCACTTGAACCCGCGAGGTGGAGGTTGCAGTGAGCTGAGATCGCACCACTGCACTCCAGCCTGGGTGGCAGAGTGAGACTCTGTCTCAAAAAAAAAAAACATTGTAGCTACTGTTATATCAATTTTCTAAATTCTAATTTTGCTTCCTTCTTTTCTCTTAGATGGGCTACTATATTGCTTGTTTTATTTGTTCTTTCAACAAGTCTGCTTCTTTTATCTTTATTATTTCCCTACTCTTATTTTCTTAGGATTTCTTTTGTGTTCTATTTCTAGAAGTTTAAATTGAATGCTAAGTTATTTTTAAAAAATCACTTCATAAATTCAATTTTGAGTATATCTTTAACCACATTTCCTGTATTTGCTTATGTAATGTTTCCATAATCATTTTTTCTAAAATATCTTTATTATTATTTTTTTGAACCAGATGTGGTATAAGGCTTTTCAATCTTTTAATGACTTTTTTGTCTTAAGCTTTATGATTTCTCACTTTATTACATATGATCAGAAATTATGACCAATATAATTTCTACTTGTTTGAATTTATTGAGAGAGTCTTATTTAAAAATATAAGTTCTTGTTCATAAAGTAATAAAGTATAATTTATTAATTGTACTTTAAAATTATTTTGTTCATATTCTCTAATTCTTTTTTGGTACGTACTCTATTTAATCTGACACAGCCCAATAACAATGAATTAAAATTTTCACTGCAGTCATCTGTGTGTGTATGTGTGTGTGTGTTTTATAGTTAGGGCTTAGGAATCTTGGAAGGCTCCCTGGAAGTGGGGTGCTGATATGGACATAATCTAAAACAGGGGTGTCTAATCTTTTGGCTTCCCTGGGCCACATTGGAAGAAGAATTGTCTTGGGCCACACATAAAATACACTTACATTAACGATAGCTGATAAACTAAAAAAAAAAAGGCAAAATGTCTCATAATGTTTCAAGAAAATTTATGAATTTGTGTTGGGCCACATTCAAAGTCGTCCTGGCCACTTGTGGGACAAGCTTGGTCTAAAACAAAAGGGGTTAAAAATACTAAGATAGGAAAAGTTACATTGATCAACTTTTCATTTGTCCTGTACTTCCCTCTTGTTGCACTTACTATTCTGTGTTATAATTGCTTGTTTATATTTTCCATCAGATTGAATCAGACTTGTTTACCACAGTTAGCTCAGTGGTCACTCAGTAGTTATTTGCTCATCAAATAAGTAAATATCATTGGATCCTCTTTTTAAAACTAACCTGAGATTCCTTGGTACCTGGCCTAATTGTTTCACTTGCTCTGACTTCAGAGATTTTGGTACTTGTTCTCTCAGTGTTTCTTTTCTATTTTTATGCTGGCATATGCAATATATTCTGTTTACTTTTAGCTATTTGGAAGCCAATCACCATATTGCTAACCTAGTAATAATTTTCTTAAAACATCTTAGACATTTTTCGTTCTGTGCTTAATCAAAACTGGTATCTTTTGGCTCACTTTCACGGAAAAAAGAAATATTGTGCCCCTCAGGGCTTCCCTCTACTTTTTCTCCCTTTCCCCATTTTTCTAAAATTTAAAATATAATCAGATAATAGGTATTTTAGTTATATGTTGCTGTGTAACAAATTATCCTAAAACTGAGTGGCTTAAAACAACAAACATTTATTATCTCTTGGGATGTGGCTTTGCTGGGTCCTCTGGTCCAGGGTCGCTAGTAAGTCTGCAATCAAGGTGTTGGCTGGGGCTACAGTCTTCTCAAGGCTCAACAAGTAGAGGATTTGCTTCCAAGCTCACTCATGTGGCTGTTGGCAGCGTCAGAAGATCCACTTCCAAGCTCACTCACATGGCTGTTGGCAGGAAGGCATCAGGTTCTGGCTGGCTGTTTGCCAGAGGTATCAGCTTCTTGTTACATGGGTCTATCCATGGGGGAGCTCACAACATGGCAGTGCTTAGAGCAAGCAAGAGAGAAAGCAGGAAGAGATACAAAAAGAGAGAGCAAGTGAGAGCGCAAGCAAGAGAGTGCAAGAGATGGTAAGCAAGATGGAAACCAGAATATTTTTGTAACCAAATCTCAGAAGTGACATCCCATCACTTTTGCTGTATTTTATTTGTTAGAAGAGGGTGTAGGTCCAGCCCACCCTGCAGGGGAGATTTCACAAAGGGTGAACATCAGGAGGAAGGAATCATTGGGAGCCATCTCAGATGCTGCGTACCACAGTAGAAAACTTCCTGTCTCTATTCTTTCAAAGTCATTTTCCTTTTATTCCAATATCTGTATTAATTATTTTAGACACCAATTATACTCTTTCCCTGTTACTTGTAAAAACATTATGAGCATTTTATACTTATTTCTGAAACTTAATATCAGTGACCATCACTATTTCTTTTCAATCATAACTTCCCAACTAATAGTTTAACATTGACAGTTTCAGAAGAGATATATAAGGCAGCAAGATTGATCTTAAATCCTTGTTCACCCTCCCCAAACTCTTACCAACTTACAGGTGTATTTTTATCTCTTGGGTTTAAGAATTCACTAGAATTTATATTAATATTGTTCCCTTTTTATTGCTCTTATCTCAGATACAGTAAGTCCTCTTGATTTCTAATATCAGGATTCCCCCTCCAGACCCCTAATTCTGAAAACTTTGATAATTAAGTCTTAACCATTTGTTTTCTCTTTATCAGGAATGTTTTATCCACAGGTTGGCTATCAGGTCAGTGTCCTGTTCTTTATATCTATTGTCTTCTTTTATTCCTTTTAAAATATTTTATTGACTTATTTTGTGTTTGGCATAACATTCTTGACACTATCATTTATTTGGATGAAAAGATTTTCTGTAGTTTTAATTCTGCTTTTTATGGAGACCCAATTCCAGCTATTATGAATATAATTTTGTTGCATTCTCCTTTTATGCTGACCTGTTCATTGATTGATGTGATGAATTCCTATATCTCATTGAAATATAAAGCAGGTTTATCTTCAGGTTAACCTACTTTAGGAGGAAAATTTTCCTTTGGGGAAGTCTTACATATTCTTTAATTCTGCAAAATTTTTTCATATATCCCATGCTCCCTTTTTCTTTGCATATTTTTTTTCTAAAAGTCTTTACTGTATTTGTCTGGAAGACTTGAGGGACTGGATTGTTGGAAAAAAAAAATGAACCCACATCCCATGATTCATTTGAACATGGAGAGCTCTCCCTGGGACTAGTGCCAAAGGTTCAATCAAAAGCTGCCAGTGACTCCCCTAGGAAGCACTTGGTTCTGAAAATGAAGGATAGACTAGGAATAGTTGCAGGTTAGCTAACCTAAATCTTTCTGGGAATAAGACTGGAGTATATCAATCAATAGATGCAGGTCACACATCTCTCTGCCGCATGGCTGAGCAAAGAGAATCTAGAGCATACCAAGTTCTTTCTTAATAATGCTGATGAATTATTTCTTTGTTTTGGCTCATGTTTCAACTTTTTATCTTATGGTTCTTCAGGTAACTTCAGGTCCAAATGTACAGTCAATAGTTAATCTGTCAATATATTTTTTCTTATTTGGGGCTTTCTGTCTTTCCTTACATCCTATTCCATTCCTCTGGGCTTACTTTTCTTCTTGCTGAAGTAAATCCCTTAGTAGTCTTTTCAGTGAGGATCTGTGAATGACAAATGCCCTTAGAGTTTATAACTCTGAGTAGATTTTTATTTTGTTCTCACATTACAAGCATGAGCAACCGTACCCGGCTGATGGTATTTTTTCTTCAGCACACTGATGAAGACAATTCTTCCATTAAAATTCTTCCAGGCCGGATGTGGATTATGCCTGTAATCCCAGCACTTTGGGAGGCCGAGGCAGGTGGGTCACGAGGTCAGGAGTTCGACACCAGCCTGGCCAACATGGTGAAACCCTGTCTCTACTAAAAATACAAAAATTAGCTGGGCATGGTGGCACACACCTGTAGTCCCAGCTACTTGGGAGGCTGAGGCACGAGAATCACTTGAACCCTGGAGGTGGATGTTACGGTGAGCCAAGACCACACCATTGCACTCCAGCCTGGGTGACAGCGTGAGACGCTGTCTCAAAAAAAAAAAAAAAATCTTCTGGTTTCTGATATTGTTGATGAGTGCTCTGCTCTTGGTCTAACCATTGTTCTGTTGCCAGTAGTCTGTCTTGCCTCTTACATAGCTTTATTGTTTTTCTCTATATCCTTGGTTTTCTGCAGTTTTATAATGATATGTTTAGGAATGGTTTATTTTGAGTTATTCTGATTGGCATTTGGTGCGCTTATACGATATTAGGAAAAATTCTCAGCCAAAACTTCTTTAACTATTACTCTCCCTTATTATCTCTACCCTCTTACTCCAAACTATTCTTGACATATGCTGGAACTTCTCTACTTGGCTTTCTGAACTGCTGCTGGTTATTTTTTATCTTTATCTTTCTGTGCTGAATTCTGGAAAAATTTCTGGTACTATCTCCCGCTACTTTTCTTTTTGTGTCCATTAGACCCAATTATTTTTTACATCAAGGAATTTTTTTTTACTTCTAAGATTTATTATAAATTATTTTTCATATTTCTGTTATGTTATTTCTGCCTGTTTTGTTTCATAACTTTTTATTCTTTTATGAATGTTATTTCTTCACTTTTTTTGAAGTCCTTAAAATGGTATTTTAATGTCATTTTTAGAGAGCTGTATTATTGTCATTTCACTGGAATGAATTCACCTACTGATTATTGATTTAGAACTTCATGCAAGAGTGGGGACCAGACCCAAGATCACCACGTAAAACTGAGATTAAGGTGGGACATTCTTATCTACTCATTAAGCCTGAAAAAAAATACTAAGCGTGCCACCAGAACCTATGGTTTCTTAAAAAGTAACATACCTATGGAGATGGGGAAAAGTTCACCTTACATCCGGGACCTGAGAAAAGTCATCTCATTGCCCAGTGTTTGGATCTGTGCAGTTCTGCAATAATCCTGGCTTCAATTCTCCATCTCTCATGCAGTAATTTTCAACCTACCAACTCTGCTTACCACTTATAAGCTTACATTTCTCATAAGTTTCTAGTCCATGGAGGTGCTTATTTTCCTTTCAAGCATGGCTATAAATTTTTAGTATTCTATTTTTACATTTTATCTATCACTGTCATGTGTTTAGAGTTGGAGAGGGGCTCAGAGTAGAAACAACTCAGCTTTGACTAACTCCTGCTTCCAAATGCATAATTTGTATTAAAATTTCAGTATCAATTTCATATCTTCAGTGTCTCTACATTTCAATAAGATGTTCTGATTTCCAATAACAATTTGAGCATTCACTTACAATAAGCATTAGATATAATTCTTTAATTTTGACTTTATTATTATCTGCATTGAAAATTAGCATAATCATATTACACATTATCCTCCCAACCACTGCTTAGATATAAACTTAAATGCCTTATGAATCTTTGAACTGTGACTGTATGTCCAGGGATGTGACCATTATATTAAACAACTACCACTGTAAGTTATTTCAAGCTCGCAGTTCTTCTTGTTTATACAGATTTGGTTGAGTCTCTCAGGCAGAGATGTTTGTTGATGACTTTGCTCCTGGACGAGTAAAGTACCAGGGCCTAGGGCCAATCAAGTGTGCTAGAAATAAGTTAGCAGAGGCTTCCTCTGCACCAAGAAAGCCTCTGGACCTCAGTGCACATTTGTTATTCTGTGTCCACTATAACATCTGTGTAACAGCCAGAACAAGGTGGTAGTATAGGAGTGGGGTGGAGAAGAATGATGTCTCTGCCGATGAATAGAAGAAAGATTTAAGGTGATGGTCACCCATATCTTCTCTTTTCCCTCCCACAGTCACCAAGGAATAGTTGCAACGTCTCCTCTTTGCTTCACAGGCCCCAGGCTGTATGCGTGTCTGCCTCTGTGTGTGTGTGTATGTATGAATGTGTGTGTCCTCCTTCATGCTTATGTATTAAATACTTGTAGCTGCAAGGCAAAAACTTATCACAGAGTTGTCTTAGACCCCTTCCTCTAATGGGAGGATGCCAGTCCAAGGTTTAACATAAGATGCTGGGGGCACAGATCAGAAGGGCATTGGGAAAGAAAGAACTTTGGGGCTCATATTAGAAATTAAGCCCAGACTTCAGTGGTCAATGAAGCTGAGTAACAGAGAACTGCATTCTGATTCCGAGAGCCTCTAGAGTCATACAGCTAAGAGGACTGGGCCTACCTAGCCAGGATGCGAACGTCACAGAATGAAAAATGCCTGGGAAAATGTGGCCAGGAGAAATAGTACTTTTCACTCCTCAATTCACTTTCATTTTCTACTGTGGCAGTTTAAGGTAAGAAGAGTTAGATGTATAAGTTCGTCAATACCTGCCTTGATACTTGCACTATATACAGGATAGAAAAAGGAATTGGTTTGTGTCCCTAAATTCTGGGTATATGATATAAAATTTGTTCCCTATTTTGCTAATCTTATTATATTGGAGTTCTGACAAGTGACTCTCCCTCTCAATATTTATCCCTATTACAAGAAGGTACTCTGATAATTTAATTCTGTTCTGTCCTATCTAGCAGTTTGTTTTGTTAAAAAAAAAAAGTCTGCAAATGTCCATTGACAGATGAATGGATAAACAAAATGTGGTATATACATACCACGAAATATTATTCAGCCTTAAAAAGGAAGGAAATCCTGTCATATGCTAAAGATGAATGAACCTTGAGGACATTGAACTATGTGAAATAAGTCACCCACAAAAAAACGAATACTATATGAGTCCCTAGAGTAATCAAATTCATAGTGAGAGAAAGTAGAATGATGGCTGCCAGAGGCTTAGAGGGAGGGGGAAATGAGGAGTTGTGCTTTAATGGGTGTAGATGAAGGAGCTCTGGAGATTGGTTGCACAAAAATGTGAATACAGTTAACACTACTGGACTACACTTAGAAATGTTTAAGATGGTAAATTTTAGATTATGATTTTTTTTAAACAATTAAAACACAAAACAACACAATGGGGTATTATGAGAAAGCAAGTGGGCTTCTGTAGGAATATATCTGGGGTCAGTCAGAGAGGGCTCCCCTGAGGAAGTGGCATTTCAGCCAAGATCTAAGGAATGAATGAAGTTAGCCACAGAAGGGTATAGAGGGTAGGGGCTGAAGGACACACTAGACAGCAAGGGGGACCACGAATAAGTTAAGCAGCCACTGCCCAGCCCATATCAAGCCCTATGTGGGTTACCACAGTCAAACAGCTTCCTGCTTTCAGTCTCTAGCTAATGCCAGATTAATTTTTCTAGAACACCACCTGGATCATGTCACCCTCCCACCTTCCTGGCTAGTTCTTCTAGAACTTCTTTTTTTTTTTTTTAGTTTTGCTTGCTGAATAACCTCTCTGCCTGGCACTTGAGGCCCTTTCATGTGGCCCTACCCTGGCTCCAGAGTTACTCTTCCATTACTCCCCCGTGTGAACTCTTGCCCCAGCCATATCCCTCCCTCTCTTGTTCCCTGAACACAGCATATTAATTCCCGCCTCAGCACCTTTGCTTATGTAATTTCTCCTGTCCGGAACACCCCCATTCTCCCCAGGCCTTGATCACTTTTGTTCCTTCAGTTAGCCCCTCCACTCCTCAGGGATCATCCCTTCTGGATTCCGCAACACATCATTTCCCATTTGCTACCTTGCCCTTTCACTTCACCGCTTCCTCCCCCACCTCCACACACATTACCTGGGAACCGTGTCTTACTCATGTCTGAGTCTCTAGGGCTTAGTGCCACATCCGAGGGGCTAGCTTAACATGTAACAGTCATCCACTAATCACGATTCCTTATGGTCAGCAGCTTGTCGCTGGCAATGGGAAGCTGGCAGACCCAAGGCTGATGTCCAGCAGGGAAGCAGCCTGTTTACCCTCAGCACTGCCCCTGGAGCCCACCTCCAGCACCATTCTATCTACTTCTGACATTCTTGAGCTGAACATCTCCTGACCAGGCCCTCCAGATGCTTAACAGGATTATCTGCCTAACAGCACAGCCCTCCCAGGCGAGTGACTTCATCTAGGGAAATGCAGGAGCAGTAACAAGCACCAGGACACATTTTCCTAAAGCTCAGAGGACACTTCAGGGTGGGGATGGGGATAGGAGGGAATCAGATGGAGGCCCTACACACATTAAATGCAAAGCAAGTGATTTAACTCAGGAGAAAAGCCGCTTTCACAGATGGGAGTTTTGCACAGCAACTCACTGCCTAACTATTCCATTGGCAAATGCAGCCGTGGTCGTGGGCTGGAGAGGAGAAGTGGGGGCGGAGAATGAGGAGGCACGGGGGTTGGGAAATCCACCTGGATGCCATCAGTCTTGCCAGAGTAAACAGAGCTGACAGGAGTGCTTGCCGGCAGCCTGGTACAGGTTAGGGGGGGGTCACTGAAGCGGCCCGGTGACCCGCCTGCCTTAAGGTAGAGACGCTCTGGAATCTGTCACAAAGGACAGAGCTGAAAGCTCATTCCTCGCAGAATGAACTCGTTTCCTGGCATTCCACACAATTGGGAGTGCATGCACTTTTAAAATGTTTAAATGTAAAGCTGAGCTGGGATCAAATACACACATTTAAAGCAAAACAAACAAAAAAGATCCCCTCCCCCACCTCAAAGTAGGACCCATATTATAGATGTCACCAGCAATAAAAAGTAATTTTTAAAAAGCTCCTCAGTTTTCTTGAAGCTTGAGGGTTTAGAAAGAAGAGCCAGATTTATAAGGAGAAACCTACCACTTAATTATTTAGAACTTTCCAACGCAACAGCAGAATATAACTTAAGCAAAAGTCCTTTATTACAATCCTATAATAATATGTATGGGAGATGGAAATCGCTTTTCTTAAGAATAAGCATTCCCAAACACTCCATTCTTCTTAGAGTGTGCAAATGTGAAAGTGATAGCAGTGGCATATTTAGCATACTTCACAAGAGTCTTCCTCAAGCCATACATAGTGGGAGAGAAATTTCAAATAAAAGAGTTTGAGTAACTAATAAGGAATTTTTTGGACTTGGAAGCACCAGTAAGACTATGGTTTATTCCTCCCTTCAGCAGGCACTGAGGGCCTATTAAGGGGATTGAGGATGGATGAAGGTCACCTAAACGTTGAAAGCCATGGCCATGGTTCTCTAGCTCAAAAGACACATGAATAGTGTCTTGTAAGGCTGAAGAAAAACAGTCACGACTTAAATCTACCTGTGCCCTCCAAGATGTCCTTTTGATAGGGTATGTGACCTTGGGCAAGTCACTTCATCAGCTGGTCTTGTTTCTTCACCTATAAAATGAAGATAGTAAAACGCTGGTGCCTTCAGGGTATTCCTGGCACTAATGAAGGCTCATAAAGTGCTTTGAGATCCTTAGGATGAAAGTCTCTTCAGAACAGTAAAGCTTGATTATTATGCTGCAAACATGACATTCCCATGAAAGTCCTGGTCAGGCTCTTACCCCACCTCTCAGGGAAGATTTAATAGTGGAGAATTGTAATATGTTCTTAAAGGATTGAGATCTCCATTACTGATACAAAATATGCCACAGTAAACTAGTATATTAAGGGCTATTATCATGAATAATTTAAAGCCAAGTTGTACTTACAGATTAATCAACCAAGTATATATTATGATGCAGTAGATTTTCATTGTGGCTTCCCCCAACAGACTAATGTGACAAAAAATTATTATTCTCAGTGGATCCTCCAGTTTGCATAGATTAGCAGGTTGACTTCACATAATGGGTCATCACAGTAAACTTCTGAGGGATACCTTTATATCTACTCTAAGAAATAAACCCAATTAGAGGTCTCTTCTTAGTACAGAAGAAGAGGTTCATTAATGATAATGAGAGACTGGGTTACACTAGGCCCTAAGTTTGTAATTAATCTTGTACAGACCTTCCCGCTTGAAAATATTGAAGAATATCAAAGTCATGTACATCACTCCAGGCTAAAACACATGCACGTGAAAAGGGGAGAGCAGGCTCATGCACAGATGTCTTGGCTGATCTTGGACAATGCTACTTCTGATGATGCATTGGAAGGTGTAACCATAATTAGATCAAGTGAAAGCCTTGTGTGAGCTCATTTAGATAATTCACTAAGTCTGAATATTAAAAATCCACAATTTCTGTATTCCATAGCATTAAAAAAGATGTCCACAGTAAGGTACAAAGGATGGATTTTAAAAGACATGCTAAGAGGAATTACAGACACTAATGTGTTAGTGGAATGACAGATTATGGTCGTCTCAAGAAAATTTTAAAGAAATATCCAGGCCGGGCACGGTGGCTCACGCCTGTAATCCCAGCACTTTGGGAGGCCGAGGCAGGCAGGTCACGAGGTCAGGAGATCGAGGCCATCCTGGCTAACACGGTAAAACCTGTCTCTACTAAAAATACAAACAAAAAAAAAAAATTTAGCTGGGTGTGGTGGCAGGCGCCTGTAGTCCCAGCAACTCAGGAGGCTGAGGCAGGAGAATGGCGTGAACCCGGGACATGGAGCTTGCAGTGAGCCGAGATAGCACCACTGCACTCCAGCCTGGGTGACAGAGCGAGACTCCATCTCAAAAGAAAAAAAAAAAAAAAAAGAAATATCCAAAGTATTAGTGTTACATTGTGTGTTCCTTTTCTGAGATTTCCATCTCTTCCTATGATTTTTTTAAAAAATAATGCTGCCATTGGCACCAGCTAATATAAGATAATTGGCAATGCCACTGTACTCTTGACTGTAGTGGGAGAGAAAAATAGATTACTTTCTGCTAGAGATAAGGGACACTTTCAGATTTCTGGAATGCTATTTGAAAGGAGAAAGGTGCTCAGTAAAAGACTAGGGATGTTGCCACAATAGTGAGTTCTATCTCTGCAGCTGGGAAACTCATCTACAACAGACCTGACGGTCCAAATACTGAAAAAATAATTAAGGCCATTCGGAACCATTAAGTTTATAGATAAGCAGGATAAACTGACCTTCAAGGGAATCTGCAATTCTTTTCCTGACTCCAAGCCAAGTTTTCCTAACATGCCGTGCGTTGGTGTACCTCCGTGCCTTTGCTCAGCAAGTACCTTCACCCACCTAGCCACTTCTCTGCCTGAGAAACTCCTACTCATCCTTCAAGATGTAGGTCTAAATATCTCTTGCTGTGTGGAGACTTCTTTGGTGTTGCAGAGGTAGAGATAGATGCTTGATGCTCTCATAACACTCAGTTTCCTTCCTTCCTTCCTTCCTTCCTTCCTTCCTTCCTTCCTTCCTTCCTTCCTTCCTTCTTTCCTTCCTTCCTACCTTCCTTCTTTCCTGAGATGGAGTTTCGCTCTTGTTGCCTAGGCTGGAGTGCAATGGCACGATCTTGGCTCACCGCAACTTCTGCCTCCTGGGTTCAAGCGATTCTCCTGCCTCAGCCTCCCCAGTAGCTGGGATTACAGGCATGCGCCACCGCACCCGGCTAATTTTTTTGTATTTTTAGTAGAATCGAGGTTTTTCCATGATGGTCAGGCTGGTCTGGAACTCCTGACCTCAGGTGATCCGCCCACCTCAGCCTCCCAAAGTGCTGGGATTACAGGCGTGAGCCACTGCGTCTGGTCAGTTTCCATCTTTTTCTATGATGCATTACATCCTATTGCAAAGTTTTCAGTGTCTGTTTCCCCTTCGATGCTTGAGCCTTGAGGCACTGGGACCACATCTTATCACTTTAGTTATAAAAGACATGATAAAACTGCCTGGTGCCTAATACAAGTCCAATGACTCTAAATTCAAGTATTTACTGTCCAATGTGACACAGGAACTGAACAATCAGAGCACATGCTGGCTGTAAACAATTGTCGGGGCTGTTCTGGGATGTAGCTCTCCACAGGCATCATAACAGCCACCAAATGTTTATTGAAATAAAATCAACCATAGCCTGACTTACTGAGTGTACAGTAAAGCTTTTATAGCCCCAGAGCTAAGTGTCACCATTTTCCCATCTATAAAATGGGAGAGTAATACCTTCTTCATGATGTTGTTATAAATCTAATATGAATCAAATGAAAAGGCACCTCATGCCTAATACAAGATGATTGACTCTGTGCTTGTGGCCAAATCACCTGTCAACTACTAAAAGCTCTAGAAAATGGCCCTAACCCATCATTTCAAAAGGGATCATTATCTCCCAAATCACCAGGGATAGTTTGGGGAGTTTGGCCTGGAGTCCATCAGGGTAGGTTGAATGTGAGGGTCTTGGTGAAGTAGGTGCCCCTTCCATTGTCCATGTGGCCTAGCGTCAGGTAAAGGGAAACAGCTAATTTAGAGAAAAGCGTGCCTTGTGGAACACACCCTGGGTCATAGATTTTCAGCTAGTTTCCTTTCTCAAGGGTAGTGATTCTTACATTTTGCTGCACATTCAAATCACCTGGAGAGCTTTTAAAATTCCTGCTGCCCAGGCTGCACTCCTGGTGAGTTATATCAGGATCTCAGGGTTGGGACCCAGACATGGGTATTTCCTACAGCTCCTGTGGATGATTCCAGTGGGCAGTCAAGTTTGAGAACCAGAGTCTAGGGCATGGAGGGGTCACAGTCCTAGATGCCCACAGAGGTCTGGCAGGTCATGTGGATGAGTTAGTGTCAGACAACTGGGAGCAGGGAAGACCTGTGGTAAACTGGAAAGCACCTGTCTTATTTAAAGATTTTCAACTTAAAAAAATGAATTCACTACATATACCCCCAAAATATGTAAAACGATTATATATCAATTAAAAACATTTTTTTAAAAAATGAATTCACTGTTCCAGCCAAATGAAACACAGCTGTGAGCTGTGTTTGGCCCATAAGCCATTGGTTTGCAAAACCTGTCTGTGGTAATATTGCCTGAGAGGCCCCGGAAGGTTCTCAGAATAGGTCAAAGCCAAAGCTCAGGAAATGCTGCTGAAGCTATCAGCTGTGTGCTTCCCAAGGATTTCCCCTACATTCCATTCTCTTTCCCCCAGATGCTATTGTTAATTGGCTTTTGTGTACTTATTTTACATGTTTTTACATTTCTTTTCAGATACCTAGAAAATATATTTTTGAATGCTACCACAGCACATGCCTATGAAGGTTTGAATTTCATCTTGGCAAAAAGTTTTTCACAGTGATTATTGCTGACATGGCTATTGTTGAAGCTATTGTACAAGTTCTTCTGTTTAAAGGAAAGGAAGTAGATCAGGTCAGCTGCTCATTCTTTAAGCAAAACCATCAAATGTTCTTCAGGACAGCTCTCTTTTCAAGACAATCTTTGCAGCAGCATGGGATGTTTCTTACTGGGTAAAGAGGATTGCATTCATTCCTCTGCAGGAGCAGGGTGATATTTTTATTTTTAAGCCTCTCACTTGACTACCTGCCACTTGTCCCAAGTACAACCTCCACTGTGTTCCTTTAATGTCTTTAGGGTTCAGAAGTCATTGACTAAACTGGGTGTGGCCTGGACAAGGCTGAACGAGTCCTGTCACATTTTCCTCCCAGCTTATCCCCACCCGTTATTAGTAAGTAATTCTCTTACTGCACTGAGGCCTCGACAAAGTCCTTATCACAGGGTCACAACAGTTCCCATCAGATTTTGCCCCTGGGTGAGGATGATCCAAACTCCATTTCCTCTTCCATTTCCTCTGCAGGTCTCCATAGTCCCTACAGGGCAAATTAATATCATCAACTTCCCTTCTGTAATTTCTGAATTTCTTTCCGGAAACTTCCTCATTTTGTATTGAATTGCTATTCCTCTATCAGTTTGCAAATTACTATCTTTAACAAATGAAATCACTCAGATCAGTAACAGTAAAAAGCAATTTACTATAATGATAGTTACATAAGAAGAAACAAGTATAAGTGGAATAAATGAATGAATGAATGATGCCTCACTCTGGACCATATTTATCATGAGCTGATAGCAGACAGGGTTTCATGAGGGAAGATAGATACAATGTATGATTGCATTTTCTTTTTCATTTATTTTTTATTTTTATTTTTTTTGGAGACGGAGTCTTCGCTCTGTTGCCAGGCTGGAGTGCAGTGGTGCAATCTTGGCTCACTGCAACCTCCGCCTCCCAGGTTCAAGCGATTTTCCTGCCTCAGCCTCCTGAGTAGCTGGGATTACAGGCACGTGCCACCATGCCCAGCTAATTTGTTGTATTTTTAGTAGAAACGGAGTTTCACCATGTTAGCCAGGATGGTCTCCATCTCCTGACCTTGTGATCCGCCCACCTCAGTCTCCCGAAGTGTTAGGATTACAGGCATGAGCCACCGCACCTGGCCTGTGATTGCATTTTCTATCCAACTGAACATTTTTGAGCATCTGCTGTGTGTCAGAACCAGGGAACAAAGATGAACACGTAAGTTCCTGCCCTCAGGGAGCTCCCTGGAGAGTGGGGTGATCTAAGAGTGCTCAATGTGCCCAGTGCTCCAACAAAGGGGTGTATGTACAAAGTGCTGTGGGAGCAGAAGAAGGAAGTGACTAACTCTGCCTTGGGGCACAGGGAAAGTTTTAGAAAAGCTGGGACATCAGGGCTGGGCCTCAGAGACACTCCCTTTCCCAGCATGAGCCTCACTCCAAGTTTGGGGACAATGTCTGCCCTCAGGGAAAAGACAGAAGTTGGGCCCCATGCCTGGTTTCCCAGCTCCTCTTTCCCAGACATCTCTGTGGGGAGAAAAGAGGGCAGACATGGGCTTTAAAGACCACTCCTCTTTCTTCCTCCCAAATAAAGACTCGTATTCTCTTCATTCATCACTTCAGATACCAAGAACCCCAGTGAAGAATGAGGGTATTGGGGGTTGATGGTCAGACTAACAAAACGGTAGGACAAAAGAAAAGCTAGAAATGAAAGTCATAGTGTACCAAGATGGGAAGGGTCGGTAGAAGTGGTCTTTTATTGCTAATATTATTCAGAATTGGTGCATGGAGATAATAAAAAGCAGAGAGACTTTTAGTTAGCTCTTTTATTGTTTTTAAATTCTCTACAGGACAACGCAGCCTCATACTCCCTGCAACCCAGGTGGGCTGCTCCCATGCTCCCCCTACATTGTCATGGAATGAATTTACTTTCTGAAAGTTCAGACAAAACTGAAAATTCAAGACCAGCTTGGGATTTATAATGGGCTCTGATTCTCAGTGTGTCCAGCATGTTGCAGGTGATGAGAGAGACTGGGGACTTCATCTGCAAATTCTGATACCCCCACTCCCCCTGCCAGGATACTGTCCTGTGAAGGTTCATCACCCCAAAAGCCCAGTGGTTCCCAACCCGATCTTGCTCCTCAGATGTGAACCCATGGGGCAATGGGATTGGGGGATAGTAAAGAAGACAGGGATCCAAGGAATCCCATATTTCCAGGATCAGGAGCAGATAGATTAGAGATGATGCAGGATCTTTCTCTAGGCAATCAGGAAGAGTCCTTGAGGAAGCAAAGAAGCTTGCCCAAATTATAATAGCAAGATGTTTGTTTGAACCCAGAAGTCTAGAGTTGTGGTTAAAGAGATGCTAGGCCAGGCGTGGTGGCTCACACCTGTAATCCGAGCACTTTGGGAGGCTGAGGTGGGCGGATCACCTGGGGTCAGGAGTTTGAGACCATCCTGACCAACATGGAGTAACGCTGTCTCTACTAAAAATAAAAAAAAAAAAAATTAGCCGGGCGTGGTGGTGCATGCCTGTAATCCCAGCTACTTGGGAGGCTGTGGCAAGAGAATTGCTTGAACCTGGGAGGCAGAGGTTGCGGTGAGCCAAGATCGTGCCATTGCACTCCAGCCTGGGCAGCAAGAGCGAAATTCCATCTCAAAAAAAAAAAAAAAAAAAAAAAAGAGAGAGATTCTAAAAAGACTCTACAACCAGAATGCTTAGATTTGAATCTTGTGAGCTTGGGCAAGTTACTTAATCTCTTTGTGTCTGTTTCTCATTCTAAGACAGGGATAGTAACAGTACCTAGCTTATACGTTGTGGTGAGGATTATATATATGAGTTAATATATGTGAAATATTTGGCGAGTAGTAAGTGATGAATAAATGTTAGCTGCTGTTAGTGGAAATTGAGTCTCATTTCCACTGTTGTAAGCTGTTGTTAGTGGAAATTGAATCTCATTAAACTGCTCAAATTTGATATTGTTATCCACTCCTTTGCTCAGTGATTTTGGGTCTCTAAATTCTATCCAAAGAAACAGAAGTCTCTCTAAGAACACATGATAACTCTTTAGCATCTTTTCCTTAAAGTTGACAAGCTTTCTCAGGAGCAGAGCATCTTTGGCTGGCAGAATCATGGGCTATTACTGTAGGAATAGAGCAGAAGGAATGGGACTCCTAAGGCCATCCCTATTTTCTTGTGTGGTTTGCAGCATTGCTCCTGGTCTCCATTTTCTGTGCATCAGTGTCATACCACAAAATGCAGTATCCACCTCAATTTTGTGTTCCATTCCTTTAAAAAGTGAAAGTAATTGCTTCTGTATTACAAAAGCACTATGCAGTACTTGCAGAAAAAACAGATAGCTTAAAAGAAGAAAAACTCATCCTACTCTCGTTATCCAGAGACACCCTCTGTGATGCCTAAGTGTACTGCCCTCTGGATCTTTTACATCCCATATACAGCTTTTATGACAAAAGTTGGCTCACACTGCATTTACTATTTTCTTTTCTTTTCTTTTCTTTTTTTCTTGAGATGGAGCCTTGCTCTGTCACCCAGGCTGGAGTGCAGTGGCACAATCTCTGCTCACTGCAAGCTCCGCCTCCTGGGTTCACGCCATTCTCCTGCCTCAGCCTCTCCAGTAGCTGGGACTACAGGCGGCCACCACCACGCCCAGCTAATTTTTTGTATTTTTAGTAGAGATGGGGTTTCACTGTGTTAGCCAGGATGGTCTCAATCTCCTGACCTCGTGACCCGCCCACCTCGGCCTCCCAAAGTGCTGGGATTACAGGCGTGAGCCACCACACCCGGCCTGCATTTACTATTTTCTTACCTCTATTTCCACTTAACAATATATCACGAACATCCTCCCATGGCAATAGATATTAATCAACAACATTTTTAATGACTGGATAATACTTTATTTACTAGACGGACAATCTTTTAACACAACTTTTATTGTTTAACACACAGCTCCTTTCTGATTTTTGAAATCTTCAACAGGGTTGTCCATCAACCACCTGGAGGATGATTACTGGGACATATCCTTAACAATTTCCTTAGTAGAAATTCATGTAAGTGATATTGCAGAGTCAAAGGCTATATGTACACTTTAAGGTTTCAGATGCATGTTGCCAGATTGTCCCCCTCGAAGTCTGGACCGTTGAACCTCTCACCTATGAAATATATATATTTTTAATTCTTTGCCAACCTATTAAGCAAAATAGTATCTTAGTTTAACATATTATTTTTTGAGGCACGGTCTTGCTCTGTCATCCAGGCTAGAGTGCAGTGGCTCACTGCAGCCTCAAACTCCTGGACTCAAGAGATCCTCATGACTCAGCCTCCCTAGTAGTTGGGGCTACAGGTGCAGGTCAGCATGCTTGGCTAATTTGTTTAAATTTTTTTGTAGAGATGGGGTCTTGCTATGTTGCCCAGGCAGATCTCAAACTCATGGCCTTCAGCAATCCTCCTGCCTCAATCTCCTAAAGTGCTGAGATTACAGGTGCGAACCACTGTGCCTGGCCCAGTTTAATTTATATTTTGATAGCTAACTAGATTGAATATTTAAAATATGGAGTGGTATAATGGACATTGGAGACTCAGAAGCGGGGAGGGTGGAAAGGCAGTGAGGGATGAAAAATTACCTGTTGGGTACCAGTGTACACTGTTCAAGTGATGGGTGCACTGAAAGCCCAGACTTCACCACCATACATTTTATCCATGTAACCAAAAACCATTTGTATCCCTAAAGCTATTGAAATTTTAACAAATGAAATATGTTTTCTAGCCATGTATATTTTAGCTTTTAAGAACTACCATTCATGTCCTTAGTTTGTTTTTTCTGTGGAGGGGTTAGTCTCTTTCTTTTGTACTTATTTGTAAACTCTGAAAGAGTCAGGTTATTAATGCTGTCATATTTGTTGCAAATATTGTTTTGTTTACTATTTATATTTTAATTTTGTTCTAATTGTTTTAAACACATGGCATCTAATCTATATTCTTTTCCTTTTTATTTCCAATCTTTATTTGCACCAAGAATATATAGCCAGCTACCTTATATTTTTTCTGGTAATCTGTATGGGTACATTTTAAAATTGAGATCTAATTCCTATACCATAAAAATTTCCATTTTAAAATGTAGAATTCAGTAGTTTTTAGTATATTCACAAGGTTGTGCAACCATCACCACTATCTAATTCCAAAACATTTTCGTTGCCCCACAAAGAAACCCTATGCCCATTAGTATCACTCCTCATTCCCCACCCCCAGCTCTTGAAAACCACAAATCTGCTTTCTGGGATTTGCCTATTCTGGATATTTCATATGAATGAAATCATACAATATGTGGCCTTTTGTGTCTGGCTTCTTTCATTTAGCATAATGTTTTCAATGTTCATCAATGCTGTAGAATGAATCAATATTTTATTCCTTTTATAGTTTCCATTGTATGGATGTATTTTGTTTATCCATTCATCAATTATTGTAATTTTATAATACACTTTCTAGTGGGGCATAGTGTATCTCAGTGATTCTTAAAGTGTGGTCTGACCTTTAGCATCAGCTGAGAACTTGTTAGAACTGCCAATTTCAGGTCTCACTCCAGACCTACTGAATTATGACCTGTGGGCCTGGGCTCAGCCATCTGTTTTAATCAGGCTTCTAGGTGACTCTGATGCACAACTTTTTGAGAATCACTGATATACCTTATTACACTTCTTTAACACTGTCCTGTTTTTTTTCTACGTTTATTAATTCTTCTGGCTGAAGTCTAGTGTTTTGGAACATATATCCAGGTTCTAATTTTATAAGTTGTTAAAGCCTTCTTGAAGTCTTCCTTTACCCACCCTTTTTTTTTTATTGTTAGGGTCAATAGTTAACTGATATTTTAAAATATCCTTGCCTCTATCTCTCTCATTTACAAACTCAGTGTGGAGTTTTAGATCTAGATTATTATTTTTTAAGACGTAGATTCTATCCAATTTTATTTTATTTATAAGTTTCTCTATTTTAGCTAGTTTTAGGGCTTATCATAATTTCCCTGTTCTTGTGCTCTTGATTTTCTTTCAAACTCTGAATTACTACAGAGTAGAAAAACTGCAATTCGCAGTATGCACCTCTACCAGGGTTCTTTTTTTTTTTTTTTTTTTTTTTTTGAGGCGGAGTCTGGCTCTGTCACCCAGGCTGGAGTACAGTGGCCCAATCTCGCCTCACTGCAAGCTCCGCCTCCTGGGTTCATGCCATTCTCCTGCCTGAGCCTCCCAAGTAACTGGGACTACAGGCACCCTCCACCACGCCTGGCTAATTTTTTTTTTTTTTTTTTTTTGTATTTTTAGTAGAGACGGGGTCTCAACATGTTAGCCAGGATGGTCTCGATCTCCTGACCTTGTGATCCACCTGCCTCGGCCTCCCAAAGTGCTGGGATTACAGGCGTGAGCCACTGCACCCGGCCTTTACCAGGGTTCTTTTGTCTCCATTGCCTCACTTGTGGAAATCACATCTCCGGACTTACAATATGTGTCATCCTGTGCCGGTACCCTTACTGCCAGGGTCATCCATATCTGTATGAGTGTGCAGAGATGGTTGTACTGGATGGTGTGTGTGTTTGTGCACGCATGTGTGCAAAGGCAGAAGAGCCCTTACTGGGCAGTGCCCAACATAGGTGGAGGGCTAGCTTCCTGGCTTTCTGGTGATGATAAAGAAGGTACAAATATATCTTCCTTTTATTTTTGTTAGACTCTCTGTTTTGAGAAGCAAAGCCAGATCATTCCATGAGCTGAAAACTAAAGTAAGGTTATACAATTTCTTCTCTGTCTGCCCATGTCTAATATCTGTTATTCCAAGGTTTTGTCTTTTTATTGTCTTTGTTTTCAACATTGTAAATTTTTTGAAAAAGTCTTTTCCCATGTTTCATGGGCATGTTAGTGACAAGTCAAGAGAGGGTGCATTGGGGTGTGGTGGTCAGATGCCATTTTGAAATAGAGTGGCACATTCACATTAGAGGCCTGTGTCTCAGGAGAGACGTTCCTCCATCTCAGATTCAGGAGCTATGGCATCACTTCTACTGCATTTTGGTTTAAAAATCACACTTGGACTGAAAGGGACAGAGACAGTACAAAATAAAAAGAGGCTTTTAGACTCCAAGAATTCTGTTGGTGAGAAGCAAGCTGAGATAACTATGCAGCTGCAAACATAGGTTACTTCTCATGAAAAAGGAAGGAAAACCAGAGGGTGGGACCAAGAGTCCAGAGAATGGAGCCAAAAGTCATGAAAATCCCCATTGAGCAGCAATAGAACTGAATCCTAATCAAGGAATTTCCAACATTTGCCCATCTGGATTTCAGAACTGCTACAGACCAGTAACTTCTGCATGCCTCCTGTTTTACCCCCTTTTGAACAGGAGCTTCTCTAGTGGGTGTCCATGCTTGTCCCACCATCATATGTATGTTGGGTGTGTGTGGATGGGGGTGCAGATAGCTGTATCTGTAGTTCACAGGTCTTCAGATTGAGAGGATTTGTACCCAAATAGCTGTACTTAAGGAACTACAACTGAGGACCCTCATCCGCATCTGGACTTGATGTAAATGATGGGATTTGGACTTACAGCTGATGCTTGAATGGGATGAGACTTTTGGTGGCCTTGGAAGATGGTGAGTATCTTTTACATATGGGAAGAATGTAAATAATTTGTGGTCAGAGGGTGGATTTTGGTGGTTTTAAAAATATGTCCACAAATTCTTTGATACTTTTTCCCCTTCAAAAGGTAGACCTTAATTCCCTTCCCTTGAGGGTGGGCTAGACTTAGTGACCTGTTTCTAATGAATAGAATATGGTATTAAAGATGGTGTGTAGCTTCTGAGACTAACTCATCAAAGACATTGTGGCTTATTCCTTGTGCTCCTTCTCACTTGTTCTGGGGGGAGCCGGCTGCCATGTTGTGAGAGCCCTCAAGCAGCCATATGGAGAGATCCACATGGTGAACAACTGAGGCCTCCTGCCATTGACCATGTGAATGAGTCCTGTTGGAAGTGGATTCCACATGCCCTGTTAAGTCTTCAGATAACTGTAACCCTCGTCAATGCCTTGACTGCAATCTCATGCGCGATTCTGAGCCAGAGCTACACAGCTAAGTCACTCCCAAATTCCTGACCAACAGAAACTATGAGATAATAAATGTTTGCTATTTTAAAACACTGTGTTTGGGTAATTTGTTACACAGCAATAGATAACACATGGATACAGTGCCATTTTGGCAGAGTTTGAGTCCTGACACCTTTTGGTTCTTGACATCTATCTGGAAAGAGGACCCAGGCCAAGATCTCTCCAGAGACAGTGTATGTGGCAGAGATCTTCTCAGAGAGATGTACCTGTATCATAAGTGTTACATACAACAAGTCTTTACAAACTGAAAATTTGTGTAGCCAGCTCACAAATCAAGAAAAAATTCACTATTACACCCAGAAACTCCCCTCAGGCCCCCTTCTAGTCATTACCCTTGCAAAGGGTATCTTGACCTCTAGCAGCAAAGAGTTTTGCCTGTTTTATTCCTTAATGGAATAACTGGAATCATACTCTTTTGTACCTGGCTTCTTTTACTCAACATTGTGTTTATGAGATGTATCCAAATTGTTGCATGTAATTGTAGATTGCTCATTATAATTGCCCTACAGGGGCAGTTATTCTATTGTGTGAAATCCTACAGTTTACTTATTATCCATTCTACTAGTGATGGGCATTTGGATGGTTTCCAGTTTTGGCCTATTACAAATAGTTCAACTAGGAACACATAAAAATAAGTTTTAAGATACGTACATCCAAAGATTGACAAACAAATATGCAGATTATCTTCTATGGTTTACTTTTCCAATATGGAAAAGAAGAAACAGAAAGTTGTAAAAATAATTTAAATAAATGTTTCCAGTAGCTCATCTGAATTACTTCTACTAAAAGGCAGCACGAAATGCTTCCCATTGGAACCACTAATTCCTGCTTGTTCACTGACTGCCCATGGTGTGCAAAGCTCTGAACCCTGCCCTGTTCTCCAGGAGTTTTCTCAAGCATAGCAAGCGGAAAGGGCAAGGACCCCTGGGGGCTGGGATGTAGGGCAGAATGCCATAAAAGTCGAGGAGATACCTTGATGAGGGGAGTTCAGGGAGATCAAGGAGGGGTTCCTGGAGGGTGGGTCCTGGATAATAGACATAAGTAGACACTCAGAATTGAGGATGAAATGGAAATGAGAAAAGTCACAGAGGTTGGCATTATCTATAAATAGCCCACTTCATTAAAATGATTTGATGAATATCAGAGGAATTAAAAACAAGTCTTCATCCAGCACTCTTCCCACCAACATCCCCGTTGTTAAAGAGCATGGCGGCTTTTTTCTACAGTAAATAAACCTAACTTCAGATGCAGCTTTATTTTTCACTAACATCATCTGAAATTGAGATTTGATTTAAGTTAAAAGATGCTAAGTTCATTCATTCATCCATTGAATATCAATTCTATGTGTAAGTCACTGTCCCACACCACTGAGGATGAAAGTAAATGAAGGATGGTCCGAAACAAACCAATTCCAAACGATCTTACGTAGTACTGCAGCCCACAGAGGGTGGTTGTGAAATGGTTAAGCAACAAATTCCTGGGAATGTTTGCCACAGGAAGCTTGGTAAAGTTGATGATATCTGCACGGTGGGGGAGACATTTTCAAGTTGTTCTCAGCCTGGAAATAGTTCCCTCCACCAAAAAAACAGATGCTGTAAAACCTCCCTCATGGTCACAGTGGTAATCAGAGATGTAGACTGCTGAATGAAGCAAGTGTTTATGGGCAAGAAGTGAATGGCACAAAGACAGAGCACTGATGGAGCCATGTAGTGGACATTTTGCATTGTGCATACCAGAACTCGTGGCATGTGCACAGTAGCCATTAGGTATGGGTCTACCCAGAGCTATATGAATTGTGTTGATGAAGATGTGCTTAGAGTGTAAACTCTGAGCAATTATGGATAGAGAGATAGAGCCCCTTGCTATTGATGTGAAAGCAGTGAACAACCAGGAGGAGTACTTTCTCATATTATCCATGTGGAATGTGGCATGGCATAGGGCCAGAAGAGGACATGGGGATGATGTAAACTCAAGACAATGACAGAACAAGATGCAACCAGCATGTGAGAGAATTCTCCTTCCACATACAGCTGAGAGCCTCAGTGGGGGCAAAAGTGGATGTGAACATCAGAACCCACTATGTTGTAGAGCATTTGCATTACAGCACATATATATATAAATAGGATTAATCATTCTGGAAGCTGCATGGGGCACATTTTAAAAGATGAATTTAATTCTCAGTAATATGAAGTGCTTGGATAAGAGCAGCCTGATAGATAAAAAGACCAAATGGAGTAATTCTTTCTGCTGCCTTTAAAATTCTGACAAAGTTCTGTCTCAGTAGTTCTAAACAAGATAGCCTCTGCTCAGTGACCAGAGCCCGTTATGTAGACTGGCATGCTGGCAAGGCCCTGGTCTGAGAGTAAAGATCCCATGATACAGCAACAAGGAGCATCCCTGAATGTTCTCTCTCCGGGATGTTCTTGTCTTACCAAAAGACCAGCCCCTGAAATACTACAAGGCTCTGGAAAGTCATTCTGCTGGCAGTTGGCATGTGTGGACAGTGACCACCAAGAAGGAAAAGACTACCCTTTTCACACATGGCAAAGCATGCCCTCTCCCTCCTATTTGTAGGAATTTTTGGTTATCTATGGAGTCCCATGTTGCCTAAGTCCTCCTGGAGGTGCTAAACACACAGTGGAAGTACAAAAACCCACACTCCCTACTCTAAGCCAAAGAGCTCTGCGTTTAGTCTTTTTATACAATAGCCTGGTCTCACTTAAGCACCGCGTTTTACAGATGGAGAACTGGGGGTGGAGAAACTGTGGCCTATCCAGGGTCCCATTGAGCGTCAGTGCTGTACTTGGGCAGAAGCAGCCCCGGTTCCATGGAGATTCCTTCTTCAGGTCTCTTCCATCAGCACTGCCTCCTTCCTGTGGGTAAGGCCTCCTTCCCCTGCCCCCCAAAACTCAACCCAGATCCTTCCCAGTGGTTGCTTTCACATCTAAAAATAAAAGAAGAGTGGCAAAGAGGCTAATCCTCCAGAAAAGGTGTGTCCATGTTGCTAAGATGAGTATACCTCAAGTCAGTTCCTTGCAACAATGGGGATTTCTGAGAGAGAGCAGCTGGTCAGGCAAAGTGGGGAGCTGTGCCCACTGAATCTAATGAAACAGCTGCTGAAGTTAGATATACGGTATCCGAACACTTAGAAGGGTTTAATCCTCTCTCCTGCAGCCTTTTCTCTTGGTATTTCCTGAGGACCGAATGGGGCCTGCAGCAACTAGCTTTGGGTCTGACTAAGCGTTTTTGTTTTTTTTTTTAACTGGAGAGGAGCAAGCTGCAACGAGGGCCTCATTCCTGGTTGGGTGCAAGACCCGGGAAGAGGCAGAGCAAGGCTGAGAGCTGGGGTTCTTGGCCTGGGGCCTGGGTGTCCTTCAAAGAGGGGAGACCTAAAGGCATGTGGCTATACATTTACAAATGCATGAACACAGCTGCAAGATACTGATGGGCTTCAGAAACAAGAACAAATCCAGAATTCTCCCTCATAGCTAAAGGCAAAAAAAGTTTTCCTCCAGGAATAGGTTCTTCTTCAATTGTGAAACATTGGATATAGGAAGAGAAGATCGCCACATGCTGGAGCATAGAGTGTTACAAAACCTTTTCTTCTGAAACTTGACTTTTCATGCAAGTGCATGGAAGTTTACAGAGTGTTATGATGAGATATCTGTTAAACCAGTAAGACCCCAAAATAAAAATGCCTCTATGGTGATAGAGACCAGAACAGTGAGAACCTTTGCGGGTAGGCTGTCCACCGTGAAGGGAGGGGAATAAGGGAGTCTCTGGAGTGCTGGGAGTGTCCTAAACCTTGGTCTGGGTGGTGGCTTCTTGGGTATGTGCATGTGTAAAAATTAAAAAGTCATCAGGGGGCACACTTGAGATTTGTGCATTTTACTCTATGTAAGTTATGCCTCAATAAAAAAAGAAAAATAAAAATTTTAAATGCTGTTTTCATTGCTTTGCTATGCCAGCAGTTTGGGTAGGCGCTTTTATTTCCAAAAGCTAAATCATGTATAACTTATGTAATATTTCAAGCCATCTCTGGAGTTCTCTCCTATAATACCTTTTGTGCCCAAGCTCTTATCTTATAAAATGTGACTGACTTTTAAGGGTCAAAGATGATTTTTCTCCATCTGTCATTCTTGTCCATGGCAAATGTGGACATGTCATTCGGAATGTAGCATGGAGGCCCTGATGAAATTGGAAAAGCATGTGGAGATAAAATTCACTCTGGGATGAATCCAGACACTTCCTGCCACTGGCCAGATGTCACAGAGCTGGAAGCCACCCTCCCAGGGGAAGCGATTCAACCAGCCTAAGCCAGATGTGTAGGAAGCTGCCTCGGACCCACATGCTAACACTATCCCAATTGTGTAGAGCATATGCTTTCAGTCAAGAGTGAAGAATGCGGGAAGGGGTACATGCCAGGAGTCTTTCAAGCATGGCCCACCAGTCAGCCTACAGCACGATGCACCGATGCGTCCAGTCAGCAGATGTGTGTCACCATGACGCAGGCTGAGGCTGGTTAAACAGTAACAGAGCTCAGTGACCTAATGCTCACACTCAGCCCTTCCTGAGAACCTCGCGCCACAGTTGTCATGCTGTGGGATGTGTCAGCTTGATTCTGAGGCTGCCTGGAACATCTGTGCTTAAACTACATGGAGTGGCAGAAACGCCCCTTCCTGTACCCAGCAGTGTGTCAAGAGACCTCAGTGAGCTGCCAGGGAACATGGGTGCAGTGCCTTTTTGCTCCGTGTTATTTTGAATAATCGCAAATGCAACTGCATGGCAGGCTGTTTGGGAAAAACTGTTTAGTGACTGAGTTTTGTGTCCTGGTGTGGCTTTCCAGGAGCCCATGCTGCCTGCAAGGATACCCCTCTGTGCCCCTTGGTAAGCCTCCAAGGCCTCCACCTGCCCCTCCCCTTTATAGAAAGATCTGAGTGTAGAATTTGTCCCAATGTTCTAAACTGACTGAGACAGACTTTACAAGAATCCTACCTGCTCTGATTACAAAGAAGGAAATGTGTATGCCTACTTGCTCACAAGTGCATGTGCACACACACACACTTCTGTGTGTTTGAGAGGAAGCAGGCAACCACACATAATGTCGTTCAGAGAAAGACACATGGATGAAGAGACAAGGACAGAGACATCCCAGGGCAGCCTATACATACCCACAACCCCTTGGTTGGCCAATAGCAGCAAATATTGTACTGAGGCAGAAGTCATGGTACGTAGTTTTCATGGGCAAATATGGTTGGGCAGATGTGGAAACATTTCTTAGCATTTGTTCACACCAATTGCTCAGAAACCAGGCCATGGAGGGCTCTACTCCACAGTGCTTTCATCTGCAGACCTCCCAGCCTCTGCAGAATTCACTGATACTGCATGAGGACACCATCGATAGACTTGTTAGGCTGCCATTTTTGGCAAAGACACACACACATGTTCTCCTCCTACCTAGACGCTGGGAAAGTCAAATCTACTTCAGTCATCACTTCACCTCATCAAAAACTATGGCCTTCCTGTCTACCCAGAGATCTTCCTTTATAGAAATCACAGCTCTGCTTGCTTAAAAGCTGATCCTTAGAGCTGCAAGCACCAGAGAAACTGTCATGCATAATGTATCTCTTTCCTTTAGGTCATCAGCAGTACACTGTGTGCACTGACCTGTCTGCCAGTCACCATTTCAGTACCAAGCACTAAAAACAGTCCCCAAAAAGTTGTCTAAACCTCATATTTTTGGGGTGGATTCCCCTCCCTTCACAGAGAAAATTCACAGGGTAAAGCAATGGTCATGATAATACATACCTGTGGCTCATCACCAGTCATTTACTTGGCTTTAGAATTTGTTTTTGTGCTTACACTGGAATATGAGTCTGCCTAAGGCTGTGGGAATTCACAGCTCTTTAGATAAACTAAATGATCTTCCCTTTAAAGACCTGACTCAGGCAGAACCAAAGGTGGTTTAGTCTCCTGTTCTGCCTCCCCACTCAAAACCAGGCTTTGCACGCTGGATTCAGACACGTTGGAGCTAGAGGCAAGATGCCAGCCTAGGAGGAGCTTCCCTGATCACCTAGGTGCAATGGACTGAATAAATCCTTTTAGAGTTTCAGCTAATCTGCAAAGTGAGGAGCTTATAGTTAACCTTTTCTCATGCTCCCCACCCCCATCCCATGGGTCCCTATCTACAAGTTTCTGTTTCCTCACTGTCATCATCCCAAGACTCCTTTTCATGCTGTTAATACCCATAGGACTTCACTTAATTTTCACATGTGATGGTTAAATTTTATGTATCAACATGGCTAGGCTATGGTGCCCACTTCTTTGGTCAAACACTAGCGTAGATATGCTTCACATCTACAATTAGTTGACGTTAAGTAGAGGAGATTGCCTTCAATAATCTGGGTACCCTCATTCAATCAGTTGAAAGCCTTAAGAGTAAAGACAGATTTCCCAGAGATGAAGGAGTTCTGCCTCAACACTAACACAGAAATCTTACTGTAGTTGCCAGCCTGCCAGCCTGCCCTACAGATTTCAGACTTGCCAGCCCCCACAATCACGTGAGACGATTCTTTAAATCTCTTAATGTACCCGCACACTCCCAACACACTATTGGTTCTGTTTCTCTGGAGAACCCTGACTATTAGAACACAGTTCCCATTCCTATTTCCTCAACTTGTCTATTTCCTCCATCTCCACTGCCAGGTCTTCTTTTTGTTGTCCTCCCTAGACAATATACACAGCCCCTCTTCCCCCTCTCTGTATGCATATGCATTTTAAGATCTCAAAGTAGTCTTCAAGAAGGTCTGGGTTTTTGTTTTTGTTTTTGTTTTTGTTTTGAGATGGAGTTTTGCTCTTGTTGCCCAGGCTAGAGTGCAATGGGGCCATCTCGGCTCACCGCAACCTCCGCCTCCTGGGTTCAAGCGATTCTCATGCCTCAGCCTCACGAGTAGCTGGGATTACAGGCATGTGCCACCACACCTGGCTAATTTTGTATTTTTAGTAGAGACGGGGGTTTCTCCATGTTGGTCAGAGTGGTCTCGAACTCCCAACCTCAGATGATCCGCCCACCTCGGCCTCCCAAAGTGCTGGGATTACAGGCATGAGCCACCATGCCCGGCGAAGGTCTGGGTTTTACTTTTAGGAAACTTTCTTCTTTCAGCTCAACCTCACCGCCTGGCTGGAGGCCTCACTCACTCACCATGAGTGGCCTCTCAGAGATCAGCTTCCATCTGGACTGCAGTGAGGGAGGCCCATGTCTCCACATTCCAGGGAGTACAAATGGAGATGTCCAGGCTCTGGAAGCCTGAACCCTGAAGGGCATGGGATGAGGGCAGTACCCTGTCTTTCCTTGGGTGACCCAAACCATCTTTGGCTGCCATTGTGTCTAACGAGGTGATCAGAGCTCGGGGAAGGTCTCACTCACTGTCCTACTGTCTGCTTTCCCTGCACTTTGAGGTTGCTGCCTTCCTCTGACACCTTGTCTCCTAAAAAGCTCCTTAGTTAACAGCATGGATTTTGGTGGGGGGCACTGAAAGCTCCAAAAGGGGAGCCTACTATTTTACATATGTATTTATTTTATAGTTGTACCCTGGTTATTTTGTTTATTTGGTGGAAACTGGTTAGATGGTTTGTTGTCTTCAGGGAAAAGGGCTAGAGAGGTAAATATAAGGTAGGAAACTATGGAGGAATGCCAGTACCTGAGAAAAAATATCACCACTAGTATGTTAGTACCCCAAGAGCAGGTTTTTGTCTGTTTTGCTTCCCTGGCACCAAAGATAGTGCCCAGTACTCACAGAAAGTCAAAAAATGTTCACTTAATGAATGAGATGAATCATTTTGTTAAAACACCCTGCCTGTCTCCAGAAATCCTGAGATGTTGTTTTCTTAAAAGCAACAGACAAACAAGCCAAAAAAAATAAAAAATAAAATCCCTTGGAGTATTAACTCTTGATTTTCTGAGAAAATGGCAAAGAAGGGCCATTTGGGTTTATTTGTGCATTCAACATACATTTCTTACACTCCAGTCATGGCCAAGCACTGGGCCCAGAATCTCTGGGACTTAAGCTGATGAAAGAATGCAGCTCCAACCTCGCGGAGCTCCCATCCAATGGCAGACAGACGAGGGCCCTGATAATTACGACACAATGTGATGAGTGTTCTCAAGTCCTGGAGAGGGTCTCCAGGAGCCAGGGAGGGAGTGACTAACTTCTGACTGCCTGGGGGCCTGAGAGAAGGCTGGGACTTGAAGCCATAACAGGAGTTCACATGCCTGACAAGGGGCAGGGTGAGGGAAAGAGTCCAAATTCTACCTTGGACCATGGTTCCATCAGATTACACACTTACCAGAGTTGCTGATGGGGAGCCAGATGGACAAGCAAATATTGGCTCTCCTTTCCTTTTTCTCCTCTATTCCTGGGAGAGATGCTAATGAACAACAGTGGCCAAGTGGCAGGTGAGAGTAAGGAAGAAACTGGATCATGGGCCAACTGGATAGCCATCCCCTCTGAATCATGTGGCCATGGCTGTACTTGAAGTCACCAATGTGGAGCCAGGCCGATAATCCCATGGCTACCCCATAAGGGTGGGCCCTTGGAGGAAGAGGTCCCATCTGTGACATTTACTTGGTTTACCACCTTGCAGAGAGCCAGCCACTGGGGGCTGCTTAATCAGGACAACTTGATAACATGATAGACAGGGATTCTTAAGACAAAAGGTAGCTGCTCTGAAGAGAGTGGGTGCTGCTAAAAACCTGTTGCCTCTTAATTGCTGTGGAGTGGAATATGCCAAGGTATCTTAATTCAAATCTTACCTCACCGTCCTGGGGACCTTTTGTTGCTGTAAGTAAGGATGGTCGTCGGTTCCAAGAAGAAAATTAAAGGCTGCTCCCGAGATGAGCACAGTCATTTGGATGAAAGAAAACACATGGTTGCATTTAGAGATCAGATCTCAACAAGACAGGGCACCACCTCCTGCCCAGAGAGGAACAGGCCACAGGATGCAAAACTGGAATTTATATGAGAATACTTTGCCCTTATTATAGCACCTCTAGCAGAGAATCTTGACACACGTTTCAGGCACTAATTAGTTCTTGCATCTATTGCCATGGGTGCACATTGTATTAATATGTGCCCATTTTCCTGATGGAAGAACTGACAAGGAGGAGATGGGCAGAAAAGATGTTTTTAGAGGAAATGATGCCATGTCTGCTTCAGTATGTTCATCCAGGGAGAACTGTGCCTTATTTCTTTTGCCTGAGGGCATTGTTTGCTGCTGAGCTCAGAGTCTCTGTCCTCCAGGGTTTGGCTTCATAATCTGCCCCTGAATTTGGAATAAAAATGGCAAAGCCCTACATAGGAAGCTAAATGTTTACTGGATCACTGCTTCTGAATAGTAGTGCAGCCATTAAGGGCATCATCTGTGAAGCCAGCCTTCCTGGGTTTACACTCACGCTGTGGCACTTACAGCTGTGTGGCCTTGGGGAGTTTCCCTCCTTCCCTCCCTCCCTCCCTCCCTCCCTCCCTCCCTCCCTTCCTTCCTTCCTCTCTCTCTCTCTCTCTCTTTCTTTCTTTTCTTCTTTCTATATTTTATTTAAGATTTTTTTGGAAGGAAGGGAATGAGGTTTTTACAAATTTTTTTTTCTTTTTTTTTTATTATTATTATACTTTAAGTTTTAGGGTACATGTGCACAAAGTGCAGGTTAGTTACATATGTATACATGTGCCATGCTGGTGCGCTGCACCCACTAACTCGTCATCTAGCATTAGGTATATCTCCCAATGCTATCCCTCCCCCTCCCCCCACCCCACAACAGTCCCCAGAGTGTGATGTTCCCCTTCCTGTGTCCATGTGTTCCCATTGTTCAATTCCCACCTATGAGTGAGAATATGCGGTGTTTGGTTTTTTGTTCTTGTGATAGTTTACTGAGAATGATGATTTCCAGTTTCATCCATGTCCCTACAAAGGACATGAACTCATCATTTTTTATGGCTGCATAGTATTCCATGGTGTATATGTGCCACATTTTCTTAATCCAGTCTATCATTGTTGGACATTTGGGTTGGTTCCAAGTCTTTGCTATTGTGAATAATGCCGCAATAAACATACGTGTGCATGTGTCTTTATAGCAGCATGATTTATAGTCCTTTGGGTATATACCCAGTAATGGGATGGCTGGGTCAAACGGTATTTCTAGTTCTAGATCCCTGAGGAATCGCCACACTGACTTCCACAATGGTTGAACTAGTTTACAGTCCCACCAACAGTGTAAAAGTGTTCCTATTTCTCCACATCCTCTCCAGCACCTGTTGTTTCCTGACTTTTTAATGATTGCCATTCTAACTGGTGTGAGATGGTATCTCATTGTGGTTTTGATTTGCATTTCTCTGATCGCCAGTGATGGTGAGCATTTTTTCATGTGTTTTTTGGCTGCATAAATGTCTTCTTTTGAGAAGTGTCTGTTCATGTCCTTCACCCACTTTTTGATGGGGTTGTTTGTTTTTTTCTTGTAAATTTGTTTGAGTTCATTGTAGATTCTGGATATTAGCCCTTTGTCAGATGAGCAGGTTGCAAAAATTTTCTCCCATTTTGTTACAAAATTTTTTAAGTATAACATGTATATATGCTCATTTTAGACAATTTGATCAGTATAAAATATTAAAGAAGAAAGCAGGCCAGGTGCCGATGGCTCACACCTGTAATCCCAGCACTTTAGGAGGCTGAGGTGGGCGGATCACTTGAGGTCAGGAGTTCGAGACCAGCCTGGCCAACATGGTGAAACCCCCTCTCTACCAAAAATACAAAAATTAGCTGGGTGTGGTGGTGGGTGCCTGTAATCCCAGCTACTTGGGAGGCTGAGGCAGGAGAATTGCTTGAACCCAGGAGGTGGAGGTTGCAGTGAGCTGAGACCGTGCCACTGCACTCCAGCTTGGGTGACAGAGAGAGACTCAGTCTCAAAAAAAAAAAAAGAATATGAAAGTAAAAACTCACTTGCAATCTTAGCTGTCAGAAGTAATCACTGTATTACTATATTTTGGTGAATATCCTTTTGATGGTGTGCACATGAGTGTGCGTGTTTGTAACTTGAATTTTTAAAATTTGAGAATATATTCTAGTCATCTTTTTATGTCAATGGATTTAAGAATATATTATATCATTTTTGATGTAATATTTGAATATACCACAATTTATTTAACCATTCCCCTGTTAGTGAATATTTAGGGTATAAAAATATTTTACAATGTGGTTATGAAACGTTCTTTTATATCTATATTTGCCAACTTATTCAACTATTTCTTCATGATAAATTCCTAGAAATGAAGTTACAGAAAATGTTTCATTTGGTGGATGGATATACACACACATATGTACATAACTGTGTGTATATACATACATTCACACATACACTCATACATACATGTGTACATGTACATATATAGTCATAAAATATATTTTAAACTTACATATAGCCATTACTTCTTGAGAAGGGACTTGTATTGGGGATGTAGTCAAAGAGGAATTTGACTAAATCTGTAATGTTTTATTTTTTTTCACAGGGAGAAAATATATGTGTAACTTAAAATTAGTTAAAATTAAAGATAACAATAACAAAAGAGTACAAAATAAGTAGTTATCAACTGACAGTCACATATCATATCAACTGACAGTACATATAATTGGACATAAAACTTTTTGCTTTCTTTGCTGAAAAAAAGGTAACTGTCAGGCCTCTGAGCCCAAGCTAAGCCATCATATCCCCTGTGACCTGCCCGTATACATCCAGATGGCCTGAAGCAACTGAAGATCCACAAAAGAAGTGAAAATAGCCTTAACTGATGACATGCCACCATTGTGATTTGTTCCTGCCCCACCCTAGCTGATACGATATATTCTCCCCAGCCCTTAAGAAGGTACTTTGTAATATTCTCCCCCACCCTTAAGAAGGTACTTTGTAATATTCTCCCCCACCCTTAAGAAGGCACTTTGTAATATTCTTCCTGCCCTTGAGAATGTACTTTGTACGCCTATCCCAAACCTATAAGAACTAATGATAATCCCACCACCCTTTGCTGACTCCTTTTTCGGACTTAGCCCGCCTGCACCCAGGTGAAATAAACAGCCTTGTTGCTCACACAAAGCCTGTTTGGTGGACTCTCTTCACACGGACATGCGTGACAGTAACTACTGGAAGAATAGAAATAGGATATGTCATTGTTAAACTGCCAAAAGAGAAAAAAAAAAATCAGAACACCTAAACCCTTGATTTATCCAACAAAAGTAAGGAATGGAAAAAAAGAAAAGAAATAATAAGAAAGCACAGTAAACAAAAAGTACAAGTGTATGAACAAAACAAGTCCAAATATACCACTATTTAGAATCAATATAATTTGGTTAATATTTCCATTAAAAGATAGCAACTCTCTGGGTAACAAAACAAAATGCAGTTGTATGTTGTTTACAAGGGACACACATTTTAAAAAAGTGACAGTTGCAGAATAAAGGAGTGGGAAATGTATATATTGGCTGTGTGTGGTGCCTCATGCCTGTAATCCCAGCACTTTGGCAGGTGGATCAGCTGAGGTCAGGAGTTCGACAACAGCCTGGCCAACATGGTGAAACCCTGTCTCTACTAAAAGTACAAAAATTAGCTGGGCGTTGTGGTGGGGTGCCTGTAATCCCAGCTACTCGGGAGGCTGAGGCAGGAGAATCGCTTGACCCTGGGAGGTGGAGGTTGTAGTGAGCCCAGATCACACCACTGCACTCCAGCCTGGGCGACAGAGTAAGATTCCATCTTAAAAAAAAAAAAAAAAAGAAAGAAAAAAAGAAAAGAAAAAGTATATATTAACTCGGGAAGTGCTAGCACCAAGAAACAGTTGTGCCAATATTAATATGAGATGAAAATGAATTCAAAGCCTAAAGAATTAATGGTCAAAGAAGAATTTTTTTGTTTTGTTCTTGTCCATCCATGAACCTTTGTACACAGCTTCAAAATATATAAAGAAAGCACAAGTAGAAAAAAAACAACCAAGGATTTAGAGGTGCACTGTCCGATATAGTAGTCACTAGCCACATAGTCACTAGGTTATCGACCATTCAGATATGGCTAGTCCGAATTGAAATGTGCTCTAAGTTGTAAAACATACATTGGATTTCGAAGACTTGGTATGAAAAAATAAAGTAAAATATCTCATTAATATTTTAAAATACTGATTACATGTTGAAAATATCATACTTTAGATATGAGTTAAATCTATTAAAAGTAATCTTACCAGTTTATTTTTACATTTCTTAAAGTAGCTACTAGAAAATTTAAAATAACATGTGGCTTTATTGGACAGCACTGAAGAGGACTTAAATTAATACAAATAAAAAACTTGGACTAATAATTATATAAAAGAAACATTTTGACTTTATCAGAGATTTTATATTCTTTTCAGTCATGTGACATTTATAAATTCATCAATTATCTGATCATAGGAAGATCTCAAAAATGTTTAAAAACTAGCTATGCAGAGACTCTGATATCTTTTTTTCTTTAATTTATTTTTTATTTCAATAAAAAGGTTTTTTGGGAACAGGTGGTATTTGGCTACATGGATAAGTTCTTTTTTTTTTTTTTTTTTTGAGATGGAGTCTCACTCTGTCGCCAGGCTGGAGTTCAGTGGCACGATCTCAGCTCATTGCAACCTCTGCCTCCCGGATTCAAGCGATTCTCCTGCCTCAGCCTCCGAGTAGCTGGGACTACAGGTGCATGCCACCACGCCCAGGTAATTTTTGTATTTTTAGTAGAGACAGGGTTTCACCATATTGGCCAGGATGGTCTCCATCTCTTGACCTTGTGATCTGCCCACTTTGGCCTCCCAAAGTGCTGGGATTACCAGCGTGAGCCACCATGCCTGGCCTTTAAATATTATTTATACAATGATCATATTTATAATAGTTTATTATTTTTGTCAGTTTATGACTTTATTATTATATTTATAATCTGGGTTTATAATATGACTGGTTTTCATTCATTTACTCATTCAAATATGCTTTGAAAACAATGTGCAAATTCTTTTTTAAAAAAAATTATATGTCACAGGATGGTGTCCTATGTCATGTACCTAAATTGGTAACCAAAGCCTGCAGCTAAGAAAGGGATCAAGGACCCTTTCTTTCTTTCTTTTTCTTTCTTTCTTTCTTTCTTTTTTTCTTTCTTTCTTTCTTTCATTCTTTCTTTTCTTTCTTTCTTTCTTATTTTTCTTTCTTTCTTTCTTTTGAGATGGAGTTTTGCTCTTATTGCGCAGGCTGGAGTGCAATGGCTCAATCTCGGCTCACTGCAACCTCCGCCTTCTGGGTTCAAGCAATTCTCCTGTCCCAGCCTCCCGAGTAGCTGGGATTACAGGCATGCGCCACCACACCTGGCTAATTTTTGTATTATTAGTAGAGATGGGGTTTCACCATGTTGGCCAGGCTGGTCTGGAACTCCTGACCTCAGGTGATCCACCCGCCTCGGCCTCCCAAAGTGCTGGGATTACAGGCATGAGCAACCGCACCCGGCTGAGGACCCTACTTTCTAGCGTCAGGGAACTGTGGCATGGGGCTACTGGGGGAACCACTTTTTTAGAATGTGTAGGCATCACTTCACCAGCCCCAACCCCGTAATGCTGGCTGTAAGGAAAGGCCTGGAGGAAGACAGATCTGGCCTATTGGGGGAGCCAAGGGAGCTGCTTCCCTTTTTTAAGCCAAGGGAGGCAGCCGTCTGGGAAACCCTTGTCGAGTTGGCAGGATATGAGTTCTGTACACTCCTGGCTTGTTTAGGAACCAGTGAGCCTTTAATTCAGTCTGATGCAGTAGGGTCCAGGGTATGGGTGAACAGCCCTGGGGTGAGCTATTTTTTGGTGAGGGCTGTGGGTAGACAGAGGGCAAGACCCATCTTCCTGTCCCCTGGCCTGGAGTTTCAGTCCCAGCTGGGACATAAAATTGATTCTACATATGCCAATGGGCATAATAGTTTGCTACCAAGGGTAGGTGAGTTTGGGAGCCTGTGACCACTACTGAGTGGAACATCTGAGGCATGTAGCAGGATGCCGTGAGCTGGGGCGGGAAGATACAAGCCAAGAGTCTAAAAGGACCATCAATGGCTATGGGAGATACACAGGAGGGGGCTCTCCTTAGAGGGCCTATTGGAAGCACCACTGGTCAGCATCAAGCCCATGCATAGTGCATTACTGCTGGATAGGAGAGAATGTCTCCTTGCTGGGTCGGAGAGAATGTCTCCTTGCTGGGTCAAATGGGACAACAACTGTCTTTTACTTCTTCCTCCAGGCCCCAATACTGGCCTTATTCTGGTAATATTGAGGGAGAAGAAAGGATGATGGAAGCGAACACCAGAACTATAAGTAGACAAAGCCCAGGTCTAATCTTGCCTGGGGAAGAGGACGAGGACTTTGAGTTTGGTATACTAATAGCAAAACTTTCATAGCACTTACTTCCTGTGCCTGGCATTCTTCTAAGCACCTTAATCATATTGACCCTTTAACCCTGGCAGTGTTCCTATGAGGTATCTACTATCATTATCCCCATTTTATGGATGAGGAAACTGGGGCACAGAGGTTAAGTAACATGCCCAAAGCTCTCAGCTAGTAAGTGGCAGAGCAAGGATTCCAGTCCAGGCAGCCAGCTTTCAGAATCTGTACGTTTTCATTGAATAAGAATTAATCCAAAGGATTGAAATAAGGCTACTTAAAACAACAACAACAACAATAAAAATGAGAAAACAAAAAATGGCCAAGAAGTTATAGAACCAGAATGAAATATCATTAAGGGTGCTACTATCTAACAGGAAAGGGGTTTGATGGAACATAATCAGTGGCAGGTTTTAGATACTGATATGTGCTTTGGCTGTGTCCCCACCCAAATATCGAACTGTAGCTCCCATAATTCTCACGTGTCATGGGAGGGACTTGGTGGGAGGTAATTGAATCATGAGGGTGGGTCTTTCCCTGCTATTCCTGTGATACTGTATAAGCCTCATGAGATCTGATGGCTTTATAAAGGGGAGTTCCCCTGCACATACTCTCTCTTGCTTGCCTGCTGCCATTCAAGACGTGACTTTGCTCCTCTGCCTTCCATCATGATTGTGAGGCCTCCCCAGCCATGTGGAACTGTGAGTCAATTAAACCTCTTTCCTTTATAAATTACCTAGTCTCAGGTATGTCTTTATTAGCAGTGTGAGAACAGACTAATACAGATAAAACAATATTCACCTTCAATGAGTTGAGACTCCTTGGTGAGCCACTTTCTTTTCTTTTATTATTATTATTATTATACTTTAAGTTCTAGGGTACATGTGCACAACCTGCAGGTTTGTTACATATGTATCCATGTGCCATGTTGGTGTGCTGCACCCATTAACTCGTCATTTACATTAGGTATTATCTCCTAATGCTATCCCTCCCCCCTCCCCCCACCCCACGACAGACCCTGGTGTGTGATGGTCCCCTTCCTGTGTCCAAGTGTTCTCATTGTTCAGTTCCCACCTATGAGTGAGAACATGTGGTGTTTGGTTTTCTGTCCTTGTGATAGTTTCCTGAGAATGATGGTTTCCAGCTTCATCCATGTCCCTACAAAGGACATGAACTCATCCTTTTTTATGGCTGCATAGTATTCCATGGTGTATATGTGCCACATTTTCTTAGCCTTCTCTGTTTCTTCCTATGAGCTGTGAGGTAAGCACTGTTATTATTTGCATTTTACAGACAAGGAAACTGAGTTTTAGAGAGTTTAGATGATGTGTCCAAGGTCACCCACCTACAAGTGGTGAAGTTGGGTGTTTGAAGCAAGTTCTTTTGACCTTAGAACCTAAGCTTTGAATCTCTTCCTCATGGAGGATGTCAATATGAAGCTCACATACATGTTACCATTTTTGGTCTAGTTGGCCTATGGAAGAAGACACTGTGTAGAGCTATGATATGAGGAAGAAAGGTAAGAAGATTGTTGAAACAGAGGTGCATGTGACATTTTGAGTGGGTGGAGGATAGATAGATTCAAAGTTACAACTCCTCAAAATAATTAAAAAGGACAGGACTAAGGACATTACTACACATTGCAAAACAGTAATGGTGGTGACACCATTTTGAGCCTTTACATAGCACTAGATTCGAAGGAAGCTTAGTTAACCTAAGCTTCATGGTAACCTTAGGAGAGAGGTGATATCTACTCCATTTTGTGGATGAAAACCCAAGGCTCAGAGATGTTAATTGACTTGCCCAAGGATGCACAGCTCATAAAGAGATAAGTGCAGATTAAAATCAGGTTTGGCTGGTTCTAAGCCTAAACCTTTCCTCCAACATATGGCTATTTTCAGAGCACCACTGTCGTCTTCCCTCATTTGATTCTCATGGGGATCTGAAGCAGAGGAGGGACTGTTATTCCCACTCTACACAGGGCATAGCACTGCAAAGGCTGTGCCCAAAGCTTCTCTCCAGAGCTCAGACCTGCAGATACAACGGTCTCATGGATATTTCTCCACTCAGATATCCCACAGATTCCTTAAGCCTACCACGTCCAAAACTGAACACATCATTTCCTCTCCTTTGAAAATGATTGTCCGTATTCTTCCATTCGTTCATTGATTCATTTAATAAATATTTCCCAGGCTCTGGGAATAAACAGCAAACACCTCAGTAGCAAGAGACTCACTCTTCAGCCAGTTGCCTAAACCAGAAACCTAGAAATATTCCTGCATGACCCCAAGCCTCCACATCTAATCATTCATCGAGTTTTTGTATGTCTCCTACTAAATATCTCTAAAATTTATCCATATCTCCCAGGCTTCTATTATCTCTTGGCTAGAATTTTTTTTTTTAGACGGAGTCTCGCTTTGTTGCCCAGGTTGGAGTGCAATGGCGCGGTCTCGGCTCACTGCAACCTACGCCTCCCGGGTTCAAGCGATTCTACTGCTTCAGCCTCCGGAGTAGCTGGGATTTCAGGCGTGTGCCACCGCACCAAGCTAATTTTTGTATTTTTAGTAGAGACTGGGTTTCGCCATGTTGGCGAGGCTGCTCTCTAACTCCTGACCTCGTGATCCGCCCGCCTAGGCCTCCCAAAGTGCTGGGATTACAGGCGTGAGCCACCGCGCCTGGATTGGCTAGAATATTATATCAGCTTCCAGATGTCTCATGTCTCCCTATTCCATAGTTTGTCCTCCTCTTCCTTCTCCTCCTCCAATGCATATTCCCTGCTACACGTCTGAAAGATCTTTCTAAAATGCAAATCTATATCAATCCCCTCCACTGAATGCTCTTCAATAGCTTCTGAGACTGCTCAGGATGGGTTACAAGGCTGTAGGGCCTGGCCCCACCCACCTCTTAAGCCACGGTTGTTACTGTTCTTCCCTGGCATTTTCTACTCAAGTTTTGCTGCACTCATTTTTGTTTTTGGAGCTTCATCACAGTGGCTCTGACTCCCAGGATTTCATACATCCTGCCTCCTCTGGCAAAACATCCTTCTGATTCTTTTCACCTGGCTGATGCCTACGTATTCTTCAGATCTCAGTTTAAATGTTTCCTCTTCTGGGAGGTCTTTTTTGACCCCATAGATTAGGTATTTGTTCCCCGGTCCCAGCGCATTCCCTATTTCACCAGTCATTGTTTGTTGATGTACTGACTTATTTAACACATTTTTTTCTGTGAAGACCAAGTTGTCCTCCCACCAATGATGCATACTAACTGAACACATGAACAAATGAATTAATGAATAAATGAATAGATGAAGGCCTAGAGTTACTAAAGAACATGGCAAAGTCTGGAAAGAGGAAGTGTCTCTGGGGACTCCAGCAGGGAATTTCAGGGGCAGTGATAACAGGTGATGCTGGAGAAGTAATCAGGGGCTGGAATAGGGTGGGCCTTGTGTGCCTGTCCCTTTCTGGATCATCCCTGAAGGACAGTGGTGGAGGGAAGTCCTCCAAGTGGGCATAACTTTGAGTGATGTACCTGGTTGTTCACTGTGGTTGAAAGGAGGAATGGTCGGACATGTGATTCTATACTGATTCATGGCTGTGGCCATGGTTTGGCTCGATAGTCAGGAACTTGGAAGGAACATGATTAGAAAACTGATGACAAGAAAATTTGGGGAAGAGGTATGTGGACAGACCTCTATGAATGAGCAAAAAATGTGAAGATATTTGTATTCTATATTAATGCCTATCGAAGGGTGGCCTCAGCAGAGGATTTTGATCATCAAGTGGCTAAGATGACTTGTCTGTGGCTATCAGTCAGCCTCTTTCCTTAGCCCCTTCTGTCATTGCCCAGTGGTTCCTGAATGAAGTGGCCATGGTGATAGGGATGAAGGTTATGCATGGGCTCAGCAACGACGACTTTCATTCAGCAAGGCCAACCTGCCTAGAGCCACCACTGAGTGCCCAATCTGCCAGCAGAATAAACCAACACTGACTCCTTGATATGGCACCATTCTCTGGGGTGACCAGCTGCCTACCTGGCAGCTGGTTGATTACACTGGACCCCTTCCATCATGGAAAGGCCAACATTTCATCCTTAATGGAATAGACTCTTACTCTGAATATGGATTTGCCTTCCATTGCATGCAATACTTCTGCCAAAATACCATCTGTGAACTTATAGGATACTTTATCCAACATCACAGTATTACACACAGCACAGCTGTGAGATTGAGGAACTTGCTTCACTTGAATGAAGTGTGGTAATGAGCCCCATGCTTGTGGAATTCACTGGTTTTACCATGTTCCCCACCATCCTGAAGCAGCTGGATTGATAGGATGGTGGAATGGCCTTTAGAAGACTCAGTCACAGTGCCAGGTAGGTGACATTACCTTGTTGGACTGGGGCAAGGTTCTCCAGGAAGCTGTATATGCTGAGAATCAGTGTCCAATATTAGTACTCTTTCTCCCATAGCCATGAATCACAGGTCCAGAAATCAAGAGGTTACTATCACCCCTAGTGACCCACTAACAAAATTTTTCCTTTGTCCCTGTGACCTTTTGCTCTGCTAGCCTAAATGTCTTAGGTCTAAGTGGAGGAATGCTTCCACCAGGAGACAGCAATTATCCCATTCAACAAGAAGTTAAGACTGCCACCTGGCCACTTTGGGCTTCTCAGACCTCTAAATTAACAGGCAAAGAAAGTTACTGTGCTTGTGGAGGTGATTGATCCTGACTACAAAGGAGAGATTGGACTGCTACTCCATAATGGAGGTAAGGAAGAGTATGTCTGGAATATGTAAGATTCCTTACAGCATGTCTTAGTATTAGCATGCTCTGTGATTAAAGTCAATAGAAAATTACAGTTAGTCTCTGACTTATGATGGTTCGACTTATGACTTTTTGACTTTACCATGCAAAGCAATAGGTATTCAGTGCTTTCCTAAACTTACCACGGGACTATATGCAGATAAGCCCATTGTAAATTGAGCCCCATTATAAAGCCAGGAACATTCGTACAAAAACCCAATCCAGGCAGGACTACTCATGGCTCAGACCTTTGAGGAATGAAAGTTTCAGTCACCATCACCAGGTAAAGAACCACGACCAGCTGAGGTGCTTGCTGAGGGTAAAGGGAATATGGAATGAGTAGTGGAAGAAGGTTGTTATAAATACCAGCTGTGACCATGTGGTCAGTTACAGAACGGAGGACTGTAATTGTTATAAGCATTTCCTTCTTATTTTGTTATATGTTTATGTGTGTGTACAAATATCTTTCTTCCTCTTATTCTTTGATCATGTAACATAAGATGTATTGACTTTATATCATAGAATTTAAGTATTGTTAGCTTTCCATCATAGTATTTAAGTTATAGGATATCAAAGAGAAGAGTAAACATCACTCGAGGAGTCTGCATCCTCTTCTGGGGAAAGGGTTGGTGCCTCTTTGATTGTATGCAGGATAGTTGTATCATGTTAGGTAGAAGTATGACTTTTTACCCTCTTTATCTGGAGATTAAGTATAGTTTAAGGAAATGTGTATGGGTGCCAAGTTGACAAAAGGTAGACTTGTGATGGTTAGTTTTATGTCAATTTGGTTGGGCCATGGTGCCCAGGTATTTGGTCAAACATTATTGTGGATGTTTCTGTGAGGGTATTTTTTTGTGGGGTGAGATTAACATTTAAATTAATGGACTTTGAGTAAAGCAGGCTACCCTCCATAATATGGGTGGGCCTCATCCAATCAGTTGAAGGCTCAGCAGAACAAAGACTGACCTCCCACAAGCAAGAGGGAATTCTGTCAGCAGATGGACTTCTGACTTGAACTCCAACATCAGCTCCTCCCTCAGTCTCTAGCCTGCTGGTCCATCCTGCAGATTTTGGACTTGCCATCTTCCATAATCCATGAGATTTATTTTTCCTTAAAATAAATCTCTCAGCCGGGCACAGTGGCTCATGCCTGTAATCCCAGCACTTTGGGAGGCCGAGCCGGGCAGATCACCTGAGGTCAGGAGTTCAAGACCAGCCTGGCCAACAAGGCGAAACCCCGTCTCTACTAAAAATACAAAAATTAGCCGGGGTGGTGGTGCATGCTTGTCATCCCAGCTACTCGGGAGGCTGAGGCACGAGAATCACTTGAGCCTGGGAGGCAGGGGTTGCAGTGAGCCAAGATTGTGCCACTGCACTTCAGCCTGGGCAACAAGAGTGAAACTCCGTCCCCCCCCCCAAAAAAATAAATAAATAAAATAAAAATAAATAAATAAATCTCTCAGACTCTCTACACATTCTATATGTCCCATTTCTCTGGAGAACCCTAATATAAGGGCCCCTAAGACAATGGGACAAGCTGATTCCTCATAATCTGAAGTAGATAAATGGAGTAGGGGTGAGGAGGCTTTAGAGTCACCTGATGACACTGCTGCACATCAGGGTATTTAAATACAAGGAAGAGGGCCCTTTGTTTTCACATGCCCCAGTCTGCCCACCTAACTCTAGGGCTAGCAAGATACCTATGGGAGCCCATTTTCCTGGGGGCCAGCCTTAGGGAGTGAGTCTCCACTGCTTTCTCCACTAAGGGGGGATGTGCCCCTGATGTTGAGCTTAGGTAGACCCCTCCCTCAGAGATCACCTGGAATGTTCCTGTCAGGTCTCTCAGATGAGGAAACTGAGGCCCAGCAGGGGAAGGGACCTACCCAAGTTTGCTGAGTTACATTTAGAACTACGGTAATTACATATCAGAACTAAAATTGATTGTCAGGTTCTTACTCTAGTGCACCGAGCATGAACACACCATACTGCTCAGCTATTTTTTACCTCAGTTTATTTATTGTTTTATTCAGAAGAGGACCCCTATGCTGAAAAGCACAGAGCTAAAAGGGAATTGATTTAGCTTTTTGTACTCAAAAGGTGAGTTTTTAAAATATTCAAGGGATGGTTACTGATCTAAAGGGCTTTACTGTCCCATCAAGTTAAACATTTTGATGAACAGTGTGATTGTAAACTGTAATTCCTAATGTCATGAGGTGGTTAACAAAAATTTGAACAATAATCAGTGACAAGTACTCTTACAATGGTTATAAATCAAAACATCCTGCTCCATTTTGTGTTTTAATTGCAGAGGTGTTCAAAATTAGTCACATAGCACAGCAAAGATTTAATGCTATTTAAGCTATCACCAGAAATATGTACAAAAAATTACAAGGCTACACTGACAGTTTAATTGGTGATTGAGGAAATTTGGGGTGCTACAGTCTTTTCTCGAATATTTTGAGGTATAGTCAACCTTAAAGGTGAGGTCCAGATAAGAGGCTCTCGAGCTTTTTGGGCTTCTATACTGTATAATTTTGGGAATGTTAAATCTTTTCTGAAGTCTAACTGCTGATGTCCCTAGTTTACCAGATATTATATGCCATGAGAAGTATATTGAGTACCTTATTAAGCCAGGGTTAATGAAGTAAAATTTATATATCTAGGCTCCCATCTTAAGATAGAAAAAAAAGCTGTTGAGGTCTTCAAGTAATTCTACCGTTTTTATTTCTATTTAAAATGTTTTCAAATTTAGCATCATTATTTTATATCATTAGATTGAGAGATTACCTTGTTGAGAATTTTCATGCCTATGACAACTATAGTGATGTATCCTTTTTCATTCCAGATATTGATTTATTTGTGCCTTCTTCTTGATTAATCTTGCCACAGATTTATCAATTTTATTGTTCTTTGTATAGACTTAACTTTTGATTCTTTGATCTCTCAACTGTTCTTTGTTTCTTTACTTCATTAATTTTTGCTCTTATTTTCATCACTTCCTTCCTTCTACTTTTTTTTTTTCTTTTTTTTTGAGACGGAGTCTTGCTCTGTCGCCCAGGCTGGAGTGCAGTGGTGTGATCTCAGCTCACTGCAAGCTCCGCCTCCTGAGTTCACACCATTCTCTTGCCTCAGCCTCCCGACTACAGGTGCCCACCACTATGCCCGGCTAATTTTTTTATATTTTTAGTAGAGATGGGGTTTCACCATGTTATCCAGGATGGTCTCAATCTCCTGACCTCGTGATCCACCTGTCTCGGCCTCCCAAAGTGCTGGGATTACAGGCGTGAGCCACCGCGCCTGGCCAGACTTCTGTTTTTCTAATATATGCATTTAAAATCATAAATTTCCTTCTAAGCCTAGCTTTAGCTGCATCCCACACATTGTGATGTCATATACTTATTATCATTTAATTCAAATTATTTTACAGTTTCCACTGTGGTTCTTCTTTGACCTGTAGGTTATTTAGATGTATATTACTTAATGTCCAAACATTTGGGAGTTTTAAAAAGTTATGTTTTTGATACTAATCTATAGGTAATTTTTACTGTGATCTTAGAACATGTCCTGTATAATCTCAACACTCTGGGTAGGGTGTGGTGGCTTATGCCTGTAATCCCAGCACTTTGGGAGGCCGAAGTGGGAGGATCACTTGAGCCCAGGAGTTCAAGACCAACCTAGGCAACATAGGGAGACCCCCGTCTCTACAAAAAATAAAAACAAATTAGCTGGGTGTAGTGGCACGCACTTGTAGTCCCAACTACTCAGGAGGCTGAGGTGGGAAGGTTGCTTGAACCTGGGAGGTTGAGGCTGCAGTGAGCCATGACTGTACCACTGCACTCCAGCCTGGGTGACAGAGTAAGACCCTATCTCAAAACAAAAAAACAAAAACAAAAACAAAAACAAAAAACACACCCCAAAATGCTGGAATTTGTTGAGACTTAATTTTTGAGCCTACCGGGTGCGGTGGCTCACGCCTGTAATCCCAGTACTTTGGGAGGCCTTGGCGGTCAGATCACTTGATGTCAGGAGTTTGAGACCAGCCTGGCCAACATGGTGAAACTCTGTCTCTACTAAAAATACAAAAATTAGCCAGGCATGGTGATGCATGCCTGTAATCACAGCTACTTGGGAGGCTGAGGCATGAGAATCACTGGAACTCAGGAGGCAGAGGCTGCAGTGAGCCAATATTGCACCACTGCACTCCAGCCTGGGCAACAGAGCGAGACTCTGTCTCAAAAATAAATTTTTTTTTTGAACCAACATTATATGGTCAATTTTGGAAAAGCATTCCCATGTACACTTGAAAAGAATGTGGATTTGCTATAGACAATAGCAAAGACATGAAATCAACCTAGGTGCTCATCAACAGTGGATTGGATAAAGAGAATGTGGTAGATATACACCATGGAATACTAAGCAGCCATACAAAAGAATGAGATTATGTGCTTTGCAGCAGCATGGATGCAGCTAGAGGTCATTATCCTAAGCAAATTAACATAGAAACAGAGGACCAAATATCATATGCTCTCACTTATAAGTGGGAGCTAAACATTGGGTACACATGAACATAAAGATGGGAACAACAGACACTGGAGACTCCAAAAGAGGGGAGGTAGGGAAGTGGGGCAAAGGCTGAAGAACTTTCTATCAGGTACTATGTTCACTATATGGGTGATGAGATCAGTACAGCATAAGTATATACCCTTGTAAGACACCTGCACATGTGCCCCCTGAATCTAAAATGAAAATTTAAAAAAGAATGTGCATTCTGCATTTATTAGATAAAGTGTGTGTGTAATCAGATTGTTTGTTAAAATCTTCCCATATTGTTACTCATGTTTTGTCTGCTTATTCTATCAGTTACTACTACAAGAAGCGTGCTAGTATCTTTTACCATGAGGCAAGGCTGGGCTCTTGTCTTGGTGAGTACTAGCCTACTTCCAAGTCTCCTTTATTCCTAGAGTCTCAGTTCTTCAGGTGCTTCAAATGAAATCCTGAGTGTTTACCATGCATGGCCATTTCTTCCTGGTGGTCCCGAATATTTACTCCTCCCAGCTGTATGAGACTGCAGTAAGCTCTACCCAGCTTCTCAGTTGTTCCTTCACAGCTTTCTGTGCAGTGCCGAGTGCCCAGTCTCTCAGCTGTTGCCTTAGAGTTGACAAGAGCAAGAGTGGTGCCTCCACCAGGCTTGCTAGTCTGTGTCTCCCTCCTCTCCGGGATCTTGGCCCCTCAGGTTCACTGCCTGCATGGCTCTTGCACAACTTCAAACAGGTTGTATTTTCCTTACTATTATCTAGTTTTAAGCAGGTCTCCCCTTGCTGGAAGTGAAAATCCTTTTTCAGAGAATTTTTATCTCTTTAAAAAATATGTAAGAATTTAAAATTCAAAAAATTAAGAGTAAGTTGACCCCCAGTGGAAAGAAATACCTTTTTTACAAGGTTCAACTAAGAGCCCACACCACAGATATGATTAACTGTTAATTCGTTTAGTGAGATTTTTCACTGTGTTCCTCCTCCCCAATTTTATTTATTATACCAACAACAGTAATAAAGAAGCAGTTAATAACCCATGATCTCATTCTTCTAAATAAAAACACACCTCTGTTTTTATTTTTATTTTGGGGGACTTACTTTTATAATATGCCCTTTGTTCATGCATAAATTCTATCTATGGTGCCATAATTGATGTATTATTTCCCTTAACATCACTTCATAAAAATATTCTATCACGCCAGGCACAGTGGCTCACGCCTGTAATCCCAGCAATTTGGGAGGCGGAGGTGGGCAGATCACTTGAGGTCGGGAGTTTGAGACCATCCTGACCAACATGGTGAAACCCTGTCTCTATAAAAAATACAAAAATTAGCCGGGCATCGTGCCACACACCTGTACTTCCAGCTACTCGGGAGGCTGAGGTAGGAGAATTGCTTGAACCTGGGAGATGGAGGTTGCAATGAGCTGAGATCGCGCCACTGCACTCCTGCCTGGTGATAGAGCAAGACTTCGTCTCAAAAATAAAAAAATTATATATATATAACATTCTATTAGTCTATGTAATCCTAATTTTAATAACTATATCACGTAGCCTGAATTGTCTTATATACTTGTCTTGAAACTTCTATTTACTCAGTAAATTGCCTGCGTATCTACTCAGTAAACTGCCTGCGACCAGTCTTTATTTTTAAAATTGAGTCTATCATAAATACTTAAAAATGGCTTTCCTTAGGCCGGGCGTGTGCCGGTGGCACTTTGAGAGGCCGGCACTTTGGGAGGCCAGCACTTTGGAAGCTGAGGCAGGCGGATCACGAGGTCAAGAGATCGAGATCATCCTGGCTAACAGGTGAAACCCTGTCTCTACTAAAAATACAAAAAATTAGCCGGGTGTGGTGGCAGGCACCTGTAGTCCCAGCTACTCGGGAGGCTGAGGCAGGAGAATGGCATGAACCCGGGAGGCGGAGCTTGCAGTGAGCCGAGATCGGGCCACCATACTCCAGCCTGGGCAACAGAGCAAGGCTCCGTCTCAAAAAAAAAAAAAAAAAAAAAAAAAAAAAAAAAAAAAAAAGGCTTTCCTTTTAAATCTATGCTATTTTATTTCTCAAAGTTTTTTCCCCATACAGTTAAATCTGTCACTCTTTTGCCCCTTGTAAATTCTTATATTGCAGAAAAACCAAACCATAGCTGGCTGTTTGCATTTGCTGAGAATATATTTTAGAGTGCCCACACAGCAAGAGAGTCTATGATTATTGCCCTAAACCACACCAAGCATCGTGAGGAAATGAGGATGAGGATATGCTCTTGCTCTTGAGTGGCTTGCGCCCTCAAGGGAGTGCTAAGTGTTCCTTGCACATAAGCTGCTTGTGTTATTCCAAAAGGACCTGGGAAACAGTGTGAAAAAACTTCAGGGGAAAACAAAGTAAGTATTCTCCTTCTTAACTGTCCTTCATATTTGGGGGGAATCAGGCAAGACTTTGCTGAGAAGTTAAGCGAATAGAAATTGTTAGTAGAGAAGATGGTTCTAGGCAGAGGGAAACGCACGTGTCACAATGTGGAAGCTTGTGAGAGCATCAAGTGTCAAGGAAGCAAGGCATGCTTAGCATGTAGGGGAATGGAGAGGAATGGAGAACAGTGGCGGCAAAGGTGGCCAAGTGAGGTTGAAGTCTTTCTTACTTCTTTGCCCAATCAAAATTCCTCTTCTCTGAGTGCTGACATCAGCAAACTGCCTGGAATGAGGTTTGACTCTCTCTGAGGGCTTTTGAATTTTCAACTGGATTAATCTAACTGGTGTAGAGCATATGGAAAATCTTTTTTAAGTAGGGAACTTCTGTACCTATTCCAGACCATCAGCTCCTCCTCTCTGGGGTTCCATTCCTATCCTTTCCTTTCTTTTGCAATTTGGACTCAGTAAAAATAAATATTTATTGCTTAAATTGGCACAGAGAACCATGAACATTTTCATCAGCCAGTTAATGAGAACTTCTGAATACCTCTTTATTAAGAGAACCGAAATTAAATATGAACGCAGATCAGCATTCTCAAGTTGCACGTGGCTGTTTCAAGAACTCAAATCTCAGCATTACACCATTATGCTAGATGTGGAGCACAGAGAAGTCATTTGATTACTGTCAATTACAGTTCTGAATTGTTGAGTTATTATAGCAGAGTATCATTTATTTGTTCTTTTTGGAACAAAATTTAAAAGGAATCAGGCTGGGCATGGTGGCTCACGCCTGTAATCCCAGCACTTTGTGAGGCAGAGGCAAGCAGATTACCTGAGGTCAGGAGTTTGAGACTAGCCTGGCTAACATGGTAAAACCTTGTCTCTAGTAAAAATACAAAAATTAGCCGGGTGTGGTGGTGCACACCTGTAATCCCAGCTACTTGGCAGGCTGAGGCAGGAGAATGGCTTGAACCTGGGAGGCAGAAGCTGCAGTGAGCCAAGATTGTGCCATTGCACTCCAGCCTGGGCAACAGAGTGAGACCCCGTCTCAAAAAAATAGAAAATAAAAATAAATAAAAGGAATCAGCACTGCATCTTTCACCCTAAAGGTAAACTTTCATCATTCTTAATTCTTGCTTTTTTTCCCACGAGTACTATACTACATGTGTCATCCCCATTGTCCCTTCCTGTGTCCATGGCAGAAATTACCAGTTGATCTTGAGGACTTTACAGTTGAGCCACAATATGGCCTTAAAGCCTTCCCAACCTGAGTGCCAGGCATCACAATTCATGGATTGTATGTGTTTGTGAGATGAAACCTATTTACTTCCCCAGCATCATTTCTACATGCTCCTTTTTTTATTTTTTTGAGACAGAGTCTCACTTTGTTGCCGGGGTTTCACCATGTTGGCCAGGATGGTCTCGATCTCCTGGCCTCATGATCCGCCTCCCTGGGCCTCCCAAATTGCTGGGATTACAGGTGTGAACCACCATGCCCAGCCTCCTTATTTTTTCTGCCAGAAACCTTATGCTTTGAACATAAGTCTCCAGCTCTGTGGCATTCATACATTTCTTCCCAGTTCATGACACATTTACAGTCTTATTTTCCTCCTCAATCTTTAGCAATGGAGGACTCTCCTCACATCCCCTTAACAGAAACATCAATGGCAAAATATACAGGTTGGGAATTCCTATACCAGGAACAAATCACCTGTACAGCAGTATTTTCCAAATGAGGAGAATTCTAAAAAGGAATTTGGAGAAAACAACACATTTCCAAAAATTTTCTTATCTGTGAGATTTCCTGAAAGATTTTTTTTTTAAGGGTAAATGATGGTAAAAAGATGGCCTTGAAATGGCCCCAACCTTCTGGCACAGAAAGCTTTTTTCTGTAAAGCTTCTGTTTGAGCTCACAGCAGACTATTTACACTACAAAAATAGCATATGCTTGTTTATTGTAAAAACAGTCACAAAATACAAAGCAAAATGTGAAAGTCCCCACTTTCCTTTCCAACTCCCTAAAGGTAATTACTATTAAAGGATTTTTAAGACAGTCTTCTATGCTTATATAAGTCTATGTGTCTCTCCGCATGTAATGAGAGCATTTTTTAACCAAGAATGGGATTAGCTGGGGTTGGTGGCATGTGCCTGTAGTCCCAGCTACTCAGGAGCCTGAGGCAGGAGGATCGTTTGAGCCCAAGAGTTCGAGTTTAGCCTGGGCAATGTAGTGAGACCCCCATCTCTAAAAAAAAAAACAAAAAGTAAGATTATAGAAGATGTTATTCTGTGATTTGCTTTATTCCTCATATGATACATGTGTGTATAGATATATATTGTATCTTTCCATGGCAATACATACAATTATACTCCCTTCTATCAGTAGCTGAATAATTTTTCATTATGTGGATGTGCCACAATTATTGAACTTTCTACAATTACTAGGCTTTTGCATTATTAAAATGGCACAATATATTAAATATATTTATAAAATGTATATATTTATATATGAAATATAAAAGCTCTATATTTAATGTTACATTTCCCTGATCACTATTGAGGTTAAACATTAACATTTCCCCACACATTTATTAACCATTTGCATTTCTTCTATAAATTCCTTGTTTATATTCTTTGCTTATTTTTAATTTTTAATTTATTTTTATTTTTTGAGGCAGGGTCTTGCTCTGTTGCCCAGACTGGAGTGCAGTGGTGAGATCAGAGCTCACTGCAGCCTCGTCCTCCCAGGCTCAGGTGATCCTCTCACCTCAACCTCACTTGGCTGAGTGTAGTCAGCTGGGACTACAGGCGCACACCACCACATTTGGCTAATTTTTGTATTTTTTTGTAGAGATGGGGATCCACTATGTTGCCCAGGGTGGTCTTGAACTCCTGGGCTCAAGCGATCCTCTTGCCTCAGCCTCCCAAAGTGCTGGGGTTACAGGTATGAGTCACCACGCCGGCTTCTTTGCCTAATTTTATATAAGGTTGTCATTTTATTGATTTGAACTTGCTTGAGTGTGTTTGCAGTGCTTTTCAATCATGGCCACACACTAGAATCACCCAGGGAACTTTTAAATAACAGGCCCCACCCTGTGAAATACTCTGATTCCAGTGGGCTGTGGTGATGTCCAGGTGTTGAGTTTTAGACTTTCTAGGTGAGTCTGATGTGCAGTCAAGGTGGAGAGTCCCTGGTCCAGGTGATTTAGATAGCAGTGGGTGATTAGGTAGGCTAGAACGCAGGGTCACAGGGAATAAGAAGTCAAGGAGCTAAGAGGCCAGGGTGTTGGAAGAATTGTGTATATCGTTGCATCAGTCTGCTTGCGCTGCTGTAAGAAAATACCACAGGTGGATTGGCTTCAACAACAAAATTTTATTTTCTCACAGTGTTGAAAGCTAGAAAGTCCAAAATCAAAGTCTGGCTGTTTTCCTAGCTTGCAGCCAGACACTTGTCACTGTGTTCTCAAATGGCAGAGAAAGAGGGTGCTCTGGCCACCCTTCATTTTCTTCTGAGGACACTAATTCCATCTTTGGGGTCCCACCCTCATGACCTCATCTAAACCTAATTACCTCCCCGAAGGCCCATCTCCAAATACACATTGGTGGTTAGGGCTTCAACATAATACATTTTAGGGGGACACGTACTTTCAGTCCATAACAGTGGTGTCCACTATTTCATTACTCATGTTGTAATTTTGAGCTCATTATCTTTTTGTCTTGAGACTTGTTGGTTTTGCTATGTTAATCTTTCTTCTATTGTGCTTGGTTCTCACCTCTGTTCTGTATATTCACTCCACTTTCATTTGTTCCTCTTCACAGTCATATCAGTCACAGGTTCAGAGGGCAGCCCATTTGTAGGACCCCATTCATCCGTGTTTACCCCCAAATTAGGAGTAGAAACCCACATCTGGTCATTGGAGATTAATGGATAAAATACTTTTAGATTGCTTATTCTCAGGCACCCTCATTAGACCTGTACAGTACCCAATTTTTTGGAGAGTTTTTAGGAGGCTGGGTTAGGTAAGAGCAACTAGTTTTGAAATAGAAGTAGGTGTGCATGCCCTGGAAGCACAGGAAATCCTCAAATCTGACAAGTGATTTCATAATTTGATCCAAAGCGCCATAGGCTGAAGGCAAGGAGGACAAGTGCAGTGAAAATCAAAGGAAGAGGCAATATGGGGACGTGGTATGCACCCTGCAGAGAAAAGCAGAGGATCATCCTAGCCCAGCCTTGCCACCAACTTGCCAAGGGGACCTGGGCCAGCACTGGCCCACCCTGGACTCACTTTATCCTTTGGTAATAGAAGGGGCTGGAGGGGTTTCTGAGGTCTCTTCCAGCCCTACATGCCTTTAACCAGGAGAACAACATGAAACTCAAAACTCTGCATTTAGAATTTAATTGTCCATGGATACAGTAAAGTCTACATAGGTATCTTCTCTCTGGTTTATAATTTTTTTTTAAGTAATTAAATCCTTAATTCAGGAGAAAAGAATTGGGACAACTGGGTCTAAAGTGTGTAGCTTCCGCATCTTTACATCTGCCTGTGGTCCTAGTCGTGGAATATTTGCCAAACAGTAACCACTTTGTTGAGGGCATTTTACCAGGTAATGATGTTTAAAGTGCAGCATAGTGGCTTTCAAATATGAATACTAAAACATTTAAAATATGCACACATGACATATAGTTCTAGAAAATTTCAAGGAAAGGAGGGTTCTATAGTACCAAAATTTATTCACCAATTTCTTGCCTGCCTTCCTTCCTCCCTCCTTTCCTTCCACGAATATATCAGCATCTTCCATGTGCCAATCATCTTAGTTTGCCCGGGACTTTTCCAGCTTTAACACTGAAAGTCCCGGGTTCTGGGTACCCCTTAGTTCTCAAATAAATGGGGACAGTTTTTCAGGCACTGTACAAAGCACTGAGTATATAGCAGTAAACAAACAAAAACCAAACAATTATAATAGCTCGTCTATCCCAGGCATTATTTTAAAGACAAAATTTATGAGTAACATAATAAATCATCCTTTACTCTATCATATACTTTTCCACAAAGAGCTCCTAAATTTGACTTCAAATACAAGTTCCCAGATTACCAAAAGGTAGTTCTATTGTATTTGAATAGGGTAAAATTAAAACACTGAGATTTATTTATGAAGTAATAATTAACAAAATGTGGAGTTGTCGCAGTACAGTGAAATGGCTAGTTCCCATATAAACTCAATATCTATTCAAGACTGTATTAATGACTTAAAGCTAACTTTAAATCATTCTTTCACCTTTTTCTTCAGCAATCAGTTTAATAGCCACGCAATTGAAAATGTCTGAACAAAATGCTATAAAGAACCGTTCACTGGCTGGGCACGGTGGTTCACGTCTGTAATCCCAGCACTTTGGGAGGCCGAGACAGACGGATCACGAGGTCAGGATATCGAGATCATCCTGGCTAACACGGTGAAACCCCGTCTCTACTAAAAAATATACAAAAAACGGGCTTGGTGGCGGGCGCCTGCAGTCCCAGCTACTCGGGAGGCTGAGGCAGGAGAATGGAGTGAACCCGGGAAGCGGCTCTTGGCAGTGAGCCGATATCGTGCCACTGCACTCCAGCCTGCAGCCTGGGCGACAAAAAAAAAAGAACCTTTCACTAAAATATAATATACATCCACGTTTTAACTATACAGCTCAATGATTTTTACACGGTGAAAACACTGCATCATTTTAAAGTACTTGCATGTACACCATCTCACTTAACTTTCACAGCCATTCTGGAGATAGGCAAGACAGATGGCATTATTTACAGTTCAAAAACTGAAGCCCAGGCAAATTAAATGGCTTGTGCAGGATCACTCAGCTAGTAAGAGGCATAGCTGGGATTTGAACCCTGGTCTCTGGGCTCTTATTGTCAACTCCTGGTCTCCATTTTCTATGCTGGAGTAATACGTAAACAGCAGAAAGAATGAGGAAGGAGGGAGGGAAGACAGAGAAACATTACTAAGTCACATTTCTGGGCAGTAGGGCACTAAAGAGAATCACTCTGCTTGTTTGCTTTCAGTCAAGAAAAATGTTTAGATATTCAGCACAATCAGACTTAACATTGAGACCTCTTTCATTAAATTTCATCATATTCTATAAACAGTAATTTGTCCTCAAATATTCCCAGGGTGATGTAGACAGAACAAATAAGACAGAGTCCTTCTTCAGTGTTAAGACAATAGAGGACAAAGAAGATTAAGAATGCACAGTCTTTCTCGTGAGGACTTTGCAATTTGTAGGTGAGACAGTATGCAAATGGCTGCATTTCGAGAGTGATGTAGTGCCAGAAAGGAGAAAGAAATTACCTCTAGAGAATACCATAGAGGCAGCATTCATGGAGTTGAGGTAGCATGTGAGCTGGGCCTGAGAGGCATTTCATCTGAGAAGGCAGGGAATGGAGGTTCAGGCAACAGGACCTGAGTCGGTAAAGGCATGGGAATGGGGGTGAGGGTGGGGAAAGAAAGTAAAGGACATTTGTTGCAGAACAGTGACTTGTCAATTTAGCTGGGAAGCTGTACTGAAGGAAGACCACGCTTTGGTTCCTTTAGCACATCAAATGCTTTGCCTAGCCGGTCCAACTCCCATCGTCGCTATACACACCTTTGTTTATGCAATCTACTTTCTCCCAAGAAGCTACCTGAGGGAACCATGGAATTATATACCTGGCAGTTTGAGAACAAAGGTAAACAAAGGGCAGACACAGCCTGAGGTCATAGAGTGAGCTGGTAATAACATCACAAATTCCTAAAGGGAAGGGTAGTCTGGTTGCAGCTGCAAACGCCTACAGGAAGGAGGTAGGCACCTACTCCGGTTCCAGCACGCTCCATTTAATATGCTTTTTCTGACCATGGCAGCAGATCTGGGTACCCAGGAGAGTCCTTCCTTGCATCTAGGTTTGAGTTCTCAGTAAGAATCAAATTTCCTGCAAGGAGATTCCTCTCAGGGACCCAAGGGCACCTACAAATCGTCAAAGTCATGAGCAAATAGGCTTCCTCTTGTTCCTTATCTGTCATGAAACAGTTGCTCCCTTTAGTAGATAACCTTTTTGGATTAAATTGACGTCATCTGTACAGATACAAATTTAAATAGCCATGCATGTGAGAGAGATAATCATGATGTTCATGTATGTCAGGCAGTGTGCATTTCATTAAAAAAGAGAAACTAGGCCGGGCCAGTGGCTCACGCCTGTAATCCCAGCACTTTGGGAGGCTGAGGCGGGCGGATCACGAGGTCAGGAGTTCGAGACCAGCCTGGCCAATATGGCGAAACCTTGTCTCTACTGAAAAAATACAAAAATTAGCCGGGTGTGGTGGCGCGAGCCTGTAGTCCCAGCTACGTGGGAGGCTGAGGCAGAAGAATCGCTTGAACCTAGAAAGCGGAGGTTGCAGTGAGCCAAGATTGTGCCACTGTGCTCCAGCCTGGGTGACAGAGTGAGACTTCATCTCAAAACAAAAACCAAAAAACCCCCCCCAGAAACTAATATAGAACTTAGAGTTCATTAATGCAGCCCATGATAAAGTAAGTTTTTTTCAGCATCCATAAATAAAGTTTTATTAGAACACAGCCATACTTATTCATTTATCTATTTTCTATGGCTGCTTTTATTTTTATAATTTTTTTTAAGTTCAGGGGTACATGTGCAGGTTTGTTACATAGGTAAACTTGTGTCACGGGGGTTTGTTGTACAGTTATTTCATCACCCAGGTATTAAACCTAATTCCCATTAGTTATTTTTCCTGATCCTCTCCCTCCTCCCACCCTCCACCCTCTGACAGGCCCCAGTGTGTCTTGTTCCCCTCTGTTGTGTCCTTGTGTTCTTATCATTTGGCTCTCACTTATAAGTGAGAACATGCTACCACATGGTTTTCTGTTCCTGCGTTAGTTTGCTAAGGATAATGACCTCCAGCTCCATCCATGTCCCTACAAAGGACATGATCTCGTTCTTTTTAATGGCTGCATAGTATTCCATGGTGTATATGTATTATGACTGCTTTTATGCTGTAACAGTGAAGTTGAATAGTTGCAACAGGACTACCAAGTATAACATATTTACTCTGTGGCCCTTTGCAAGAAAACTATGGTAACCTTGGTCTAAGAAAACAGTCAGTTTCGGTTAGGATCCTGTTTAATCCTTGTGACTTTACAGTTAAGTGGTATTAGGAACATTTTGTAAGCCTGGTGCGGTGGCTCATGCCTGTAATCCCAGTACTTTGGGAGGCCGAGGCGGGCGGATCATGAGGTCAGGAGATCGAGATCATCCTGGCTAACATGGTGAAACCCCGTCTCTACTAAAAACACATAAAAAATTAGCCAGGCGTGGTGGTGGGCGCCTGTAGTCCCAGCTACTCGGGAGGCTGAGGCAGGAGAATGGTGTGAACCAGGGAGGCGGAGCTTGCAGTGAGCCAAGATCACACCACTGCACTCCAGCCTGGGCGACAGAGCGAGACTCTGTTAAAAAAAAAAAAAAAAAAAAAAGAAAGAACATTTTGCCAAAGAACAGGGTAAATAAATTGTCCAAGGTCACATAGCTAGTAGGGGGAAGAGCCAGCCTATCCCTACAGCCTGTTCTCTTTCCAATATATCCCATTATCTAGTATTTATTGGTTTTGTGGGGGTGTTACCTTTAAAAAAATTTTAGAATCGGGGGTACGTGTGCCTAAGTTTTAATAGAATAGGAAACCAGAACTGAAAGCTTATTTCTGTGTTCATAATAACTCTAAGCTTCAAGGGCACATTCCCTGCTGTATCCTCAAGGCTTAATGAATGGTTGAATTACTGAATAATTCTTCTTTTTTTTTTGAGACAGAGTCTCACTCTGTTGCCCAGGCTGGAGTGCAGTGGTGCGATCTTGGCTCATGCAAGCTCCGCCTCCTGGGTTCACGCCATTCTCCTGCCTCAGCCTCCTGAGTAGCTGGGACTACAGGCACCCGCCACCACACCCAGCTAATTTTTTTGTACTTTAGTAGAGATGGGGTTTCACCGTGTTAGCCAGGATGGTCTCGATCTCCTGACCTCGTGATCTGCCCGTCTCGGCCTCCCAAAGTCCTGGGATTACAGGCGTGAGCCACCACGCCCAGCAGAATTACTGAATAATTCTAAGTAGAAATTCTAAGAAATGATTCTAAGTAGTAGGAACACATCCTGACTCTTGAGGCTGGTGAGAACTTTTTGGTTAGATTAGAACACATTCCATCATTCGTTTCCCTCCTATTTTCACTCAGTGGTTCACAGGCTTTCCATGATAAAACTAGTGTTTTTGGAACATAGAAAAGCACGTGCTGGCTGGGTGGAGTGGCTTATGCCTGTAACCTCAGCACATTGGGAGGCCAAGGTGGGAGAATTGCTTGAGCTCAGGAGTTCAAGACCAGCTTGGGCAACGTAGCAAGACCTTGTCTCTACAAAAAATTTGAAAATTAGCAGGGCATCGTGGCACGTCCCTATGGTCCCAGTTTTTCAGGAGGCTGAGGTGAGAGGATTGCTTCAGCCTGGGAGGTTGAGGCTGTAATGAGCCGTAATTATGCCACTGCATTCTAGCCTGGGGGACAGAGTGAGATTCCGTCAAAAAAAAAAAGAAAAAGAAAAAGCATGTACACCACACAGACAGGCATTCACACACTCTGTCACATAAGTGTTTCCAAGACTGGAGAGGCTGGAGTCACTGCTTAGTGGTGGTTTACATAGGATTTTTTTTTTTTTTTTGAGACGAAGTCTCGCTCTTATCCCCTAGGCTGGAGTGTGATGGTGCGATCTCGGCTCACTGCAGCCTCCGCCTCCCGGGTTCAAGCGATTCTCCTGTCTTGGTCCCCCTGAGTAGCTGGGATTACAGGCGCCCGCCACCACGCCCAGCTAATTTTTGTATTTTTATTAGAGACGAGGTTTCACCACATTGGCCAGGCTGGTCTCGAACCCCTGACCTCAGGTGATCCACCCGCCTCAGCCTCCCAAAGTGCTGGGATTACAGGTGTGAGCCACCGCGCCCGGCCTACATGGGATTCTCGACTGCCCAGCAGAGAAGTCTGATTGGGATTCCTGAACACACTACCTGCAGTCAGAGAGGCTGACCTGCATGGTGACAAAGGCTGACTGCTCACTCACGACAGCCAGCATCTCTTCTGGGTTCCACTCAGGGGCATATAGGATCAAGGCCCTAATTCATGCCCCATAGGAGCCGATTCCTCACATTAGTCTCTCCAGACCCAAGAAGATGCCCCCCCCGCCCCCAAACTCAATTTAAAAATAGTCCAAAAAATACACTTCTCATTAGATTTATTTTTCTTTCACATCATCCCGCAATTTTAGTTCATGCACACAGCGCAGCATAATTAAAACCAAACTCAGGCCTTGCCTGAAAGTCAGCCCCGTTCCTCTGAGTCATCATCCCCCAGCTCAGCTAACAGACCTTCATCTGGTGAGGGGTCCACCGGGGAGGGTTGAGGCAGGAAGGCAGGAGGAAGCGTGGGTCTGGCTGGAGCCTCACAATCAAAGCCTCTGTTCAGTTGTACCTTCCCCTCTTCCCTCCTCCACCGTCCTCTTCTCTGGTTGGGACTCTCTTAAAGCAATCATGTCTTCTATGAAAGGCAAGGCCTGTTGGGACATGAAGCAGCCATGGAAGGTCCTCCAGGCAAGATTTCCCATAGAAAGTTTGGCCAAATTCATAAATTAAGTTGAAAATTCGATCCTGTTTGCTGCCAAGTGGGGCTAATTAATTTCTGTACAGACTGATGAACAGGAAGCACACTATTCACATTATTTCATCAACAATTAATTCACTAAGCTCAGATTCATTAGTTTCCTGGCATTCGCCATCCTAAACAGTGTTGGGAAGGCATTTGTGGAGGGAGCCCGGCTATTTTAAGCCTCCTGGAGAACACCTTCGGCTCAGCTGCCTCCTTGCAGGTGACTTCACCCTCCCCTGGAGAGGACTCATTAGGGATTGTTTTGCAGCCCCAGGAGGCAGGCCTGGGTGGTGCCCCATTCCTCCCTGGGACGTTCTGGAACTTTGTGGCCTCCCTGGCAGGAAGAAGCCACGCTCTGGGCCCCACATTAATTGATACTTTACTAATGAGCTTCATAAATGCCCCAGGGCACTCCTAAGGACAGGAAACTGGAAGGAATTGAGCTCCAGCTCAGTCTCCCCCAGGCCCTCCTACCCTCAGATTTCCTTCAGACCAGAGGCCCTATATTCTAGGGCACAAGGTCCGCAGGTGAGAGCTGTTCATTGGTCAGTCAGCAGGCACCTGATACAATTATGGTGCAGTCAGGGAAGGCTTCCTGGAAGGGGAACAATATAAATGTTTCACAAGAGCAGGGACTCTCTTTTGTTACAGTTGTATACCCAGCTCCTAGCACAGGTCCTGGCACAAAGTAGGTGGTCAATACATGTGAGAGACAGGAAGAAAGAGAGGGAGAGAAGGAAGAAAGGAATATGGTCAGAAGGAAATGAAAGGTAATAACTAAGCTGAAAACAGATGAGTATGAGCTACACCCAGATAGGGGAAATGGGGTGGAGGTGGCAGTTAGAGCCATGCTGTGCAGTTGTATAAGTTGTACACTACACATCTCTGAGGGCACCATATACATTTATATAAACAGATCTAGAATTATGCAGCATGAAACTTGCACAGCTGTACATAGCAGTCCTAGTAACAGGGCAACAAAGAGAGCATTTCAGGCTGAGACCACAGCATGTGCAAAGCTTAGAAGTAAACAAGAAAAAGGAGAAGCATTGAATAACTAGAAGAAGCTCAGATTAGCTAGAAATCCTGAGGGTGGAGACTGTATTTTCTATATCTCTGTGTCTTCCATGTGGTACCTCCCACATGGTGACAGGTTAGGGATGGTCCCTGAATCCAAGCGAACCTTGGGTGTTTTGCCAGTACAAAGGGAGCCCAGGCCTCCATGCTGATGTGCAGCCCTATGCCATGCCCAGCCCCATCAGGGAGGTGCTCACTCTATCATGGGAGACAGACATCACTTCTAGCATTGTGCAATGGCCCTGGGTGGGGGAGAAAGAGAACTTCCAATGGTCAAGCATTTTCCCGTTTCCTCTTAGAACGGTGATTTAGGTAACTGTGAGTTTTTATGCACTGTCCTGTCTTAGCATGTCAGAATTATACAGGCCATGAAAATCATTTTGACCGTTACGTATTTTACTATTGAAGAGAATGTGGCCCATAGAGGGAAAGAAAGTCACCCAATGCCACCCACCTAGTTAGCAAAGGAATCAGGGCCCCAGGCTTATCCTTTGGATGTTCCTGCACATCAAACGGCCTCAGCAAACATTTCTGTATTCCAGTGCCTGCCTCCCCATGTTGGTGCATGGTCTGCCTGAAAGTGGGCAAGGTATGGTAAGGGGTCAGGCTCGGCCAAATTCATAAATTAAGTTGAATTTGGCACGAAAGGAAAGGAAGATGCTCAACTTCCTGAGAAAGTAGCAAAGACCTTCTATACCATGAGTTTCTCTTCTGTCATATCACATAAATGGGTTCTGTCTAGTCTAAGCCCAGAGGTGCTGACTGTCCTTAAGCTCTAAGTGACACTGTGTGGCTCCACCCTCGTTATGTGGCCCCTTAGTATCTTCTCCAGCAAGCTTCTTGAAGTAAAAGGGCAGATGCTATGCAGACGGGCATCACAGGAAAAAATAAGGTAAAACAGTTTGGAGAAAGCCACATCCAGCCTCCACACCCTCCAAGGAAGGCATGCATGTCTTCTGCCCGCAAACCTGGATGGGCAGACACACAGCATACACACAGCTCTGTGACAATGGGCATCCTCATTCAGGCTGAGGAGCCATAAACAGCCCTTGCAAGCACTCACTTTCCCAAGCAAGCCGCAGGCTTGTACCAGAGGTGCTCAGGTTGGTTCACCTGGCCCGGCTCCACCCTTGTGAAAGCGGAAAGGCCAAGGAAAAGCCCGACCGGGAGATTCTGGCTCTCTTTCTTGGCAGTGGCCATACACTTGACATGCTCTCTGTTCATGAATTTCCTTTTTTGTCTGGGCATAGTAAACTATTGTGGCTAAGGCAAGCCTTGGCCCACGGGGCAGGCAAGTCAGAGCCCTTGGCAGCAGCCTCCCTCAGAAGCCCTGACTTGCTTGGACCCTGCATCACCGAGGAGTAACGACTTACACTTCATCTCCTGTGCTCTTTTCCCCAGGACGGTTTTGCTCATTACTGCGTCCTCCTTTCCGCTAGGTGTTGCCAGAAATGGGATGTTAGTGAGTCTCCAGTATTTGAAACGTTTTGCAAAAAATTTTACATTTCTTGCTCCCTCACAACTGCAAACAGGAAGACAAGCTGTGTTTCAAAGTTGAATGAGCGAAAAACGGTAGACTCAGTTTTTAGGGTGACATGGCCCTTCCTTCCCAGTCTAAATGAAATGATAGGAGATACATAAAAATAGGGTAAGTCTGGATTGGTACTGGTAGCTGGGTAAGGGTGCCCAGCAAATATCAGAACATTTCAAGGAAATTCTGTTAGGTTGAAAATAAGTGGTACAAAATGAAAGGAGGATGCCCACATTCAACTTGCAACTCAGCTTCCTGAGAAAGTAACAAAGGCCCATTCTCTTGAGTTTCTCTTCTATCAAGTAACAAATGGGTCCTATCAGACTTTAGGTTTGAGGTATAGTGATTTTTTTTTAGGGGGCAGGAGGAGTCTTAGACGGATTTACCTTTCTTCTTAAGAAGAAAAGTTCAAGCCGGGCACGGTGGCTCACGCCTGTAATCCCGGCACTTTAGGAGGCCGAGGCGGGTGAATCACGAGGTCAGGAGATCGAGACCATCCTGGCTAACACGGTGAAACCCCGTCTCTACTAAAAAAATACGAAAAATTAGCCGGTCCTGGTGGCGGGCGCCTGTAGTCCCAGCTACTCGGGAGGCTGAGGCAGGAGAATGGCGTGAACCCGGGAGGCGGACCTTGCAGTGAGCCGCGGGCCACTGCACTCCAGCCTGGGCGACAGAGCGAGACTCCGTCTCAAAAAAAAAAAAGTTCAATACCTTGCATTTTCTGCAGGGCCCTTGCCTCCGTCACCCTCAGCCATATGCACTGGGTGGATTTCCTTCCACCCCTCACCTCCCAGCTCCCGGGGTGGGCATTGGTTGTCTTCAGCTCCCTTTTCACTACGGGATTTAAAGCTGAGCTGCAGCAGCTACCTTCTGACCCCGAGGGGAGATACTGTCTGAGAACAGTCAACACATGGGAAGAACAGAGCTGTGCTGAGTACTAATAATATCGTTTGACCCCCACATTGAGTTGTGCCTGACACTTAACCCTAGCCCAGGACTATCCAGTCACATGAGCCAGCAAATTCCCTCTTTGCTTAATCCAACTTGAGTTGGGTTTTCTGTCACTTGTAACCAAAAGAGTTCCAACTGCTTTGGTTAGGCAGAGTACATCAATAATATAGTCTAAAGGTAATCTTACTTCCCTGAGAATCTGCAGGTGTTGGATATTGATGTGATTCAGCTTTGTGTCCCCATCCAAATCTCATCTTGAATTGTAATCCTATAATCCCCCACATGTCATGGGAGGGACCCGGTAGGAGGTAATTGAATCATCGGGGCAGTTTCCCTGATGCTGTTCTCATGATAGTAACCGAGTTCTCATGAGATCCAATGGTTTAATAAGGGGCTTCCCCCTTCACTCTGCTCTCATTCTCTCTCCTGCTGTCCTGTGAAGAGGTGCCTTCTTCCCTCTCCTGCTGCCCTATGAAGAGGTGCATTCTGCCATGACTGAAAGTTTCCTGAGGCCTCCCCAGCCATGCAGAACTGTGAGTCAATTAAACCTCTTTTCTTTATAAATTACCGGGGTTTGTCTCGGGCCTGTCCTTATAGCAGCGTGAGAACAAACTAATACAAATATAACATTAATATTAACAACTGTGCTCACAATAACATTCTATCTTCACAATATACTTTTAAAGAACAACCAACAGAAGGGAAACCAATGAGCTGTACATAAATGGCACCTACATAAACATAACTTCTTCATTCATGTGTGCTTTTAGTATTTTAATTTTCCTGAGAGCTGCCTTCATAACCAGGCTACTGACCCTCAGGGCCTTAAAGACCAAAGGAAATAGGAGGCTGAAGAAATCGAAGGTGACATGAAGTGTTCCCCTGCCCCACTGCCAAGCCCACCCAATCTGAAGATGAACATTTTAGTTTCCAAATGGGCAGAAATACTCCATCTCCCACAGGACGTTCTATGGCTATGTTAAGGAGAAAGAGGAAAAAAAATGAGAAAACTTTTTTGCTCATTTGACAACATTCTCCCACTCTCTCATTGTGCGCAGCCACAGCCTCCTTCCAATTCCTTAGATTTGCTATGCTTTTTCCTTCACATCTGTTTACCTTCATAGCACCACCTACCACCGTAGGTCATAAAATGCTTGCTGATATGTTTATTTGTGGAACGTCAGACTCTTTTCTCAGCTGTAGGGTCTGCAAGGCAGCAGCCAGGTTGGTTTTGGCCCTTACTCTATACTCAGAGGGTGGCCTAACACCAAGTAAGTACTTGTTGAATAAACGAATGAATGAAGGTATGAATGAGTGCTTGTAACTTTCCTGGGTTAAGAGGGATGAAAGAGTGTGTTTTGTCATACACGATTTTTGTCTGCGATGATTCTTTCTTCTAAAGTGTTTTATTTAATAAAAGGTTGATATTTTGTCAACTGATTCTGATCCTAGTTTTGTTTTTTTTTTTTTTTTAGAGTAAGGGGAGGAGGGGGAGACCAGTGGAGGAAGGAAGAGGGGACTTGGTACTACCTAGAAACTGGTTCTGTGCATTTATCTTTCTTTGGATGCAGGAGTGGGTTGCTTAGAGGAAGAAATGAAAGCTGTGTTGATTCTACTTCTGGAAGGGAATTTAACAGCTGCTGCCAGGAGTCATGAGGCAGTGGATTCTGGTTGATAGTCGAAATTCTGATTTGGGGTAAAAGAGCATGAATATATCTATCTTGCTTAGAATGTTCCAGTTTTACCATTACCTGGAGACCATGGAGAACTATAAGGGGAGTGGAATGTGAAGCCCAAAAAAAAAAAAAAAAACACTCTTTTTTTTGTTTTAAATTCTTGGAAGATTCATATTCAACAAAAGGGGCACAGTTAAGTCAATGACGCCTCATGCATTGGGGGAATATTATATATCCATTAAAATAATTTATATTATTATGAAACAAGCTTATGCTATGGTATGAAGTGCAGAATCTAAAATGAAATAAAACCAGAAAGACTCAGGACCCAAAGTTGTTGCTACAGAATATTAATAACTGGGTTGATAAGCTCCCTGCCTGGGGCCTGGCTTACCTCCGCAGCACCATCTCTTATCACTCCTCCTCCTCGAGGCCCCTGCCCTCTGCCCTCCAGTCACCCCAAAGCCACGTTTCACTCACACCTTCCCCCCATTGCCACCCTTTCCATCTCCTGGACAACTTCCCTTGATTCTTTAGGTATAAATTTAAATGTCCCTCCCTCAATTTAAAACCCTTCCCTAAACCCAGAGTCCATGGAAGTGCCCTGAGGTCTCAACTTAAATGTCTCTCCCTCTGGAAACCCTTTCCTAAACCCAGAGTCCACGGAAGTGCCCCGAGGTCAAGTCCCTCCTACTTACTTTTTGTACTTCCAGGTCATCACACTTAACACAAGGTCTCTAAGCTGTGAGCTCTGAGAGGAGGATGCAGTCATTCATTGCAGTGTCACTAGCATAGTGCCTCAGTAAGTAAGAATATAGACCTGAAGGAAATAGGCCAGAATGTTGCCAGTAGTTGCCTCTAAGTGGGGCAACTCATGCAGATTTGTATTCCCTTTTTTCAAGTTTTCTGTATTTTCCAAGATTTCCACAATAATCATGTATTACATCATATTGTTATGATAGCAAATAACAATAACCCTTTAATTATAAAATATCTGGAAAAGGCATAAATATAGGCGACATCAAACGTTTTCTATTTTAACAGAACAGTGGGATTTCACTTGCACTTTTTAGGTCTTTATCTGGGGCAAAACATACAAATGCATCTGAATTACAAACCCATGAGAGAGTGTGGTGGGACCAGCGGGCCATGCAGAGCTGTGTCATGACATTATGCCAGTGAGCTGCATATACCAGGGAACTTCACCCTGTTAGGGACCAGGCTTTTCATCTCTCTTATTTTCAGCAACTCTCCCAGGGCTGGAGCAGAGAAGGTGCCTACTTAATAAATGTTTGCTGAATTCCTTGATAGCAGTTTTAGAGAAGAAGCTAACTTAAACTGACCCACAGAAAAGTGGAATGTATTTTGTGCCATTGTTCTGGAAATTTAGAGATGCACAGTAGGAAAAATTTCCCTCTGCCTTGTAATAGCACAACTGGAAGGTGTATATGTCTAGTTATACCCCATTTATCTAGGGATAAGGTTTAAAGTGACCTCAATTTTCCAGACTATGACCGAAAGCAAAAATAAGCCAAATAAATAAATAGGAGCGAGAGAGAAACAAACAAACAAAAAAAGAAGCCTGTGAGCATCCTAACAAGTTCACAACGGCCGTCGAGTTCATGACCTGGAAACCTCCAAGAGCTTCACACAGCCTCCCTCAGAACATGCTTACAGGTACCTTGGACACAATTCTAACAAGCACAGCCTTGATCCTAACAAGGGTCCCATGTCATCACATACTAGGGGCGTTTTCCAAAGGGGCGCGATACCTTCCACGGTGTAAAGGCACTGGGACTTTACTGATGGCACAAGGTAAGCAACAAACATCAAAACTAGAACAGGCCTTTAAAGAACTTCTAGTGAAGTCCACCCCCTCCTTTTACAGATGAAGAAGCACAGTTAGCGAGGTTAATGGCCCCAAATCACACAACAATAAGGATGAAACTGTGACATACAATAAACACACAAGTAAACAAAAACCTCCCAGGCCCCTGACTCCCTGTATCAAAGCAACTGTAGTCAAGGGTCATCATGACCAAATGAAAGGAAGGCAGAGGAGTAAGTGCTATATTTTAGAGTGATTCCCAGCAAACATTCTTTTACAATTTTTAATTGGTTCTTAAGAATGATTATCCTCAGTTATCTGAAGTACTGAATTCTGGCAAAGTTCCACTGCCCGATATTGCTGGACAGAAAAATAACTCCTTTATATATATTTCCACCTATTGTTGCAAAATGGACTCAGTACTCTAGCTGGCTATCAGCTACACACACACACACACAGACACACAGACACACACACTTTTCATATCATCCCATTGAGCAGATAGCGTGCTTTGTGAAGGCAGGCAGACTTGTTCATTTCTGTACAGTGCCTGGGGCAGTAGTTTTTCTGGATGAATAAATAAATGAACAAATGAATGAACCTCAAGATTCAGTAGTCAAGCTGTCCTATTTAACTTTCAACACAGCACGCCCATGTCTTGAGGCCAATTCTTAAAATCCATATGGTAGATGCATTTGGTATGACAGGAAGTAATTAAAACAAACTGTAAGCATTGAGGGAGCGGTTGTCAACGCTTATTTTGATAACCAACAAACAATGTGGAAACTGCATTTTTCCCTGTAAATAGGGGCATGCTGAAAGATGGAAATGCAAAAAAAAAAAAAAAAAAAAGAAAGAAAGAAAAGAAAAACTTCAACACACTATGTAAATCCTTGGAGGGAAGCAAGAAATCACACAAAGCATTGATCTTTTACTTTTTTTAATGCAAGATTTACACACATGTAGTTTTGTGTTTCTTTGCTAACCCCTTTTCCTCCACGGATAACTGTTAAAATCATTCTCCCACTTAGTTCCCTTATTTAGTACCTCCTTAAAATTCAAGCTATTACTTCTTTTAAGGAGCAAAATTTGCAGATATTATCCTACTCATCTGCATCTTCTCCGAGACTATAAATTATCAGGATGCACCTCATGTCTAGACACCCGCAGGTGTCATTTGAATCCCTGATTTAAGCTGTTTACACCCCACGTTGTTTTATTTATCCTTCAACATCAGGTCTCTGTTTAATTAAAATTTACTTTGGTCCTCCTGGCGCTCGCCCGCACTATCCCCATAGCAGCACAGAAGTGGTTTTGCTCTTATTAATTCCACTTTTGCCTGTCTGCTCTAACCCAAGAAAGCTCTGCCCGCCCAGATCCCCAGCTTGAGTGTTGGAGTCAAAAACCACAAGCTAGGGCCAAGGATGCCTCCCGTTTACAAGCTGTTCTGCAGGCTAACGCTGATCTTCCCCAGACGCTAAATCATAATCTTCGTGTTTTTCGTATTTCACATTCTAGCCACAATTTCAACATCCCATCCCCGTGACATTAGGGAATGATAAATCAGCAGGCGGGACAGTTCCCCTGTACAGACTGGTACGGGCGGACCGGGCTCTGCCAACGCCCTCGCTCCTGCCAGATGTCGGCGCCCGCGGGGTTAACCCTTTCCGGCAGCGCAGCCTTCCCCTGCGTCCGGCCGCTTCTCCAGGCAGCTGTTTTTAAAAACGTCCGCCTCCCAGGTTCAAGAGCGAAACTCCGTCTCAAAAAAAAAAAAAAAAGTTCGATAGCTTTTATTTCTTTTCAAACTTTCCTCCTTTTTTCCCCCTTCTCCCTCCTTTCCTTGCCTTGCCAGACCTCAGTGTACTTGAAAGCAAATAAAAATGGTATCAAACCACCGGCAATGGGAATATATACTTCTCTTAAATAAGTGAGTCTGCCTTAAAACCATTTTGCTCCTTCGTCTTCACCGGATATTACTAGAAAAGGACGAGGGTGAAAGAACTTATTTTAAGGTGGAGAAATATTTAGTGCTAATTTTTTAGTTATTTGCTATTTTTAAGTAGCTTTATTGAGGTATAATTTACATATCAATGAATGCATCTATTTTACCAGTACAATTAGATAGTTTTTGAATATATTTATAGAATTGTGCCACAATAGGAATAATCTAATTTTAGAACATTTCTATCCCCTCCCCCCACCAAAAACCCGCAGTGTCCATTTGCAGTTATTTCTCTCTCCCACCCCAGGTAACCGCTAATTTACCTTCTGTCTCTATAGGTATGCCTTTTCTGGGCATTTTATACAAATGGAATCATACAATAGGTAGTCTTTTGTGTCTGGTTTCTTTCACTTAGCCTAATGTCTTTGAAGTTCAGTGCTAATGGCTTTTATTGTATGGCAAAGCCCCTTAGAATGGCCAAACTGTCCCAGAAGACTACATAATCTAACTGCACTAAGTGTGCTCTCATAGTACACACTGCATAGACACGTGCCCTAAAATAGGGTGAGAACTTCGATTAGGGTCAAATTCTGAGGTGTGTGTCTGGGGATGGGGGTGGTGGCGGGTCTGTCAAGGGCCATATGCAAATACAAAGCTTCTCAACTAGTAGTTGTATTGGTTTTGTTTCAGAGACAGAAATCCAAAACATTCAATTTACTTGTTATTAAAATGGCACATGAAAGCCACGTAGCTTTCAGAATACAAGGGCTTTTAAGCTATCTCCTTTTCACATTATCTAATAACATTCCATATGTTAAAACTAAATACAGTTGACCCTTGAATAACTTGTGGGTTCGGGACACCTACTTCCATGCAGTTGAAAATTCAGGTTTAATCTTTGACTTTCCCAAAACTTAACTACTGTTGACCTGAAGCCTGATAACAGAAACAGTTGATTAACACATATGATGTGTGTTATATGTATTATATACCATATTTTTACAATAAAGTAAGCTAGAGAAAATGAAATGTTATTAAGAAAATCATAAGGAAGAGAAAATATATTTACTGTTCATTAAGGGGAAGTGGATCATCAAAAAGGCAAGCCTTCATCCTCGTCATCTTCACGCTGAGTAGGCTGAGGAGGAGGAGGAAGAGAAGGGGTTGGCCTTGCTGTCTCAGGGGTGGCAGAGGCAGAAGAAAATCTGCCTATAAGTGGACATGTTGTTCAAGGGTCGACTATATACATTTCAGTGTTTTACATACTAAAATGATATGCTCATGTGGAAAGTGTTTTTATATTAACTACTATATAATTAATATATAGTTATATAATTAGCTATATAGTTATATAATTATAACCAATTTTTAAATTAACTAATATTATATAATCATTAAGGGAGAGCGAAAGAGAAACTAAAAGAATAGGAGGTCAAAGGCAAGCAAAAGGAAGAGAGATTTGTGAGGTGAGAGGGGAGAAGCATGAAAGAGAGTAATCTGCCTGCCCCTGCTCCAGTTCTGTTCTCAGCAGGCAGTGATGGCTTTGCAGCTTTTGGCTGCTCTTTCGAACTTCCATCACAGAATGTTCACTACAGTGCCCTGATGGGGAGCTCTTCTCCTAACTGAGGGTGATGCCTATAGCGGTGGTTCTCAGCCCTGGTTGCACATTACTATCACCTGGGGAGCTCTGAAACCATACCCATGCCCTGGCGCAATCCTAAATCAAGTGCATTACAGTGGGACCTGGGCACAAGTACATTTGAAAAGCCTCTCCAGGGGATTCTAATGTGCAGGCCCGGGCTGGGAACCAGTGGGCTTGATAGAGCAGTGCTTATCAAACTTTTACACACATAACGATCACCTGGTGATCTGGTTAAACTGTAGATTCTGAGTCAACAAGTCTGAGGTGGGGGCCTGAGAGTCTGCTTTTATAATAAGCTCCCAGAAATGCTGATGCTGCTGGCCCCTGGAACACATTTTAAAAGGTGAGGAGCTAGAGAAAATCCCAGGTTCTTTTTTTTTTTTTTTGGCATGGCATGGAGTATTCCATCATCTACTTCTGTTGGTTCTTAAAGTGGGGCCCTCCAAACCAGCAGCATTAGTATCACCTGAGAACTTGTTAGAAATGCAAATCCTCAGTCCCTACCCCAGATTTATTAAATCAGAAACTCTGGGGGGCAGCGCCCAGCAATTTGTGTTTTAACAAGTCCTGCAGGTGATGTTGATGGACATTTAAGTTTGAGAGCCACTGATCTACTTTTTTTTCCTAAGCATGCTATGCCTCTATATATGTATTCCTTCTAGCTGGCATCCCTTCGTCTTACTGCCTACTCCTCCATCCAAAGCTCTCGCCAAACTGAGATTTCCATTCTGCAAAACGCACCTTTTCTCTGACATCTTCTATCCTGTCATATGCTGGTGTTTCATAATTGGCCTTCCTAGGGCCCTGATGCATAGCATTTGCTGATTTCTGTGGTGTAAATACTCCCACCATGGCCACCTTCAAGCCATGAATGTGAAGACGCTAAAAGCAGACTTGGGAAGAGATGCACACTCACTACAGAGATGGGCTCTGGCTAGCTGGTTCCAGCACACAACTGTTCCGCTAGAGTTATCCCACCGTCTTACATATTTGGCTGTATGTCTGTCTCCTGGCTAGATAGTGCATTCCTTAAGGTTAGTTCCATGTCATTTCTCTCTGCCCTCCACCGTCTCTAGAATGGGGCCAATACATAGGTCTTTCATATCTCTTTATTGAATTGAACCCAATCTCCATTATGACATCATGAACTCACACATACACAACTGAACTTTTCAAAATGAAAATTGTTCAGTCATGAGAAGAATGTTTTAGCTTTAAAAAATTAAAATTTTGATTGAGCAAAATTTTTGATTGAGCAAAATTTACCATCTATATTTTATTTCCAGGATTTGGACACGTGTTAAAGTTAATTCTGATGGTGTCCATTGGAGACCTTAAGAATGAGAAGCACTGCTTTTATTCAGTTTAAAAGTATGCGTGGAGGCCGGGCATGGTGGCTCATTCCTGTAATCCTAGCACTTTGGGAAGCCAAGGTAGGCAGATTGCCTGAGCTCAGGAGTTCGAGACCAGCCTGACCAACATGGTGAAACCCCATCTCTACTAAAAATACAAAAATTAGCTGGGTGTGGTGGTACACGCCTGTAATCCCAGCTACTCGGGAGGCTGAGGTAGAAGAATCACTTGAATCCGGGAGGCGAAGGTTGCAGTGAGCTGAGATCGTGCCACTGCACTCCAGCTTGGGCAAAGGAGAGAGACTCTGTCTCAAAAAAAAAAAAAAAAAAAGTATGCGTGGAAGTAGAAGGCTCCAGATGATGGCCTCACATGTGGGAGCTCACATGCGGGAGGGCGCTGGGACCCCGGGAGGTGCTCCTAGCTCTGCCACTGACCTGGGCTCACTGTTGCCCCATCCCACACTCTTCATCTGTAAAGGAGGACCCTGCAATTGATTGCTAGCTCTAATGATCTGTTCTATCTCTGGTTATTAAACTTGAATTTAGGACTTCAAATTATCTTTAAACTGAGAAGAAAACATGAATTCAGAAATGTTCTTTCCATTAAAAAAAGTGTTTATATTTTATGATAAAGGGTTAAGTATGCACTATGCCCTAAAGAGTCAAGGTTTGTCTTGGCTTCTTGTCCTCCTCCTTCTGATGAATTGCTTGACACCTCCCTGATCCTGCAGCTCTTTTCTTTAGAAAATAACATTTGGTTCTGGTCATGGAGAAGCTTGGGCTTTGCTGATTTAAGGCCATAAAGAATATAACAGCAAATTTAAATACTTTCGTATCTATAAAAGCACAAGTCTTGAAATAGCAAATGTTAACATGAAACACTTAGTGTTGGGTCTTTACAATAGAGTTTTCTTTAATCATCAGTGGTTCAGTTGCTATATTTCTAATTCTCTTTCGTAACTTTAAACCTTGTATTCAGTTATAATTTTCTATATTGCTAGATCGTGTTAAGACTGAACTATAATTTTAGGGTTCAGATTTCAATGGATTAACTTTATAGTATAAACAATTAGGAAACACACTTTTTCTTTAATCTTGCATTTCAGTGACCATGGCATTGATTCTGTAGAGGTAGATTTTATCAATACATTGTGTTGTCTTATTTTAAAATACAAATAAACATCTGTGCCAATACAAGACAGCATTTTCAAGAGACTCTCCAAGAAGACTTAATTTTTTTTTGGAAAGTGGCAGGTGAGAGTTCAGGGGTACCTATTCCTTTTGCAATTCAAAAACATAAATTAGGATAATTGTTTTAGAAAATACTTGGAGAAAGAGATGTGCTGATAAGTTTGAGCTCTAATTAAGCAGCTTCTTTTACAGCTCATGCTTTAATTCAATTCCAGGTATTCTCCCCTTTTGCTAGTCAACACTGACACAGATCTGTCTACTTTAAGATCATTTGTATTATCCCTTCATTTGGGTTTACAACTTGGGTTTTAACATTAGGCGAAGGAAAACAATAAAAGATAGTTTTGAATTTACACAAGTAATTTCAGAAAGGACCTTGGCAATGTTTTTCATTCATTTTCTACTCAGGTCTCCTTAGCGTGGCAAACTGAAGGTAAAACAACCGAATTTAATGTCTTCACCCACAAAAAATCATTTTAGGGCTCCTATAGTTCACTCACTGGTATGTCATCCTCCCAGTCTCAAATTCTGGAGGGCTTCTCTTTCTTCCCTCTCCCTCACATTCTGTATCCAGACAATTGTTAAATCCTACCCACTGGTGCTTGTAATTCATCTAGAATGTATCCTCTCTTTTTTCTCTTGTTCTCAACTTGAGAGGGCATTGTCATTACCTGGGGAGCTTCGTAAAAATGTACAAACAGGGCCTTCCCTCTCAAAATTTGAAAAGATGTTCAAGGTGGGTACTAAGAAACCTTCATTTCTAACAAGCCAACCAGCTAATTTTGAGGGGCCTTCCACGAGGAGGCCCAAGAGGATGGCAAATAGGAGCCAGTTTAAGAGGGAGGAAGCCTGTTCTAGACAACAAGGGCAGCAGGCAAGGGGGCTGGGAGGCTGGGGAGCGGGGAGCAGAGAGCAGGAGATTGCCCTAGGTCTCCCAGGCCTTAGGAAAACAGCTCTAAAACCCACCAAACCTATGAGAGAGTGTGGTGAGACCAGCGGGCCTGTGAAATCGGACAAGTGGAATCTGAGGTGCCCTTGATCTCAGTTGAAAATGTCCCTTGGAAGCAGGAAATGAGGGTCAACAGCTGAGGAGAGAGATCTGGGCTGGATTTGATGGTGAACTTTCTTGGAAAGAGTCTGTTAATTGGGATTAGAAGGGAGTCAGGATGGAAGTCCACCTAAAGAGTGACTGGGCAAGATGAACCCGCAGAAGAGAGGGGAGAAAGAAAGGAAAGTGCTGTAAAAGTCAAGAGCCAAGGGAATTTTAAGAAAAAAGAAGTGGGCCGGGCGCAGTGGCTCATGCCTATAATCCCAGCACTTTGGGAGGCTGAGGCGGGCGGATCACCTGAGGTCAGGAGTTCAAGACCAGCCTAGCTGACATGGTGAAACCCCATCTCTACAAAAAAATACAAAAATTAGCCGCGCATGATGGCGGGTGCTTGTAATCCTAGCTACTCAGGAGGCTGAGGCAGGAGAATTGCTTGGACCCCAGGAGGCGGAGGTTGCAATGAGCCGAGATCGCGCCACTGCACTCCAGCCTGGGCAACAGAGCGAGACTCCGTCTCAAAGAAAGACAAAAAACAAAACAAAAGAAAGAGGAAGACAGTCACCTGAGGATTCCCTGTGCCCTGAACAGGGCAGGTATATAATAAATGTTTTCTGAACTGAACAGAAATGCTGCCCAGGCCAGAGAAGGTAAGAAGTATGTATGGAGAGGCTGTGGGTCCCTGTGTGACCTTGGCAAGGGCAGCCTTAGAGGGGTGGGGGAGTGGGCGGATTGGTTGAGGCGGGATTAAGTGGCAGGTGAGTGTAGACAGTGTAGACACTGAATAAACGTCACTGAACAAGGTAAGGGGAGAGGTGGGATGGTAGTTGAATGGGGAAGAAGGGTAGAGGGCAAGTTGGAAGATGGTAGAGTGGTAAAGAAGAAGAAATGTGACCTCCTTCCATCTGTGGGACATGGGCTTTTAATACCTGAGCTAATGAGAGAACTTCCCATATGGCTTTCCTAACTTGGTACTAACTTGCATTATTCAAAATGTTACCTCCAGGATTTCCTTTTTCAAGAAATATTTTCCCTTAGGTAAAGCCATGGTTAAGCCTGTGTTTTCTCCAAAGTGTTTGGCATTCTGCTTTCCTGACCCGAGGGATTCCTGACCTACTGTTGCCTGAGAGTGATAGATGCTACTGAGCAAGGTGCCTTGTCTGCACAATCTCATCACAGTCCCCAGGGTAGGTGTTATTATTCTCTCTCCTCCAATAAGGCAACCGACACTCACCCTCCCTCAGCTAACTGGTCAAGCTGGGATTCAAGCCTAGTTATGCTTCACTCAGAAACCTCCCCTACCCAACCCAGGCTGCACTTGCTTCAACTATAAATTCCAAAATGACTCGACTACTTTCGCCCAAAGTTCCTGACCTTTCTACATTCCAGACAGTTCTTTCTAATTGAGGTGTCGTTTCTTTAGTTGCTGAAGGCAAAGCTCTTACAATTCTGCCCTAGCCTCCCCCTCCTGCCTCAGTCCCTTCACAAACCACATAGAGATCCGAGATTCGGCAAGGGGAGCTGCCTGCTGCTAAGCCACTAGAACCACGTGTCTGCCCTGCCTTGCCCTGCGCTGTGCCATCTGCTGTCTCTGCCTCACAAATGCAAAAGCATGCCTGAGCCAGCCTCGTGTGTGGTCCAGCACTCCTACAGAACCCCTTCTAGCTTAGAGAGAAATCACATCTACTTAGCACCCTTATTGAAATGCTAGGCACTGTGGTGGGTGTGTGGTAGATTGCGTCTGATTTAATTCATCCAGTATTGCAAGCTGGATGCTGTCCTTTCCATCACACTGTGCCTCAGAGAGGGGAGGTTACTTCCAGGAACTCCTACCTGGGGGTGTTGGAGCTTGGACTCAGCAAAGGTCAACCTGCACTTTAAGACCACCTTATGACACCATCTCCCTGAACAAGGGTGAAGTCACAGCAGCGGACCTTTTCAGGCTCAGAGCCGGGCTGTTCCAAGATCAGGAAAAGTGACTGGTTAACAGAATCTATTGCTGCTTTACATGTTTTGGTGAGAATTTAATGATTTAAATGATGAACGTATTAAATTCCACATTCCAGTAGTAAAGGTCCCACTTAGCAGAGTGTCTCTGTGTGTCTCTCCATATTGTTATTGAACCAATTAGGGATTTAAAAATATACATTTCTAATTCGAGATGTTACGGGTAGCTTTCACTGCCAAAAACATTTGTACAGAAGCCTCCAAAAAGCTACCCAAGGACCCGAAAACTTTAGCTTGAAGAGGAGACAGAAGTAAAACTACTGGAGGGGAAAAAATAATCTTCAGGTCAACAAAGCTGAGTTCCTGGGCTACCCTCAGCCTGGCTCATGCTAGAATTAGAGCAGAACTGCATGGCTCACAGCCTTTGCAGGTACAAAGACTCAGTGAAGGTGTAGCTTAGAGGGATGAAGGTGTGCTCATATCCCCTTCTCCTGGGGGGTGCCAGTATACTTGGTCCCAGGACCCCTGCGTAATGCTAACTCTCCACCTGGCAGGCATGCAGCTGCCCCAGAGCCAGAGCCCCCGTTCCTGGCTTCCCTGCCAGACTGGGAGCCTCCTTTCAGTCAGTGGAGCAGATAGTGTTCAGAGCTGGGGGCCCAGACGAAATCCTCCATCATCTCCACCCACGTTTCAGGAGATGGCGTGGAGCTGAGCCTAGTCGCACCTGTGCCTGACTGAGAACCAGTTCCTAAACTTTTCCCTCCCCTAGGGAGTCCTTATGGATTTAACAAGGGAAGCAGAGTAAATTTGTGAATTTGATAAAGCTTCCTTCCATGGGCTTTCTTTGAGCAATGAAGGAGGTTTCTTAGGAATCTTCCAGACAATATGTATTTAAGGCACCCTCTTTCTTGCAGTAGTTCGAGAGTCGTGATTCCTAGCCCTGAGGTCAGGGATTTGTCTGAGCCCCGTTTGATAGATGTAATATTCTGTGCATCTGCATATTATAGGCAGTTCCCCTTCCATAGCTACTGTCAGGTTCTCAAGGGGTTCTTGGACCAAAAGGTCAAATACTACTTGCCCTTGTGTTTCTGAGGCAATGACCAGGTAGGACTTTCTGAAGGGAGGAAAGAGGAAACTTTCAGAAGACTTGTATCTTCATACAAAGCATGATGTTTTGCTACGCTGTCTTCCTTCTATTGGGGGTCAGGTGGGGTGAGGAGGTCGGACCAGGGTGATATTTCTGGGTGCATTTTGTTAAGCTGACTTGACTTCTATTGTTTTGGATGCCAGGTAGGGGAAGGAATGGAAGAGAAGGGCATTAGAAAAATGCCAGGTGCCCTGAGAAATCCTGCTCCCTTTCTCCCTTCACAATGAAGCATCTTCAAAGGCTTTTCTATCCTGGATTCTCTAAGCTTCTGGTTCCCCATTTGTCTCCCAACCCACAGAGATCTGAGCTCCTCTCTCAATAGTCCTCCTGAAACTGCCCCTCTCCCAGATCAACAGTGACTTCCAGCTGAAATATCCTAATGATGCCTTTCAACTCCTGCCCTACTTGATTGTAGTTCTTTATATGGACTTAAATAATTAATCTCTATGTATCTTAGGCAAAGGATGTTCTATCTATGACATTATTAGCTATCATTAATATACTCTCTAGGAAAAGTAACGGATTTTAACCACAGATTCTGACACTGCTGAATGAGCTTGATGTCAACATTGATATATTCCTTAAATATTTATTGAGGACCTACTGGGTGCTTATCACTGTGCTGGGTCCTGATGATGCAATGGTGGTTTGGCCTGTGCCAACGAGGTAGCTTTCTGGGTTTTTTTTTTTTTTTTTAGACAGAGTCTCTTACTCTGTTGCCCAGGCTGGAGTGCAGTGGTGCGATCTCAGCTTACTGCAACCTCCACCTCCCGAGTTCAAGTGATCCCCCTGCCTCAGCCTCCCGAGTAGCTGGGACTATATGCATGCACCACCACACCTGGCTAATTTTTTTGTATTTTTAGTAGAGATGGGGTTTCACCATGTTGGCCAGGCTGGTCTTGAACTCCTGACTTCAAGTGATCTTCCTGCCACAGCCTCCCAAAGTGCTGGGATTACAGGCATGAACCACTGCGCCAGGCCCACAAGGTAGCTTTCTACATGCTACAGGAAAGGAACAAGTGAGGACCAGGAGGTACAGGAGGTCCAGGAGAATTACTTTGTGGTTAGGATTTCAGTTCCTCCTACTGGAACTACGTTATTCATCTGGGCTGGTCTAGGGTCCCTGGAGACTTTAGTCCTTCACAAAATTAAGACAATCCAAAAGTACTTTCCCACTGCACACACATACACATAGAGTCCACAGCCATTCCAAAGTTAGACTAAAATGATCAGTAGGACAGTAATTTTCTAAAGTGGGGTTAGGAGACCCATGGTACATATATACAGAAGAGAAATCTGACCCCAAGTACTAAAATAGTCATTAAATATTGTATAGTTGCACCTCCAACTTGCAAGTTTTCTAATCTGGTAGGGAGAGAAAGCTGAACATGCAGCCAGTGTGACTCTGAATATGTACCCACAGGTATAAAAGATAACTAATCAAGGCAATAAGAAGATGAGAGACAGGGATTTTCCTGTTGTCTTGGAATTGCAGTTAATAAGCAGCTCAATCTTGAGTGAATCCAGGGGGCTGCCAGCAAGGGTGGCCACTAATCTTGGGAAATGCAAGGACCAATCCTGCTCCCGGAGACTACCTCCTCCTCCACCCCTCAGCAGAAGGAGCCATGAGAAGGTTGCTGGCCATAAGGGGAGTATGGTCTGCATGGGCTGTGCCTGCCTTTCTCCATGTGGAAGGGGAGGGGCACCTCCCCAAAGTAAGTTATGGAGACTCTAGAGAGTCATTAGTGAAGACTGCAGGTTCAAGGCAAAGGAAGATGATTGACTTCTTAATTCTTTGGCTGAACTGTAGAAACTGTAGGCGGCGAGTGGGCGAGGGAGGGCCTGGGAATAGAGGTGGTGAAAATCCCCAGGAGAGAAAATCCTGGGAACCTCGGAGCTTGAAGTGTTGTCTTCTGCGTTCTTATAAACCCACTTTTCGAAGTCCTCAAAACCTTAAGGTCCTATTCCCAGGCTGTCAGCCATCACCAGCTGACAAGAGGCCATTCTACACAACTCTTGGGGTACTTCCACATAGACTACCACAGGAATTATATAACACGGTGGCCCTGCCCATTGTATCAGTTAGGATGTGTTCAGCTGGAAGTAACGGTTAACTCACCAATGGCTTAATCAAAAATGACATTTATCATTTACTTAACAAGAAGTCTAAAGCTAGGTGGTGCCAGGACTGGTGCAGCTCATCCATGCCGTCGAGGACCCTTGGTCTTTCTGTTTCTATACTGTCCCATTCCCAGCACATTGGATTTTTGTCGATTGCTTGTCTCCCTGCGGTTGCAACAAGGCTGCTGCAGCTTCAGGTATCATATTTTGACACTAATGGCCCAACGTGTAAGGAGAGAGTAGACACAAAAAAACCCATGTCTTTTGACTGAGGTCTGGGCTCCAGAATTCCTTTATGTCTCATTGACCAAAACAAAGGAGAACAGCATTACTCTAAATGTTTTATGCCAACCATGATGCTTGTCCTGAGGTCGAGGCACTGGGGTCCTTCTGTTAGCAAACAGGTTTAGTAGACAATGATCAGAGTCCCCTACATCTGTCTCCAATGGTTTTCTAGAGAATAGGTTTATCTCCTGTATTTCTTTAAGCAGGCATCAATAAATATTTATGGGATCACTACTACATGCCAGGCTCTGTGCCAAGTCCTTGAATTGGTGGTCAATCTCTTTAACAAAACACTGAGGATTCTCTCTTAGGCCTGTCTCCTCCTCCAGCACCTCCCGATCAGCTCCACTTTCAGACTAGCCCCATTATTTGCCTTCTTAGCTCTCACTCCTAACTAGAACACTGTTGAGTGGCTCATTAAAATATTAGATTTTCAGCCTAATAACTGGGCTCTGGACAGATCCCATTAATTCTTATTCTTTTCCTGGTAGGTTCCTCTCCATCTCATCCCATGAAACCCAAGCCTGCTCTTCTCATCAGACATTTTCTCTTTCTCTTTCTTTTTCTCTTTCCCTCGGAGGGAATTTTCTCTTTCCCTCCTTTCTCTTAGCTTTTCTCCTTCTACAGGCATGCTTAGTTACCATAACTTCACTTAGAATCACCAAGTTACTCTCTTTTTTGCTCCTTGTCCTCCTTTAAGCCATGTCACCTTCTCTTTAATACCTTAACAAGAATGCTCCCTTAACAAGAATCACTAACATTCAGTATCTGGCCCTGGCTGAGCATTTAGCATGTATTATATCAATTTCATCTCACACCAGATTATGAAGAGGGCATCATGTCCATTTGGTAGGCAAGAAATGAAGTGTAGCTTAAGTAACTTGCCCGATGTTATACCAGGGTGGAGCTGGCATTCAAGCCTGGATCTGCCCGGAACTCACAAAGTCCTGCTCCTAAGCAATGGGTGAGGTCTCCTTGGGCTCACACAGCCCCTGTCACTTATGTCCCCCTGTGCAGGCATGCACATCCTCTCCCCACACAATTCACCCCACTGATGACATCTGCCTCTTGTCCATTTTCCCCACTGGACTGGGAATGCCCAGAGGGCAGAGATTCTGTCTGACTCACAGTATCTGCCCCACCACCTGCCATTCCTGCTGCATGGCAGCCATCAGTGGAGTTTTATTTATTTATTCATTTATTTATTTATTTATTTTTGAGACGGAGTCTCACTCTGTCGCCCAGGCTGGAGTGCAGTGGCCTTCACTGCAACCTCCTATTAGTGGCCGAGGGGATGAGAAGGAATGACACCTGGCAGAGAGCCGGGCTGAGTCAGGGACTGGCTCACAGCAAGATGGTGACTCTGCTGAGAGATGGAAACAGGTGGGTCTGGAGGTTCTCCTCCCTTCTCATTCATTCATTCAACAAATAGCTACTGGGGGTCTTTTATGTGCCAGGCACTATTCTAGTTGCTGAAGACACAGAGGTGAACAAAGCCTCAGGAAACTGCAGGCAAGTGCTGGGCCTATTTGCTTTCTCCAGGCGCTTTGCTCAGATCTCAGTCACTGTTTCCTTCCCTATTTTTCCTCATTGCTTAGAAGAGTTACATTTTTTACGTACATCACTCAGGTTAAGCATCTAAGGAACCATAAACAAAAGCAAGTACTAAACGGACAAAGTCTGAAGGCTTAAAAGTCACCTCCCCCTAACACCTCTGCCCAAGCATCAACCTCCTCAGGGTTCCTTCTCTAGTCTGAGACACTCCATGCTCCATTTCCCATTTTTCTGTGACTGGAAGTTCTGAGCTGCCTTCCTGGGAGAGCAAGAGTGCTTTTACTACCTCCCTCTGCCAGGTCAGGTCACCTTTGACTCCACTTCCGCCCCACCTACATGCTCTGGGGGGAGTCAGGGAATTTGCTCCTGGCTCCTCTTCCCTTCCAGGACTGGAAGAGATGGGGAGGCTGCTTCGCAACCTCTCCAGACCTGGACTGGAGGCAGGGAGGACAGTCAGGGCATCAGTCTATCCGTCCATCCTTTGGCCCATCTGTCTATTGTTGCATTCATGCCGCATACCAGTAAAGATCACAAACATGGAATGGAAGCCCACACCAACTGTAGCGCTCTCTAAGCCCAACTTGAGAAAGGAAGGCTCTTGTTTTGCGCCCTGCCCCCCAATTCAGCCCCGATGCTTAGTGCCCAGTGGCTTCTCTCATCTCACTGGGAAGGGGAGGGACCAAGGAGGACTGGGGAACGGGGTGGGGGTGAGGAGGAGGGAGATGCTTGCCCTGACAGGCCTGGGCCGGTCTGCACTGAGGCACACACACCACCTGCACCTGGGAGTGGTGGGGGGAGGGGGCGGGGCTTGAGACACGAGCGCCTTTTCCAGAAGGCTCCCCTACCACGTCTCGTCCCCACCCGCACCCCCTTGCCTACCACTCGCGGGGCGATTCCAGGAGTACCTGGCAACACCACAGACTGCGCGGCCCAGGCCAAGCCAAGCGTGGAGACCGCGCAACCCCGCCCTTGGCCCTGGCCCAGGTGTCCCGGCCACAGTCCCCAGTCTTGCAGGGGACGTTCCCGCGCTGAGCAAGTCCTGATCGCGGACTCCTGAGTTACGGGGAACCGCCTGGTCCAAGGCGAGGACAGGGAGTGCACCAGCAGAGGGAACCCACCCTGCCTCCAAGCCCTGCGGAACTTGGGCTGCACGGGAAGGAGCTGGTTTTACAGCCCTGTGGGGTGCGGGATCCGAGTTTCCCTAGGCACCTGCAGGAGAGCCCCAAAATCTAACACGAGGGCATGGAAGAAGGAGTTGGATGAGCGGTGGCCCGAATGAAAGGCATCCGTGCTCTGGAGTCTGCAAGTAATTTAAGCTTCCAAGCCTCTAAAGATGCTCCCCGCACCCTCCTCTGAGGAATCCGCGGGCGGTGGCCTGGGCCCTGTCCCGGGACAAGGCACTGCGTCTCTGAGATTAACCCCTGTCGGGCGCGCCCTAGCACTGTCAGCATGAGGTCATCCTGCCAATAGGAATTTCCTGTCCCTTCAACACTGACTGGAGACGGGCCCCACCCTATGCCCAGTCCTCGGGCTCCTGGACTCACCAAATACCTGGGACGCTCATTGCCAGGCAGCGCCAGGCCCTGCCCTCCAGGCCTCATCGCTGCCGCAGACGTGGGACAGGTTTCCTCATCAATGGCCGAAAGGGAGCCCAGGTCGGGGGGCATGTTCTCTGGCGGGCATTCTCTGCCCCAGAGGAGCCTGCTTTCCTGAGCACCGGCCCCACTGTGCCTCATCTTGGTTCCACCCTTCCAGCGCTTGGCAGTTAGTGTAGGAACCGAGATCTCTAGGGAAACTGAGGCCTTTTGGCAACAAGATGCCCTGGGGGCTACCCTAAGAAAGGCACAGCTTCCTTGGAGTGAGGAGTGTCACCTAGCAAAACTTGGACAACATTAGAAGATGCAATTAGCAGGTGAATCTTAGGCTAAGAATGTGGGTATTCACCACAAACTCTGTCTCTCCCTAGTCAGATGGTGAATGTGACACAAACCCCTCCCTGCTGGGTTGTGAGCTGGGTGGAAGTTCCTGGGGGCGTGCTCATCCCCATGTCCAACGTCCTTTGCACACAGTAGGAGTGCAATAAACCTTTGTCCACTGTTAAACTGGGGAGAGACTAGTCATATGATTTTTCCTAGTGCTTGTGACCTGTATTTTCTGGCTACAGGACAGAGGGGTCTTAAGCCAGTATGGGAGGTAGGGGTTGGGGCAAGAGGGAGGATAAGAAGGTCTCAAAAACAGGAGGCTCTGATGGGGCTGGACTTCAGCACCCTTGTGTGAGGTTGATCAAGAGAAGGGCTGAAGACAAGAGTGGGAGGAATGTTTGGGGAGGTGGTAGGATTCTGGGGGATAATGGGGTCCAAGTGTCAAAGTGTGACCAGAGTGGGACAGGGGGACATCTCCTCACTTCTGGCAGGGGCTCAGCAGGTGAGGACACCAGGTGCCTTGGCTTGCTATTTGGAGCTCAGAGAGAGAGTGTCCCCAGGCATGCATCCTGTCTGGGCAGGTCCCTTTGGTCACAGTGTCACAGTCACAGTGGGGAGGCGCCCTCAAGTGGCTTCACAGCAGCAGACCTGGATGGGGATGGAGCGCAAGAAGGCAAGTCTCTGTGATACCCCAACTCTCCTCCCAGAAGTAACTCGATGAGGAGGTTTTGAGGGAACCAGGAAGAATAGCTCAGCAAACGGTTTCAGAGACATTGAAACAGGAATGATGACTCATAATGTGTCTCCATTTATAACCACAGGTTGAAGAGATCTTACAGAACTGGAATATTTAAGAATATGACATTATATTTCTCAAATGTTTGATATCTCCAAACAATAGTAATTTTTAAAATAGCGGCCAGGCACAATGGCTCACGCCTGTAATCCCAGCACTTTGGGAGGCCGAGGCAGGCAGATCACCTGAGGTCAGGAGTTCAAGACCAGCCTGACCAATATGGTGAAACCCTGTCTCTACTAAAAACACAAAAATTAGCTAAGTGTGGTGGTGGCACCTGTAATCCCAGCTACTCAGGAGGCTGAGGCAGGAGAATCGCTTGAACCCGGGAAGGAGGAGGTTGCAGTGAGCCAAGATGGCGCCACTGCACTCTAGCCTGGGCGACAGAGCGAGACTCCATCTCAAAAAACAAACAACAAACAAACAAACAAAAACCATTTACTATGTATCTTTTGATTACAAATCAGTATTTGTTTATTTAAAAAATGGACAATGTAAAGAAAATGCAAAAAGAAAGTAAAAACAACTGGCTCCCCAGAGGTAACCACTCTTTTACATTAAATGTTACACATATTGTTTTGTAATTTACTTTATCCATGTAAGAATATATCATGAATCTTTTCACATGGCAGTAAATTTTCTTTTACATTATTTTTTAATGGTAGTTTAGTATTCCTTCCTGTAAGTCTGCCAAAAATCATTTAACCAATCCTGCTATTGGACATTAAGCTTGCTTACAACTGTTAACCATAAACAAATGTACGCACGCATACATGATGAATTTCTTAGGATAAGTTCCTAGGAAGATAATTGCTGGTCACAGGTCAAATGGTATGCTCATTTTTAAGGTTTTTAAAATATGTTGGCAAATTGCCCTCCAGGAAGATTGTTTTAATCTCTACCCTCACCTACAAAGCATGAGAATGCCTATTTCTCCACACCCTCACCCAAATTTGGTATTCTCCATCTTTTTAACTTTCTGTCAATTTGAAAGTAGAAAATGATAATCTTTAATTGTTTAAATTCCCATTTATTTGATTATTAGTAAGGGTAAGTAAAACACCTTTTCACTATTTTCATTTCTTAGTCTGTAAATTAACTGTTGCTATCATTATTTATTATGCTGACCAGACATTGGGCATTTACTACTAGGTGTGTTCAGTTTTTTTCTTATTAATTTTTAGGAGCTCTTTATATAATAATATTATCCCCTTGCTTGTCACGTCATGAAGACTTTATCCCTGTTTGTCTTTTAACTTTAAACACTCTTTTGCCTTATAGAAGCTTTACATTTTTATGTAGTCAAGATTATCAACCTTACATCAACTTACTTCAAGAAAGGTTTCCTCTATATCAAGAATATAAGAACATAATTTTCCATTCCACCTCCATTTATTTTCCCAAATGTTTTTTATTGTGGTAAAATGCATGCAATATAAAGTCTACCATCTTAACCTTTTTTTTTTTTTTTTTTTGAGACGGAGTCTCTCTCTGTTGCCCAGGCTGGAGTGCAGTGGCACGATCTCAGCTCACTGCAACCTCTGCCTCCCAGATTTAAGCGATACTCCTGCCTCAGCCTCCTGAGTAGCTGGGACTATAGGCGTGCACCACCACGTCCAGCTAATTTTTGTATTTTTAGTAGAGACAGGGTTTCACCACATTGGTTAGGCTGGTCTCGAACTCCTGACCTTGTGATCACCCGCCTCGGCCTTCCAAAGTGCTAGGATTACAGATGTCAGCCACAGCTCCCAGCCCATCTTAACTATTTTTAAGTGTACAGTCTGTGATATTAGGTTCACTCATAATGTGTGCAACCATCTTTATAACCCTTTTCATCTTGTAGAACCAAAACTCTACACACATTAAATAGTAATTCTCCATTCCTCTCTGACTCTAGCTATTGGCAACTATTGTTCTACTTTTTGTCTCTATGATTTTGACTACTCTATGTACCTCATAGAAGTGGAATCCTATATTTTGTGACTGGCTTATTTCACTTAGCATAATGTCCTCAAGGTTCAATTCCCCTTTCATTTTTATAATTTTTTCATTTACATTTAAACTTTTATTTTTTTTATTTTTTTATTTTATTTTATTTTTTTTTTGAGCCTGAGTCTTGCTCTGTCGCCCAGGCTGGAGTGCAGTGGTGCAATCTCAGCTCACTGCAACCTTCGCCTCCCAGGTTCAAGTGATTCTCATTCCTCAGCCTACTGAGTAGCTGGGATTACAGGTATGCACCACCATGCCCCAGTAGTTTTTTGTATTTTTGGTAGAGAGGGGTTTCGCTGCATTGGCCAGGCTGATCTTGAACTCCTGGGCTCAAGTAATCCGCCTGCCTCGGCCTCCCAAATTGCTGGGATTACAGGCATGAGCCACTGTGCCTGGCCTAAACTTTTAATTTTTCTCATATTTATTTTGATGTCTGACATAGATAAGGACTTAATTTAATGCTTTTTAAAAGTTTGGCCGAGTTTTTCAACATTATTTGTTGAGCACTCAATCCCTTTTCCAAAGATTTAAGATATGATTGTTTTGATTAATATTTCCTTGATTTTTTATGTTTATTAACCATTTTCATTTCCTCCTTAATTTATGCCTATGCATGTCCTTTGTCTATTTTTCCATTTGTGCTTTCATCTCTTACTGATTAGAAAGGAAACTTTATGGAGGAGCCAAGATGGCCGAATAGGAACAGCTCCGGTCTACAGCTCCCAGCGTGAGCGATGCAGAAGACGGGTGATTTCTGCATTTCCATCTGAGGTACCGGGTTCATCTCACTAGGGAGTGCCAGACAGTGGGTGCAGGCCAGTGGGTGCGCGCACTGTGCGCGAGCCGAAGCAGGGCGAGGCACTGCCTCACTCGGGAAGCGCCAGGGGTCAGGGAGTTCCCTTTCCGAGTCAAAGAAAGGGGTGACGGACGCACCTGGAAAATCGGGTCACTCCCACCCGAATACTGCGCTTTTCCGACGGGCTTAAAAAACGGCGCACGACGAGATTATATCCCGCACCTGGCTCGGAGGGTCCTACGCCCACGGAGTCTCGCTGATTGCTAGCACAGCAGTCTGAGATCAAACTGCAAGGCGGCAGCGAGGCTGGGGGAGGGGCGCCCGCCATTGCCCAGGCTTGATTAGGTAAACAAAGCAGCCGGGAAGCTCGAACTGGGTGGAGCCCACCACAGCTCAAGGAGGCCTGCCTGCCTCTGTAGGCTCCACCTCTGGGGGCAGGGCACAGACAAACAAAAAGACAGCAGTAACCTCTGCAGACTTAAATGTCCCTGTCTGACAGCTTTGAAGAGAGCAGTGGTTCTCCCAGCACGCAGCTGGAGATCTGAGAACGGGCAGACTGCCTCCTCAAGTGGGTCCCTGACCCCTGACCCCCGAGCAGCCTAACTGGGAGGCACCCCCCATCAGGGGCACACTGACACCTCACACGGCAGGGTATTCCAACAGACCTGCAGCTGAGGGTCCTGTCTGTTAGAAGGAAAACTAACAAACAGAAAGGACATCGACACCAAAAACCCATCTGTACATCACCATCATCAAAGACCAAAAGTAGATAAAACCACAAAGATGGGGAAAAAACAGAACAGAAAAACTGGAAACTCTAAAATGCAGAGCGCCTCTCCTCCTCCAAAGGAATGCAGTTCCTCACCAGCAACGGAACAAAGCTGGATGGAGAATGACTTTGACGAGCTGAGAGAAGAAGGCTTCAGACGATCAAATTACTCTGAGCTACAGGAGGACATTCAAACCAAAGGCAAAGAAGTTGAAAACTTTGAAAAAAATTTAGAAGAATGTATAACTAGAATAACCAATACAGAGAAGTGCTTAAAGGAGCTGATGGAACTGAAAACCAAGGCTCGAGAACTACATGAAGAATGCAGAAGCCTCAGGAGCCGATGCGATCAACTGGAAGAAAGGGTATCAGCAATGGAAGATGAAATGAATGAAATGAAGCGAGAAGGGAAGTTTAGAGAAAAAAGAATAAAAAGAAATGAGCAAAGCCTCCAAGAAATATGGGACTATGTGAAAAGACCAAATCTACGTCTGATTGGTGTACCTGAAAGTGAAGGGGAGAATGGAACCAAGTTGGAAAACACTCTGCAGGATATTATCCAGGAGAACTTCCCCAATCTAGCAAGGCAGGCCAACGTTCAGATTCAGGAAATACAGAGAACACCACAGAGATACTCCTCGAGAAGAGCAACTCCAAGACACATAATTGTCAGATTCACCAAAGTTGAAATAAAGGAAAAAATGTTAAGGGCAGCCAGAGAGAAAGGTCGGGTTACCCTCAAAGGGAAGCCCATCAGACTAACAGCAGATCTCTCGGCAGAAACCCTACAAGCCAGAAGAGAGTGGGGGCCAATATTCAACATTCTTAAAGAAAAGAATTTTCAACCCAGAATTTCATATCCAGCCAAACTAAGCTTCATAAGTGAAGGAGAAATAAAATACTTTACAGACAAGCAAATGTTGAGAGATTTTCTCACCACCAGGCCTGCCCTAAAAGAGTTCCTGAAGGAAGCGCTAAACATGGAAAGGAACAACCGGTACCAGCCGCTGCAAAATCATGCCAAAATATAAAGACCATCGAGACTAGGAAGAAACTGCATCAACTAACGAGCAAAATCACCAGCTAACATCATAATGACAGGATCAAATTCACACATAACAATATTAACTTTAAATGTAAATGGACTAAATGCTCCAATTAAAAGACATAGACTGGCAAATTGGAAAAAGAGTCAAGACCTATCAGTGTGCTGTATTCAGGAAACCCATCTCACGTGCAGAGACACACATAGGCTCAAAATAAAGGGATGGAGGAAGATCTACCAAGCAAATGGAAAACAAAAAAAGGCAGGGGTTGCAATCCTAGTCTCTGATAAAACAGACTTTAAACCAACAAAGATCAAAAGAGACAAAGAAGGCCATTACATAATGGTAAAGGGATCAATTCAACAAGAAGCGCTAACTATCCTAAATATACATGCACCCAATACAGGAGCACCCAGATTCATAAAGCAAGTCCTGAGTGACCTACAAAGAGACTTAGACTCCCACACATTAATAATGGGAGACTTTAACACCCCACTGTCAACATTAGACAGATCAACGAGACAGAAAGTCAACAAGGATATACAGGACTTGAACTCAGCTCTGCACCAAGCAGACCTAATAGACATCTACAGAACTCTCCACCCCAAATCAACAGAATATACATTTTTTTCAGCACCACACCACACCTATTCCAAAATTGACCACATAGTTGGAAGTAAAGCTCTCCTCAGCAAATGTAAAAGAACAGAGATTATAACAAACTATCTCTCAGACCACAGTGCAATCAAACTAGAACTCAGGATTAAGAATCTCACTCAAAACCGCTCAACTACATGGAAACTGAACAACCTGCTCCTGAATGACTACTGGATACATAACGAAATGAAGGCAGAAATAAAGATGTTCTTTGAAACCAACGAGAACAAAGACACAACATACCAGAATCTCTGGGACGCATTCAAAGCAGTGTGTAGAGGGAAATTTATAGCACTAAATGCCCACAAGAGAAAGCAGGAAAGATCCAAAATTGACACCCTAACATCACAATTAAAAGAACTAGAAAAGCAAGAGCAAACACATTCAAAAGCTAGCAGAAGGCAAGAAATAACTAAAATCAGAGCAGAACTGAAGGAAATAGAGACACAAAAAACCCTTCAAAAAATTAATGAATCCAGGAGCTGGTTTTTTGAAAGGATCAACAAAATTGATAGACTGCTAGCAAGACTAATAAAGAAAAAAAGAGAGAAGAATCAAATAGACACAATAATAGACACCTCTACGCAAATAAACTAGAAAATCTAGAAGAAATGGATAAATTCCTCGACACATACACCCTCCCAAGACTAAACCAGGAAGAAGTTGAATCTCTGAATAGACCAATAACAGGACCTGAAATTGTGGCAATAATCAATAGTTTACCAACCAAAAAGAGTCCAGGACCAGATGGATTCACAGCTGAATTCTACCAGAGGTACAAGGAGGAACTGGTACCATTCCTTCTGAAACTATTCCAATCAATAGAAAAAGAGGGAATCCTCCCTAACTCATTTTATGAGGCCAGCATCATTCTGATACCAAAGCCTGGCAGAGACACAACCAAAAAAGAGAATTTTAGACCAATATCCTTGATGAACATTGATGCAAAAATCCTCAATAAAATTCTGGCAAAACGAATCCAGCAGCACATCAAAAAGCTTATCCACCATGATCAAGTGGGCTTCATCCCTGGGATGCAAGGCTGGTTCAGTATATGCAAATCAATAAATGTAATCCAGCATATAAACAGAGCCAAAGACAAAAACCACATGATTATCTCAATAGATGCAGAAAAGGCCTTTGACAAAATTCAACAACCCTTCATGCTAAAAACTCTCAATAAATTAGGTATTGATGGGACGTATTTCAAAATAATAAGAGCTATCTATGACAAACCCACAGCCAATATCATACTGAATGGGCAAAAACTGGAAGCATTCCCTTTGAAAACTGGCACAAGACAGGGATGCCCTCTCTCACCACTCCTATTCAACATAGTGTTGGAAGTTCTAGCCAGGGCAATTAGGCAGGAGAAGGAAATAAAGGGTATTCAATTAGGAAAAGAGGAAGTCAAATTGTCCCTGTTTGCAGATGATATGATTGTATATCTGGAAAACCCCATTGTCTCAGCCCAAAATCTCCTTAAGCTGATAAGCAACTTCAGCAAAGTCTCAGGATACAAAATCAATGTGCAAAAATCACAAGCATTCCTATACACCAGCAACAGACAAACAGAGAGCCAAATCATGAGTGAACTCCCGTTCACAATTGCTTCAAAGAGAATAAAATACCTAGGAATCCAACTTACAAGGGATGTGAAGGACCTCTTCAAGGAGAACTACAAACCACTGCTCAAGGAAATAAAAGAGGATACAAACAAATGGAAGAACATTCCATGCTCATGGATAGGAAGAATCAATATCATGAAAATGGCCATACTGCCCAAGGTAATTTACAGATTCAATGCCATCCCCATCAAGCTACCAATGCCTTTCTTCACAGAATTGGAAAAAACTACTTTAAAGTTCATATGGAACCAAAAAAGAGCCCGCATCACCAAGGCAATCCTAAGCCAAAAGAACAAAGCTGGAGGCATCACACTACCTGACTTCAAACTATACTACAAGGCTACAGTAACCAAAACAGCATGGTACTGGTACCAAAACAGAGATATAGATCAATGGAACAGAACAGAGCCCTCAGAAATAACGCCGCATATCTACAACTATCTGATCTTTGACAAACCTGAGAAAAACAAGCAATGGGGAAAGGATTCCCTATTTAATAAATGGTGCTGTGAAAACTGGCTAGCCATATGTAGAAAGCTGAAACTGGATCCCTTCCTTACACCTTATACAAAAATCAATTCAAGATGGATTAAAGACTTAAACGTTAGACCTAAAACCATAAAAACCCTAGAAGAAAACCTAGGCATTACCATTCAGGACATAGGCATGGGCAAGGACTTCATGTCCAAAACACCAAAAGCAATGGCAACAAAAGCCAAAATTGACAAATGGGATCTAATTAAACTCAAGAGCTTCTGCACAGCAAAAGAAACTACCATCAGAGTGAACAGGCAACCTAAAGAATGGGAGAAAATTTTCGCAACCTACTCATCTGACAAAGGGCTAATATCCAGAATCTACAATGAACTCAAACAAATTTACAAGAAAAAAACAAACAACCCCATCAAAAAGTGGGCAAAGGACATGAACAGACACTTCTCAAAAGAAGACATTTATGCAGCCAAAAAACACATGAAAACATGCTCATCATCACTGGCCATCAGAGAAATGCAAATCAAAACCACAATGAGATACCATCTCACACCAGTTAGAATGAATATCATTAAAAAGTCAGGAAACAACAGGTGCTGGAGAGGATGTGGAGAAATAGGAACACTTTTACACTGTTGGTGGGACTGTAAACTAGTTTAACCATTGTGGAAGTCAGTGTGGCGATTCCTCAGGGATCTAGAACTGGAAATACCATTTGACCCAGCCATCCCATTACTGGGTATATACCCAAAGGACTATAAATCATGCTGCTATAAAGACACATGCACACGTATGTTTATTGCAGCATTATTCACAATAGCAAAGACTTGGAACCAACCCAAATGTCCAACAATGATAGACTGGATTAAGAAAATGTGGCACATATACACCATGGAATACTATGCAGCCATAAAAAATGATGAGTTCATGTCCTTTGTAGGGACATGGATGAAATTGGAAATCATCATTCTCAGTAAACTATCACAAGAACAAAACACCAAACACCACATATTCTCACTCATAGGTGGGAATTGAACAATGAGATCACATGGACACAGGAAGGGGAATATCGCACTCTGGGGACTGTGGTGGGGTGGGGGGAGGGAGGAGGGATAGCATTGGGAGATATACCTAATGCTATATGACAAGTTAATGGGTGTAGTGCACCAGCATGGCACATGTATACATATGTAACTAACCTGCACAATGTGCACATGTACCCTAAAACTTAAAGTATAATTAAAAAAAAAAGAAAAGAAAGGAAACTTTATATATTGAAGCTACAAATCCAGTTTTGCTTGTTCACGTTCAAATGTTTTTCCCAGTTTGTCCTCTAAGAATTAATTTTCATAGCTTTTTGGCATACAGAGGCTTTTGATTTTCTTTAGTCATATTAATGTATTAATTTATGGTTTCTGAATTGGCTGTGGTGCTTGGGAAGGCCTTCCCTATTCCAAGGTCATATAAATTGTCATCGACAGTTTGTTTTGTTTTCTTCCTTCTTTCCTTCCATTTTCAACTCTAATTTCTACATAATTTATTTTGGTATGCTATATTAGGCAAAAATCTACTTTTACCTTTTCTTAAAAGAGTTACCCAATGGCTTCACTATTATTTATTGAATAATCTTTTACTTTCTTATTTGAAATGTCACCTTTATCATACACTAAATTCTTACGTGTACCAGATTCTGCTTCTTGCCAATATCCTGTCTCTGCCCTGTTTTTAATTCTGAGATTTCTACCCTATGAAACCCCAGTCCTGGACCAATTCAGCCCTCCCTTTTCCTGCCTCTCTTCTCTGGTTCTGAGAGCTGCTGGGGAAATTCATTTCCACTGGTTAGTCCTGCTCCACATTCGTGGTCTTCAGCCTCCCTTGGGCCTTCAACTTGGCCCTGAAGCTCCGTCTCCCAATCTCCTTATAGTCATTTCAATTCTCCTTCTCCATCTCTTTCATCTCCCCCATCACCCACAGATAACCTCACCTTCTTCTTGAAGAAAAAAAAAAAGAAGTTCTATTGGAAATTTCTCAACTTCCACCTGCCCACTATCACGCTTCCCTCCTTGAAGAACAATAATCACCAGTGTTTAATGTTTACTCTGTGCTGGGCACTGTTTTAACCACTTTATGTGTGGTTCACCCTCACCACAACCCTATAAAGCGGGCCCTGTGATTTTCCTCAGATACCAGGAAAGGAAACTGAGGCCATGTTTTGGAATTTGCCTAAGCTTCCACTACTAATCTTGGGTGAAAACTGAGATTTGAATCCCGGTAGTGCCTTGAGAGCCCATGCTCTTGACCATTCCTCTGTGTCATTCTTTCCAGTCTTGCTGTGTTTTAACAGACTGGTTTTAATCTCCATTCTCTGGCATGGTAGTAAAATCATTCACTTCTTCACTTATTCAACTGTTCCACAACTATTTGAGCCTATGATATGTGCCAAGAACTCTGATAGGGCTAAAACAGAACGCAAAACCAAGCATGGTCCCTATCCTCCCAAAGCTGATAGCCTACTGGGGCTGAGAGAAACTGACCAAAGAATCACACCAGCAAACACAAAACCACATCCCAAATAAATGTTCTAAAGGAGAGGAACATAGTTCTATGGCAGTGGATAGCAAAGGCTTGAGGAGGCCGGGTAAGGGTGTCAGGAGACAGCCTCCCTGAGAAAGTAACCAATGAGCTAATGAGCTGAGACTGAAGGATTAGGATGAGTTTATCAGGCAAAGGCAGTGCTTGCCAAAGGGCTCCATGCATACTTAGTGAAGAGTTGGGAGGGTGGCTAGGCAGGTGCTCATAGAGATAAGATCTTTCTGTGCTTCCCACCTAGGCTCAGCCATAGCTGCCCTGGCTGTGAGTAATGACCTTGGAGCTGAATGGTGTGCAAAGGAAAAAGATGAACTCTCTGTCCGGTAGTGCCAGGGGTAACTCAGCTCTTCTGCCCCATGACCTGCTCTGCCCATATCTGACAGCAGAATAACAGCATTTGACCACAGACTCCTCTGACTTTCTAAATGTTAACAGCTCTTATTGGAAGAATCATTATAATTCTCTGTCAGCTTATAAGGCAAACCTGGCTTTCACGTGTGTTTGGTGAGCGCCCTCCTTTCCCCTGCCTCATGTTTTCAGGGACTTGCCTTAGAGGGACACTCTCAGCCTCTAGGCCCACCGCCTACTCTGTCCTTGAGGGTGCAGTGAGTTATCTGATTGGAGGCTGACATACATTGGTCCACATTTCTCAATGGGAAGAAACTAATCTATCAAAAGCTCTGCCTGTCTCCTTCCTTCTCACCTAAGACAGGTACTAAGTTGCCATCCTGGATGAGGTGTCTGTTCCTGACCTGAATGTTCCCTGCATGGGTGATCCCAAAGTCTGGCCAGGGGCCACATGGATGGGTATAGATGGGGAGTGCTGTTATGCCCTTCCAGCCATTCATCTAAAGACACATTCTCCAATTCGTTTTTCAATCATAAAGCTGATGGGTTAAATCTCTATCCACCTGTTTCACCTGTCTTATATTTATCAGCTGGTTCTGTACTTGTGAGAGAAAAAGAGACTATCATTTATGGATCCCCCTAAAACCTGTAGGACATGCACTTAAAGTTTTGGGTGCTAAATCAACTTCTCTAACTCAAGTGCAGGTGGAGACACCTTAGAACACAAGGATCAATGTGCATCCTCTTTCTCTATCCCTTTGCTTGGAACGCAATGGGGAGGCTGGATAGAAAACGTGGAGACCTTGGTTCCCTGCTCCAAAATTATATCTGAAGCGAATTTCCAGGGCACATACAATTTCAGCATAGGGCAAACATACATTATTACCACACAGAAGTTCTATCCTTTAGCCACGATTTTGGATCACCTGTGCCTCTGCAGCCCTCCCTCAGTGCAGGTACAAGGGAGTCGATACCTGAGGCAGATGTTCCAGTATTCATATCGGTCTCCTAGGGCCCAAACTTGTTTTGGCTGAGGATGCAGCCTCTGCTCTACAGTGTGTCCTCCCTGCCCAGTGGACCACAGGCATTAGATGGTGGCTCTCTGGAGGGAATGAAGGTGTAGAATAGTTCTTCCCTGGCCACAGGCAGATTCCCACCCCGTCCCGCCTTAGCATTTGGCAGCAGAGCCCAACTTCCTACAGCAGCAGAGTGACGGCTGGCACTAGAGGCAGCCACTCCCCTGGCGCAGCAGCTGCCAGGGAGGGGAACAAGATATGGTCTCTGAATAGAGTCTTCTGAGAAGGGAATAGACAGGAGACCCTGGGCTCTGCAGGGACAAACTGCAGTTCCCTTCCATCAGAGTCACCAGGTCAAGGCAGGGGTACCTGCTGACCAGGGGTGGGAATAGCACAGGGACCTTGGAAAGGGCTTGCTCACATTGTTATCTTTGGGTCCTTTTGCAAATCTGCATTTTGGTGATTTGTTGTCTATGGGAGTGTGAAGGGAGTTGAAGATGACTGACAGATGTCAAGGCAGCATGCTTGGGAAAAACCATCCATGTGCAAGTAGATCCTTGGTGACCTTCAGCACTTTGTGTTGGTACAGCTGGCAAGGACATATACACAACAGCAACAGTGGCTGGCATTTCTGAGCTCTTCAAAGTGTGCTAAGCATCATGTGAAGCCATTAGATTCCAGATAGCTTTGGTTGTAGAACAGGGGAGGAAGATGGGGATGAGGCTGAGGCTTGGCTGAAACACGCTTTCAGGAGGAATGATCCCAGCCTTTGCCTAGGAGCAGCCTGTCACTACTCTGTAACTATAGTCAGATGCCCACCAGTTTGAGGCTGTATGAAGAAAAGGGGTCTTGGGGTTCTCAGGCAGGGATGTGTGATTGGAGCCACATAGGGGACAGTAAATGGCTTCTCTTGAAGCCTGCCAGCCCTGTGCTCCACCATTCTTTTTTTTTTTTGAGATGGAATCTCGCTCTGTTGCCCAGGCTGGAGTGCAATGGTGCAATCTTGGCTCACTGCAACCTCTGCCTCCTGGGTTCAAGCGATTCTCCTGCCTCAGCTTCCTGAGTACCTAGGATTACAGGCTCACAACACCATGCCCGCCTAATTTTTGTATTTTCAGTAGAGACAGGGTTTCACCATGTTGGTCAGGCTGGTCTCGAACTCCTGACCTCATGATCTGCCTACTTTGGCCTCCTAAAGTGCTGGGATTACAGGCGTGAGCCACCGCGCCTGGCCTGCTCCACCATTCTTGATGATCTGAGCTTCTCCTCCATCTTTCATCTTCCCAGAAAGAACCAAGGGGCCTACAGGCTGTGGTCTAATACCGGCTTGTTAGCTCTTTTTTTAGCTTGCTACAGGAGCACTCCCATCTCAGAGGAACCTCCTGGAGGCTCCAAGGACCCCTCCTCAGGTCCCAGTGCACAAGTATGGATTTAGGAAGTATGGAGTTTGCTGAAGTTGTGTTGACACCTTCCCTACTGTTTCTGTTGAAGTCTTCTGTTAATCCCAGGATCCCCACAGGACCCCCCTGAATTCTTTCTGGTGAGAAAAAATTCGGCCAGGTCTGGTGGCTCATGCCTATAATCCTAGCATTTTGGGAGGCAGAGGCAGGAGGATCACTTGATGCCAGGAGTTCATGACAGCCTGGATAATATAGTGAGACCTCATCTCTCTCTCTCTCTCTCAAAACAAAAGAAAACAAACAAAAAAAGCCAGGCGTGGTGGCGCGCGGCTGTAGTCCTAGCTACTCGGGAGCCTGAGGAGGGAGGATTGCTTGAGCCCAGGAGGTGAAGCCTACAGTGAGCCATGATTGCACCACTGTACTCTAGCCTGGGAAACAGAGCAAGACCCTGTCTCAAAAAGAAAAAGGAAAGAAGGAAAGAAAGAGAGAGAGAGAGAGAAAGGAAGGAAGGAAGGAAGGAGAGAGAGAAGGAAGGGAGGGAGGGAGGAAGGAAGGGAGGGAGGGAGGGAGGGAGGAAGGATGGAAGGAAGGAAGGCAGGAAGGAAGGAAGGAAGCGGGGTGGGGGGAGAAAAATTCCCCTCCACCTCCATGCTGTGGAAGAAATAGGACCTGGCATCGGCGTTTTGGGAACCGTAGCGAGCATACTTAGGTTGAAATTAAGGTTCAGAATTCAGTTCACTCAGCCAGAGAAGATAAAAGAACCAAGATGGAGGGAAAATATTCATGTGGGCAATCACGTTTTCACTTATTTTTATTTATTTTAAAAATAGGCCGGGCACTGTGGCTCACACCTGTAATCCCAGCACTTTGGGAGGCCGAGGTGAGTAGATCACGAGGTCAGGAGATTGAGACCATCTCCTGGCCAACGTGGTGAAACCCTGTCTCTACTAAAATGCAAAAAATTAGCTGGGTGTGGTGGCGGGCGCTCGTAGTCCCAGCCACTTGGGAGATTGAGGCAGGAGAATCACTTCAACCCGGGAGGTGGAGATTGCAGTGAGCTGAGATGGCGCCAATGCAGTCCAATCTGGGCGACAGAGTGAGACTCCATCTCAAAAACAAACAAACAAAAACTGTTATCTTGGGGCCCAGAACTTAACATTCTTTTAGTCCGCTGTAGGGCTCTGGCATGAACCCTGTGTGCAAAATGCACATGATGGGGAGGCTGCCTACAACACTGGGAAGTCACCTTAAGGGATTTAAGGGAAAGGTAGACCCTAGGTTTTCTGAGACCTTAATCATTTATGGCCAGGATACTGACGTGTCTGAGAAACAGCAGGGCTGCTGCTGCCAAACAAGACGAAATTTATAAGCAAATGGGGCATTGCTATGACAGTGTCAAACACTGGGCAAATTAAGTGTATTGTTAACTATCGAATCTCAGAGGCCTTAGCCAAGCCTCTCCTTCCTTCTATCTGCTCCCCAGACTGTATTTAGTCCTTTAAGCAACACATATTTATTTGAGGAGAAAGCACTCCGAAAGCCCACAGGGTCTGAGTATCCATTTTAGCTTCTTAAATTTAGAGTAAAATATGTAATTTGCTTGCTCAGGTGTGATCTTTGATGGGTATGTTTAACTTGCCTGTGAAATGTTTGGAGGTAGGAGGTGTCCTCAGAGGTCAGTTAGCCCTGTCTCTTTTCCAGGGAAGGAATCCCCTGTGTATAAGTTTTGTTCAAGGTCAGGAAACAACCCAAATGAAAGTGGCCCAAACAGTAAAGGGATTATTTGACTTTTGAAGACCAGCAGTAGTATGGTGGGCTTCAGGGCTGGTTTGATCCAGTGGCTTGGTAAAGAAACGAAGAATGGTGTTCCTTGCTATCCTTACACTCTGACTCCACGCTCTCTGAAAGCTTTGTCTTAAATCTGGTCTCCCAGGTTTAATGCTTATTGCATCAGAAGAAATTTCCTAAATGGATGACAATGGTAACTGGTAGATAGTAAACTCCTTGGGAGCAGGCGTGATTTTTATATGACTTTGTATCCCAGCACTTAGCATCTGGGAGCCAGTAGATGCTCAATAACTGTTGAAGAGGAAGAAAAGAATGAAGGAAGGAAATAGAGAATCTCTGTTTTGTTCCTTTGCCTAGAGGGACTACTTCTAGCTTTTTGCCATTTAACGTAATTTTGGCTTTTGTTTTAAAGCAGACACTCTTTAAAGTGTTAAATAAGTGCTTTTTATCAATATTTATTTGTTTATTTTCTTTAAAGGCAGTCCCTTGATTTTGTAAAAACGGATGGAGTAAAGTAAAAATACCTGGGCGCTCTCTCCCATATTTCTATTAAATATCCATGAAGATTTATAAATAGAACAAAATCTCCATCAGCTTCAGGAACTCGGGATAAGAATTAAGCATGTGTCAGAACCTGGGAGGAGTTGGTACTGAATACAACTCCAATGGGGCTGGATTAACAGCAAATTCCTCTGTGCCTTTAAGTGTAAGAAAACCCTAAGTGAGAAACAGCCTTGGCTGGTCCCCCACCAACGGCCCGTAGCTCACTGCTTTGCCAGCAGGACTAACCATTTCCCTCCTAGCGGCGCCTTGCCTCTGGCTTTCCCGCAGCATGTAAATGGCTGCCCCTGCCAAAGAAGGGGGAGGTGGGAGGGTCAGACTGTTCTCTTCAGTAGAGGATGCCAGGGCTAAGATAAAGGAGACACCTAAAATCTACCCTTAGAGCTTCCTTGCTGCTTTACACACAGGCAGGACTTAAGCCCCAGAAGAGCATTCTGCTTTTTCTCCCTGATATTCTGAAAACAATATTCATACTTGCGAGGGAGCATTTCTCCCTAGCCGTGCTGGGTTGAGGATCTTCGAGTTGCCTAGAGAATTGGGATGGGGGCCTGCAGAGAACGAAGAACAGGAAACTTGCCCCCAGCCTCAGATGTGAAAGGCAGCAGCTGCAGCCAGCACCCATGGGGCACGAAGGAGCTCTCCCAAGGGGCCAAGGACAGACAGCCATGAACCCCAGCCACTCTCCACTCTGCGACTCTGTTTGTTAAAAAAATGGCCCACCAGGAAACAGAGAGGACACAGAAGCATTAGAAGAGATATGTGACCCTAAAGTCGCAGAGAGAAAAAAAAAGGCTTTCTCTAAAATACATCAATTGTAGTAGAATTGAAGTTCCCGGGGGCAGATTCTTTTACTGTCATTGTTTCACCCCAACCTCTAGTATTGGGTTTGACACATACTAGTAATTTTCTAAATATGTTTTGAAAAAAGAGTGCCACACAAAAACAGTTCACGAAATACCTGTTTAATATTTATTTTGTGTTTTTTGGAGAAAAGGTCTCACTCTATTACCCAGGTTTGGGTGCAATAGTGTGATCATGGCTTACTGCAGCCTTGACCTCCTGGGCTCAAAAGATCCTCCCATTTTGGCCTCCTGAGTAGCTAGAATTACAGGTGCATGCCACCACACCAGCTATTTATTTTTTTTGAGATGTGGTCTTGATATGTTGCCCAGGCTGGTCTTAAACTCCTGGCCTCAAGTGATCCTTCTGCCTCCACCTCCCAAAGTGCTGGGATTACAGATGGGAGTCACTGCACCTGGTCATTAGTCACTTACTAAACATGTTTTGAAAAAAGAGTGGCACACAAAAACAGTTCACAAAGTACTTGATTTGTATTTTTAATAAATTGCAGAAAATCATTTCCTCTAATAAAAAAGATCAGGCCACGAAAAGTAAAGAATGTCTGAAAAGGTCCAATCTTGGGACCTACCAAGCTGACCTTTTGTTAAAACGTGGGTTTTCGGCTGGCGCCGGTGGCTCACGCCTGTAATTCCAGCACTTTGGGAGGCCGAGGCGGGCAGGTCACGAGGTCAGGAGATCGAGACCATCCTGGCTAACACGGTGAAACACCATCTCTACTAAAACTACAAAAAATTAGCTGGGCGTGGTGGCAGGCGCCTGTAGTCCCAGCTACTCGGGAGGCTGAGGCAGGAGAATGGCGTGAACCCGGAAGGCAGAGCAGTGAGCCGAGATCATGCCACTGCACTCCAGCCTGGGCAACAGAGCGAGACTCCGTCTCAAAAAAAAAAAAAAATGTGGGTTTTTATTCAGTTGATCTGGGGTGAGGCCCAAGGTTCTGCATTTTTAACAAGTTTCCACAGGAAACTTAGAACCTCACACTTTGAGTAGAGAGGATTTAGCAGTCTCAAATGTAGCTCTGTGCAGGAAGCATTATTTCTTTTTTTTAGATGGAGTTTTGCTCTTGTTGCCCAGGCTGGAGTGCAATGGTGTGATCTCGGCTCACTGCAACCTCCGCCTCCCGGGTTCAAGAGATTCTCCTGCCTCAGCCTCCCGAGTAGCTGGGATTATAGGCGCCCACCACCACACCTGGCTAATTTTTTGTAGTTTTAGTGGAGACGAGGTTTCACCATGTTAGCCAGGATGGTCTCGAACTCCTGACCTCAGGTGATCCGCCCACCTGGGCCTCCCAAATTGATGGGATTACAGGTGTGAGCCACCATGCCTGGCCAGGAAGCATTATTTCTGTTCTCATCTCTCAGCACCAAGGTGGACAGCACACATCCCGTGAGATACAGAAAGTCGGAGTGATAGGCCAGTGTGGAAGCCAATTACTACAGAAATTTAAAAAAATATAGAAAATGTATATTTTCTTTAGAATACAAAGGAAATGATGTTCTCAGGCAGCCTTGCTGTTCAGAAACAAAGCTTTTCATCATGCTTTGATTAAAGGTAAGGTACTTTCTTAATCTAGATCCATCCACCGAACAGCTGGACAAACCTCAGTTTGGAAAATTATTGCCAAATGTTGTGGAATCTCCCTTGCCATGCTTGTTCTACAATTTGGTTGGAGTTCTGTACCTGGGACAGATGGATGTTTGGGAAATTACTTTACTCTACTGAACATAGCAGACCGTGGGACTTGTGCGTGATTATTACCAAAACCATCGCTAACAAACACTTTTCCAAATTATGACTCATTCCCCTGAGCTGGCTCTTCACAGCGTCTGCTTAGAATACCCGGCCTGATCACTCCTTTTGTCATCTGACTTGCAGACGGGTGCCTGATCTCCTTTGATATACTGTACATGACATCCTAACAAACCCTTCTCTTTAATCAAAGGAATCAGACATATGCCACCGTCAGAAGTCAGGGTGGGGCGAACACAGAGCAGATGTGTTCCTGCAGGTCAGATGGAATGAGGGGATTTGGAACATACACTTGGCATAATCTTTAAATTAACCAGAGGATCTAATTTTAAAATAAAACCCCACATTTTTTGCGGGGCAGAGACATCATAGCCAGCAGCTTTTAGCAGCAGCAAGAAAGCAAACGTTCTGAGGCTTTTCATAAATCCATTTAGAAGTATAGCATTATGTGTGGAAATTTTTGGGCCAGAGAGTCTTACCTTTTTAGATGTCTACAGAAGAAAGAAAACACTTCCACATTCAAAAACCAAAGGGGATATAGATCTCTGTTTTTTTTTTGGTTTTGTTTTTTTTTTGAGATGGAGTCTCGCTCTGTCACCCAGGCTAGAGTACAGTGGCCCGATCTCAGCTCACTGCAACCTTCACCTCCCGGGTTCAAGTGATTCTTCTGCCTCAGTCACCCGAGCAGCTGGGATTACAGGCGTGTGCCACCACGCCCAGCTAATTTTTGTATCTTTAGTAGAGTCAGGGTTTCACCATATTGGCCAGGCTGGTCTCAAACTCCTGACCTCCTGATCTGCCCGCCTTGGTCTCCCAAAGTCCAGGGATTACAGGCGTGAGTGACCGCACCGATCTCTGGGTTTTAAAGCAGCCTTTGAATAAAGGCAGTATACTACTTGTCTATACACAATCATTTTTAAAAATCATATTGCTGGGTGTACATTCGCAGCAGAATAAAAATAAGTCTTTTCTGTGTGTGTTTTATTTTTCACAATTCGGCAGGGCTGTTTTCTTTCCAAGGGAGAAAACGTGCTCGGCAAAGGGCCTGTAATGATGGACATGCTCAATAAGTGCTGGAATAAGATGCAGGTGTTGAGCCAGAGGTTGGACTAACTATTTAGGACAGACCTTGTAAGCCTGAGATGTCTGAGAGTCTGCGTCTGACACATCCACCTGTCTCCTCCACTCCACCTCAAGGTGCTGCATGTGGCTGAGGAAGGGCCATACTGGATGTGGTTCCCTGGGTCCACTGCCCTCCCGCACAACCTGTCTGCTCTGGACCCCAGGTGCTGCCTGCCAAGACTGTGCCAGTAGACCCCCATCCTGTCCTGTACTGGCTCTTCACCCAGACCACCATTCCTGGAAAACAACATCTGCTTCCTCCCAGTTCTTCCCTTTTGGCTGTCAGTACCAATTCTGGGAATGAAGAGACTGATTAAACTGCTCTCCCAGAATTTCTCTCCTTTATCCACAAATAGGCGCCTTATTTCCATTATTTTCACCGCTAGGAGATGGGGTAAGAAAATAGAAAGACTAGGCCAGGCGCGGTGGCTCATGCCTGTAGTCCCAGCACTTTTGGAGGCCGAGGCGGGCAGATCATGAGGTCAGGAGTTTGAGACCAGACTGGCCAACATGGTGAAACCCCATCTCTACTAAAGATATAAAAAATTAGCCGGGTGTGGTGGCGCGTGCCTGTAATCCCAGCTACTCGGGAGGCTGAGGCAGGATAATCACTTGAACTCGGAAGGTGGAGGTTGCAGTGAGCCGAGATTGCACTCCAGCCTGGGGAACAGAGCGAGACTCCATCTCAAAACAAACAAACAAACAAAAAAACAAAAAGGAAAGAAAATAGACTATCTTTGTTTATATAGATTTCAATTCTAGCTCTGCCACTTTCTGTCCAGTGACTTGGAGCAGGTCAGGCAGTTTCTCCGAGCCTCTTAGTTAGCCCCATTCTTTAAGCATCTATGCAATGTGTATTGAACTTTCACTGCATGTCAAGCACTGTGCTGGTTTGAAGGATGTGACAATGAATAAGATGTCATCCCTGCCCCCAAGGAACTTATAATCTAGTGGGGGAGATGTAAATAAACAGAAAATACCAATGCAGGGTGTAGGTGACAACAGAGTCAATATAGGACAGAAGACAGCACAAAGGAGGGGCACCTGTCCAGCCTCATCTTCCCTGAGGAGGCAGCTTCTGGTGAGGATGAAGGACCAGTAAGCATTAAGTGGATGAAGGGTGAGGTGCAGCAAACAGAGAGAGCATGCAGAGTCCAGGGACCAGCACAGTGTTCATTGTGGCTACAGCTTGCATTAGGGGAGTGCATGTGGAAAGGGAGCAAGGGAAGAGGTGAGAAATGAGGTTTTCTAGGCAATCAGGAGCCAGAGGTTGAAGGCCCATGCAAGGTTTCACATAAGGAGTTTGGACTGAAGGATCTGGAGGGGGAAATGAAAGGTCTTGATTCCTCCCCTTCTCCGTCCTGCCTCATTCACTTCCTTTTCAAGTCCTGTTGTTCCATTTCCAAAATACCATCCCAGATCCTCCAACTTCTCCATAGCCACTGCCTTCTTCCTCTAGTTGATTATAATCCAAACAAGCCAAAGCTTGGCTTCTTTGGCACAAGTGAGAGAAGATTCTGGTCTGAGCTAAAGCGGTGAGAGTGGTGTCAGGAAAAGTGGATCTATTTGAGTGCTAAGAAGATAGACTCTTCCCATACTGAGTGAGGCACTTGGGATATAGAGATGAGTAAAAACTGACACAGTCTCTGCTGTTACAGATGTTATCATCCTGTTGGGGGGACAGAGATTAACAAAATGATCACACAAATAAAGGTAAAATTACAACAGGAACAAGTGTTATGTGGGTCTTGCCATGGTACCTGGAATCTGGTCCAATCAGGGCCTTCAACTGGAAGAGAGATCCTAGTGAAGACTCTCAGAGAATGTCAGGTTGTGCTTGAGCTGAAACCTAAGAATGAGTAGCAGTTCATTAAGCAGTTAGCTTAGGTGGGAAGGGGTGCCCATTCTGGTTAGGAGCATCAGGCAGTGAAGAGCACACTGGGCATGGGGGACTAGGAGAGGGGCAGAGAGAGCCAGGAGAGGAGGGATTGCTTGCTGCAAGCGAGCCTGGAGAGGAGGACAGGGGGAGACTGTCAGGCTTCACAGGTCATGGGAGAGAGCTTCACCTTTCCCCAAGGAGCAACCGGAAGTCCCGAAGGATGTTCAAGTAGGCAGTGTGGTGGAAGTCGGTTTGTATTTTGAAAGGCACACTTTGCTTCTGTGTTGGAGACTGGATTAATCTACTTGAATGAATGACAAAGAAAATGACATAGGAACTGAAAAATTTCCCAGAGACAGAGGGATAATGCTCACAGCTATGACCTGGTTGTTAAGACTGGAACACACAGTACGTGTCACCCAGTTATGGTAGAAAAAATGGACAGAGAAGTAGTTGGTTCAGAGGGGAAGCCTTTGCAAAATCCACTTAATGTAACAGGCAAATCAGCTGCAAAGCATTATATTCTTCTTTCCTCTCTAAGAAAAACCGAGGGGACTCACTTCTACTATATGGAAGATTGTAATTTACAGATTACAAAAGTTATTTCAAGAAAACAAAAAATGGTTTTTGCTAATATAGTAAAATGCAATGTAGATTTCCAAACACTGCTAGAATTACAAAATCTATTTGAAATTAAAACACATCCTAACAACTTAAAAGAGAAAACTGGGCCGGGCGCGGTGGCTCACTCCTGTAATCCCAGCACTTTGGGAGGCCAAGGTGGGCAGATCACAAGGTCAGGAGTTCAAGACCAGTCTGACCAACATGGTGAAACCCCATATCTACTAAAAATACAAAAATTAGCCAGGTGTGGTGGTGCGACCCTGTAATCCCAGCTACTCAGGAAGCTGAGGCAGGAGAATCTCTTGAACCCAGGAGCGGAGATTGCAGTGAGCCAAGATCGCACCACTGCAGTCCAGCCTGGGTGACAGAGTGAGACTCCATCTCCAAAAAGAAAAGAAAAGAAAACCCATTTGGAATGGAAGGAGAAGGCAGAGAAAGGGTAATAATCTTTTTCTGTTACTTTCAATCCAGAAATCCCCTTGCTGCTGCTGTTTCTATCCTGGAGCTGCCGCATGAGGAATTGTCTGCTCAGCATCTCCATGAGACTAAAATTCCAAAAAGTGAATACGAACTCTCAATGCCCAATTACTTTGTTTGTAGAAAAGATGACATCTGAAGCTTTGGAATGGAGTGGGGGACCCAACCATACTCTCGCAAAAGCAACATACATTTTCCAGAACACCACGGTCAATAGTGGGAAATGCCTGCTGGCAGGAAGCTTTTAAATTACTGAGACCATTAGACACAGCAGACACGATTCGAGCAAACATCTCTTAGAGTCAAAATATGAATGGATAATGGAATCTATGAGAGGAAGGATCAATGAGCATTGTAATTTGCAAATACAGAGAGATGGGCAGATGCCTAGGGAGACAGTTGAACATTGGGATTACACCTCATCCCCAGGTTTTTACAAAAGCTTTGACTTGGTAGAAAATAGCCTGGCTATAGAGTGTGTAACAGTTACAAAATGTTTAAAATGTTTTGTAAGATTTCAGTTTAAGATGGTGGTTCTCAACCAGAGGCAACTTTGCCCCGAGGGGATATCTGGCACTATCTGGAGACATTTTTGGTTGTCATAACTGGTGGGATTTGAGGTGCTTCTTGTATCTAGTGGGTAGAAGCCAGGGATGGTACTAAACATCCTATAATGGACAGAACCTCTTCCACTCTCAGCCACAACGAAAGATTATCCAGCCCAGGCCAGGCGCGGTGGCTCACACCTGTAATCCCAGCACTTTGGGAGGCTGAGATGGCGGATCACCAGGTCAGGAGATCGAAACCATCCTGGCTAACATGGTGAAACCCCGTCTCTACTAAAAATACAAAAAAATTAGCCGGGCGTGGTGTCGGGCCCCTGTAGTCCCAGCTACTTGGGAGGCTGAGGCAGGAGAATGGCGTGAACCTGGGAGGCAGAGCTTGCAGTGAGCTGAGATTGGGCCACTGCACTCCAGCCTGCACTCCAGCCCGGGCGACAGAGCGAGACTCTGTCTCAAAAAAAAAAAAAAAGATTATTCAGCCCAAGATGTCATTAGTGCCAGGGTTAAGAAGCCCTGGCATAAGAAGAAAACGGTATGAAAGATTTTAAAAGGGACTGAAATCCACAACCCCTTGAAATAGGATGTGTACCCCACAGCATGAAGGAGGGCCCTGTTAAGGAAGAGGGAGGGAAGCTGTGTTCCTGCTGTAAAACTTGCTGGGACCAAGTGTGAAGAAAAGCCTGGAACCTCAGGCAGTCACTGTGACTGAATTATGTTGTTCCCCTCAGCGCCACTTTTTGTTGCTAGCTGGCTGTGATAAAATCAATCAGTTTTGAGATTCTTGAATATACAAGAAAGTAATAGAGAAAAATGTATTGATAAAACATGAAGAATGTTGTCAGTCTACATGGGCTGCTGCCAGTCTCTCAGATTCAGGTTCAAAGGCAGACTGGAAAGTGACAAGAGCTGAGCTACTACATTGTCCTGATTCCAAGACAAGTTGCTTGCTGGGTTGTGATGTTGGAAAGGCTCACCGCTCTGCATGGGGTTTGGGAGCCCAGCCAGGACTTGTGACAAGCCCTCTCTTCGCCAACAAGTGTCAGGGCCTCACCCCACACCACCTCTGGCATGTCTAGCTCCTTACTGTGTCTTCTGTACCATGTGAAAGAAACTCACCTATGTTCACAAGTCACAAAATGAACTAGGATTTAGAACGGCAGAGAATTTTGTCTCAATTCAAACATATTTTTAAGCTTTTAGATGTCCATGAATCCACTGTCTGATTTCCTTGCCTGCTATTTAAAAGTGCTTTATCTTCACTTTCCTGCTTAGCTTGGAAATGTATCTGCATCTTCCTAAGTCTGTTCTCACACCCCCTTCTGAATTGGGTCTCTCTTGAGGATTTGTTCTAATGATTCTGTTTTCTGTAACTTCTCTTGTTCCTTCTCCTGCCTTGGCTTGTTCCTTTCTATTTACCAACAAACCTAAAACCCCAACCCTAAAACCAAACATGACAAACAACTCCCTCTGTCTGGAGCAATGGTATCCACTGGAGTTGTGCAAGATGGTGTTATTGTATCTACCTTATGGAGTTAATGTAAAGATTAAATGATTTAGTACCTATAAAACTCAAAACAATGCTTAGCACATAAGTGGTCAATCAATGTTAACTAGTTACTATTATTTAAATGATTTCTATGCTCAACATCTATCCTCTCAACATATTTTTCTATCCCTGGGTTGCTTCTTTTGACTCATCTCCTGGGTATTATAATTCCTAAGTTTTTGCTTGCATACTTGAGAATGTTGCTCTGTTACTTTTTTATTTAGAGGACATTCTGGCTGGTTATAAACTTAGTTACTAACCTTTTATTTTCTCTACGCTTTTGTAGACATTTCTCAAAAAGTGTTTCTAGGGAAAATAATAACTTTACAGGAAAAAAAGTTGGTAGACACCTTCTTAACAAAGTGATCATAAGTTAATATCATCAATACTGGGACAGCCTGACTTCCTGTATCCATCCGTGTTTATGATTGGCTTTTGCCATCTGGATGCCCATAAGATTCTTTTTTTTTTTTTTTCTTGAGATGGAGTCTCTGTCTGTCACCCAGGCTGGAGTGCAGTGGCACAATCTCAGCTCACTGCAACCTCTGCCTCCCAGGTTCAAGTGATTCTCCTGCCTCAGCCTCCCAAGCAGCTGGGACTACAGGCGTGTGCCACCAGGCCCGGCTAATTTTTTTGTATTTTTAGTAGAGATGCGATTTCACCGTGTTAGCCAGGATGGTCTCGATTTCCTGACCTCGTGATCCGCCCGCCTCGGCCTCTCAAAGTGCTGGGATTACAGGCGTGAGCTACCGCGCCCGGCCAAGATTCTTTCTTTACAATTCAAGTTTATGCTCTTCACCAGCGTATGTCTTGGTATTAGTCATTCTGTATCATTTTCTTCCCTTGGGGGGGGTCTTTGCGTCTCAAGATTTATGTATTCAATGCAGGTAAAAAGTTTCTTTGATATCTTGATTTTGTTCTGTTCTCTTTTTTAGGAACACCAAATTAGTTACATGTTTGATTTCCTTTGCTATCCATATCTATATTTCTGCAATAATTTTAAATATCTTTATTTTTTCTGTTTCATTTTGGATGATTTCCTTAAATGTATCCACATGAACTCTACCAGATTTCAGCCAAAATTACATGGCCCTGTAATTTTTTTTTTTTCATTTCTTTCCCAAGGTCTGCAGCTCATTTTTCATCTCTCTTTGTTGTCTTGTCATTTCCACCTTGAATGCTTCTGTCTGTTGCATCTCTTCTCTTCAGTTTCTTTCTTTTCGGAGAAATCATGTTGTTCCATAATTTTATTGAGATAATGGAAGACTGTTTGTAGAAACTCTTCCCCTATGTCTTTGGATAATTTCTGTTGTGATTTACTTTGCATTTTTTATGCAAAGATCCTGTTTATGTTTCATCTTTTTCTTTGAATGTGGTTATCTAACTACCAAAATATAGTAGAAAGTTTTAGGGTCTCCAATTTTCTCTCATTTAATTTTTTTTTGCCCTTGGGGCAATTCTCCCCCCAGCTATCAGCATTCAGGAGTCCGTGGTTGTTAATGGACAGTCCTTTAAGTCCCAGTCTCCCTCTGTTGTGATCTGACCATCACTGTCCCCCATCTCCCTTCATCCTGCTTTCCTCTATTACCTTCCTCTTCCTGTTGGCCACGTCATCAACTTAGGATATAGAAATGGCCCATGGCATTGAACTAGAACCCTCTGGACCTCCACCTCCATCCCAAAGGACCTTTTCACAATGATGACACTTACTTTTGGGAGAACATATACTCTGCTCATTCAGAGGTTCTAAAAAACACATTATAATGGACATCCAGATCCCTGCTCAGGACTAAAGGACTTATTTGTCCAGTGGCTAGGAGTGCTGCTGGCAAGCAGCCCTCAGCTGTCAGCTTTCTTTGGAATTGCCTTGTCTGGAGAGAGTTGTGATGCCCAGGGTCATGCCTTCTTCCTAGGGAAGCTTGTATCCAATGAGTGGTCGATGCAGGGATATAAAAGTCCAGCCCCAGCTGGGCCCAATAGCTCACACCTGTAATCCCAGCACTCTGGGAGGCCGTGACAGGAGGATCACTTGAGGCCAGGAGTTCAAGATCAGTTTCAGCAATATGGTAGGCACCCCCTAACCCCCAGCTTTACAAAAAAAAAAAATAATAATAATAATAAACGGCCAGGCATGGTGGCTCATGCCTGTAATCCCAGCACTTTGGGAGGCTGAGGCGGGCGGATCACGAGGTTAGGAGATCGAGACCACCCTGGCTAACATGGTGAAATCCCATCTCTACTAAAAATACAAAAAATTAGCTGGGCGTGGTGGCGGGTGCCTGTAGTCCCAGCTACTTGGGAGGCTGAGGCAGGAGAATGGTGTGAACCTGGGAAGCAGAGCTTGCAGTGAGCCGAGATCACGCCACTGCACTCCAGCCTGGGTGACAGTGGGAGACTCCATCTCAAAACAAACAAACAAAAAACCCCCAAACAACAACAACAACATAAAAAACAAATTAGTCAAGTGTGGTGGCACTCACCTGTAGTCTCAGCTGCTGGGGAGGCTGAGGTGGGAGGATCCCTGTAGCCCAGGAATTTGAGGCTGCAAGTGAGCTATGATCACCACTCCACTCCAGCCTGGGCAACAGAACAAGACTCAGTCTCTTTAATAAATAAACAAACAAATAAAAAGTCCAGCCCCCTCGCCTGAACTCAGGACATCTCTGAAGGGCCATCCCAACTCCAGAGATCCCTGTGGGTAGAAATGAGGCCTTTGTCAAGACAGCATTACAGTTCAATTCCCTTCTCTGCCCTGTCCTGCTCCCTTTTCTCCTCTTCCCCAGGTGATGATTCCTATAAAACACTCCCCAATAAAGGTCCTGTATTTTCTTTTCTTTTCTTTCTTTTTTTTTTTTTTTTTTTTTTTTTGGGACGGAGTCTCGCTCTCTCTCCCAGGCTGGAGCGCAGTGGCGCGATCTCCGCTCACCGCAAGCTCTGTCTCCCGGCTTCACGCCATTCTCCTGCCTCAGCCTCCCGAGTAGCTGGGACTAGAGGCGCCCGCCACCAGGCCCAGCTAATTTTTTTTGTATTTTTACTAGAGACAGGGTTTCACCATGTCAGCCAGATGGTCTCGATCTCCTGACCTCGTGATCTGCCCGCCCTGGCCTCCCAAAGTGCTGGGATTACAGGCGTGAGCCACCGCACCGTACCAAGGTCCGGTATTTTCAATGCTGTCTCAGATTCTGCTTCCTGGGAGACCCAGCTGGAGATTCTCATGTGTTGAGATACATGGTGGCTCTCTGCAGGATCTCTTGTCTCTATCTAGATTGATAGACTTGGACAGCTTGGACTCATCAAAGATCACCTCTTTTCTTTAGTTTTTCCCCCATGAGTTTGGAGGTATGGGAATGGAGTAAAAAAAAAAAAAAATTCATTCTTGCTATATGTATGCAGAATCCAGAGTCAAAAGAACTAATTTAAAAAACTTTTTATTTTTATATAATTTCAAATTTTCAGAAAAGTTGCAAACGTAGTACAAAGAACTTCTATATATACTTTAGATTCACCAACAGTTTGTATATTGCACCCATTTGCTTAATCACTCTGTCTCATATATGTATCATGTATATGCTTATTACTATTATTATTTTAACCATTTGAGAGTAAGTAGCAGACACACTGGCTTCTTTATTCCTAAATGCTTCAGCACTTCCTAAGAACCAGGACGTTTTCTTACATGATCATAATATAGTGATAACAATAGGGAAGTTTAACAGTGATATAAAATTATCTATCAATCCACAGTCCGCCTTCACTTTTGTCAGTTGTCCCAACTATGTCCTTTGTAGCTATTCTTTTCCGGTCCTGAATCTAATCCAGAATCATTCTTTGTACTTAGTTGTCACGAATCTTTAGTTTCTGTAATCTATAACAGTTCTTCTGTCTTTTGTGCTTTTTGTGACTTCAACATTTTTGAAAGGTAGAGGTCAATTATTTTGCAGAATATTCCTCCATTGAAGTTTGTTTGCTGTTTCCTTGTGACTGGATCTAGGTTTTTTCATTTTTGGCAGACACACCACAGTATGATGCTGTGTTACTGTCTGTGTATCATAACACGATGTCAGTTTGTCCCAGTATTCGTGATGTTAACTTTGACCACTTTGTTAAGAAGGTGTCTACCAACGTTTTTTTTTTCCTGTGAAGCTATTATTTTCCTTTTGTGATTAGTAAGTAATTTAGGGGAGATATTTTGAGATTATGTAAATATCCTGTTACTTACCAAACTCCCACCTAATAATTCCAGCATCCATTGATAATTTTAAAACTCTGTCTTTCCTTCCATGTTTATTATTTCCTCTATGGGTAAGGAAACACTGTCTGTGCATATATATTTAAATCAGAGTGGACTTGTGGGTTCTTATTGTATTCAGTGGGCAATAATTCATCCAATTTGATGCTCAAACTGTTTCCTCATAATTATTTAGTTTGATTCCCAAGTTGTTTAAGATTTGGCCAGTGGGAGCCTCTTCAGGTAGGCTCCTGTGTCCTTTAGACATGTTCCCATCATATATAGAACACATCAGTCTTTTCTGTTGAAACAAGATGTTTCAGGTCCATATTGCACTTTCCCTGCCCCACCCCTGAAATTAGCCCTTTCTCCAAGGAGCCGTTATTTCTCTCTCTCTCTCCCCCTCTCCTATCTACCTATCTACCTACCTACCTATCTCTAGCTCTATATTTATATCTATAAATTAAAAGGCATATAGTATAGATCATTCATACCGATACCTCTATTCCAATCCAACACTACAAGATTTATTCTGGGATTTCCCTTTCCATATTTGTAACTCTCTTCAGCAGTGAGAAATCTGGCTTCCATTTTCCTCAATACTTTTACTAATTTTCTCCAGCCTAGAATTCAGAAAGTAGCTTCTGAATTGCTAACATATCCCATTGTGAAAAAGCCAACCTGCTAATTAGAATTAAATATGTGTTTAAGGGTCTTTTTCTTTTCTAGGTAAAATTTACATACAGCAAAATTGATGAGATTTGATCAATGTCTATACCCATGTAACTATCATACAATCAAGACATAAATAAAATATTTCCATCAGCCCATAAAGTTCCCTCATGCCTCCTTTTAGTAAATTCCTGTGCCCCAAGGGTAATTACTGTTCTGAATTCTATCACCACAGATTAATTATGTTTCTTCTATTTTTGTATAGAGACTGTACTGTAAGCTCAAATTCCTGGGCCCAAGTGATCCTCCCATCTCAGCCTCCCGAGTAGCTGGGACTATAGGAACCCACCACCGTGCTCAGCTAATTTTAAAAATTTTTGTAGAGACAGGATCTTGCTATGTTGGCTAGGCTGGTTTTGAACTCCTGGCCTCCAGCAATCCTCCCACCTTGGCTTACCAAAGTGCTGGGATTACAGGCATGAGCCACTGCACCCCACCTATTTATGCCTGTTCTTGAACTTCATATAAATGGAAAATATAGTATGTGCTCTTTTGCATCTGGCTTTGTTTATGCAAAATAATATTTTTGAGATTCAGCCATGTTGTGACATGTATCAGTTGTTACATTCAATTTTATTACCAAGACGTAGTCCATTATGTGAATATATTACAATTCGGCTTATCCATTCTCCTGTTGATGGACATTTCATCGTTTTCGCTATTGAAATAAAGTTGCTATAAACATTCACATACAAATTCTTTAAGGAAAAATGTTTTTGTTTTTCTTGAGTAAATACCTAGCATGTCATAGAATGGTTGTATGTTTAACATGATAAGAAACTGCCAAACCAGTTTTAAAATAGTTGTTTCCTTGTATCTTCCTACCCACAATGGATGAGAGTTCCGGTTGCTCCACATTCTTGCCAAGATTCGGCAGCTGTAAATCGTTTTCACTGTAGCCATTCTGGTGGATGTGCGATGTTATCTCATGACGACTGTCACTGCATTTCTCTGATGACAAATGATGCTGAGCATCTTTTCACATGCTTAGTGGTCATTTGCATATCTTCTTTTATGAAATGTCTGTTCAATCTTTTTTTTTTTTTTTTTTTTGAGATAGAGTCTCGCTCTGTCACCAGGCTGGAGTGCAGTGGCGTGATCTCGGCTCACTGCAACCTCTGCCTCCCGGGTTCAAGCGATTCTCGTGCCTCAGCCTCCTGAGTAGCTGGGACTACAGGCACGCACCACCACGCCCAGTTAATTTTTGTATTTTTTTTTTTAGTAGAGACGGGGTTTAACCACATTGACCAGGGTGGTCTTGATCTCCTGACCTCATGATCTGCCCATTTCGGCTTCCCAAAGTGCTGGGATTACAGGTGTGAGCCACCGTGCCCAGCCTGTCTGTTCTATCTTTTGCTGTTTTTAATTGGGTTGTTTGCCTTTTCACTACAGATTTGTAGGATTTCTTTATATATTCTGAATATAAGTCTTTTGTCAAATATATGTATCATAACCATTTCTCGGAAAAGTAGTTCCAGTACAGTGGAGAAAAATCATTACAATACATATATTCTCCTTTTCATTTCATTTTCTCAATGGTGTCTTTTCTTTTTTCTTTTTTTGAAGCAGAGTCTCACTCTGTCACCCAGGCTGCAGTACAGTAGTGCAATCTCAGCTCACTGCAACTTCCGCCTCCTAAGTTCAAGCAATGCTCCTACCTCAGCCTCCCAAGTAGCTGGGATTACAAGAGCCCGCCACCATGCCCAGCTAATTTTTGTATTTTTGTAGAGAAGGGGTTTTGCCATGTTGGCCAGGCTGGTCTTGATCAATGGTGTCTTTCGATCAGCAGATTAGTTTGATTTCAATGCTGTCCAGTTTATCAAAATTTCCTTTTATGTTTAGTGCTTTCTGTGTCCTTTCTAGGAAATCTTTACCTATTTTTTTTAACCCTAAAAGCTTGGTAGCTTCAGCTTTTATATTTAGAGCTATAATCAATCTCAATTTAATTTTATGTGTGGTATACAGTAGGGGTCGAGGCTCATATGTTTTTCTGTACATTTATCCCATTGTTTCAGCTCCATTTATTGAAAGACTTTCTTTGCCTCCATTGAATTACCTTGGTGCCTTGGTTGAAAATCAATTGTCTTTATATTTGTGGGCCTATTTATGGACTCTGTTCTCTTCCATTAACCTATTTTTCCGTTATTGCACGACTACCACATCTTGACTCCTGTAGCTTTATAGTAAAATTTGAAATCAGGTAGTGTGTGTCCTAAAGCGTTGTTCTTTTTTTTTTGAGACAGAGTCTCGTGTTGCCCAGGCTGGAGGGCAGTGGCGCAATCTTGGCTCACTGCAACCTCTGTCTTCTGGGTTCAAACTTTTGTTCTTCTTTTTCAAGGTTGGTTTAAGTACTCTAGGTCCTTGCATTTCTGCATATATTTTATTAGTAGCCCATCTGTTTCCACAAAAATGTCCTTTGGGATTTTGATTGATATTAACCTATAGATTACTTTGGGGAGGAATTAAAATCTTAATAATAATGTCTTCTAATGTATGAACTTGATGTAAGCTTGAGTTACATCAAGCTTACAGACTTTGACCCTTTGACTTTCTCTCTTGCAATGCATATATGTATGTATGTATGTATGTATATGTATGTCTGTATATGTTGGACAGCTGTAGTCAGTAGACAGCTGTAGTCAGTAGAAAGTTCTTTGCTCTACTTCTGTTGAGCTGAAAATTATATCTGCAACCTCCAGCAGCTGGATAAAAGCAGAGGATCAGAAAGAGGAGTATTATGTATATACGCTGATTCTGGGAAAAGTTGGCAATAAGGATGATGAGGAGAGAGGCATGGGCTCCTCTGTACTTGGAGGCAGCATAAGACCTGGCTCTCCTAGCTGTTGGTCCAATGTGACTCATGCCACTGGTGGGAAAGGGATGGTTAGAAATGGGGAGAAGCATCCAGAGCTGATATTATGGAATACTTGGAGGAGAGATAAATGGCCTAAATTCTGGCTGAAGAGGCTGGTTATTTCAGGAAGCTGATGAAAAAAGGGGCCATCGTAGACAGATACATCTTATGTAAATATGTCTTCCCCAGAGTAGCATATGTCCCATTCAGGACTAGGCTGAGTCTTTAGGTCTGAATGATAAACAGATCTTCACTTCTCAGGGCTGGTCAATTGTGTGAATATTTCACTGCAGTAGAACATATCAACAACAACATAATCTAAAAATAACCACCATTGATTGGGTAGTCATTCTGTGCCAGACCCAATACTACCATTTTACATATATTTTGTTTTTCACAACAATCTTTTGAGTTAGGTAACATCAGCTATATGTTACAGATGAAGGAACTAAGGATTTGAATGGTGACGTGGACCGTGACCACATGGTTAGCAAACGGGAAAGCCCTTACGCTAACCCCCACACCTCCCAGTCTCTCTGCATAGCATCTATCTATAGTCACTTCCAATCTCACAGTCTTAATGCCCCTGAGACCTTGTCATCCTGGGGGAAGCCCCATTGATGTCTAATTTACCTTCCTGGCAACTTCTCTTCCCCATAAATCTAGACCAAGGCCAGGGTGAGCCTCTCTGTCAGATTCTGTCTCCATCGGGCCCTAATTAGCCCAATGGAGATGGAACACCATGCCATCAGCGCTGGAAATTAGACTTGGGAAATCCCTGGTGGTGTTTAGGCCATTATTACTCAGCCTGGGCTTGCTTCTGGGCTTTTAAGTGCATTAGCGCACTCTGCATTGACTTGACTGACTGCTCTGTGCTGGCTGACTTGTCAAATTACCTCTCATTTGTACAGCTCACCTGATGTTGTTGAAGCACTTTCCTGGCATTGGGAGCTGCTGGTTCATCCTGAGGGATCTGGGGACTGGGCCTAGTTTTACAGATGGAGAAGATGAGACATAGCTCTTTTGAGTAAGTGTGTGGTTGGTTTCCTTCAAATGCTTAATGTTTGTAACTGCAGTGATTTTCATGTGGAAAGATCTAAAGTTTCAATTTGGCTACATAATAAGCCTCAGAATGAGGCCATGTTTCAAGGTATCAAAGTGAAGCATAGAGGGGATCAATTTGTTATTGAATATGGGCCCTGTAAGCCACCCAAAGGAATAGCCTGGATCTGGAGGTTGACAGCCATTATCTCCATCATCTGGAGTCACAGGCTGGTGGTCTAAAGTTACATAGCTGTTCTTGTTGCCCTAATGGAAGTGGTTTACCAGAGGCTGCCCAAGAATGACAGCATTACGAATACAGATCTGTGGTCTTGTGACTTCACCTTAGATCAGTGCCATCTCCCCACCTGGTGGGCAAAGGGGCTAGTTAGAAGGGAAGGGGCAACACATCTATCAATTCATCCCATCAACCCATCCACAATTCATCCATCTATCGATGCATCTACCCATTCCTGAACCCATCCTTCCCACACATTTTAATTGAGCAACTACTAAGTACTAGGTTTCATACTTGATAGGCACTTAGGATGAGACTGGTTGGAAGGAGTCTCAAGCAAATACCCAGCCAGGCAAAGAATAGTCTCCCGACATGGTTCAGGTGAAAATAATTCCAAAAGGCAGCAGTCGAGACCAGGGAGTCAGTTCCCCTGCACCAGCAGAAATACACACAGAATGGGAGTCAAAATAACCAAATAACCCACTCAACAAGCTGGAGAAAACAGCCCACGTTGGCATGGGAATACCTCATCCTAGGCCGGTCTTCCAGGAGGAGTGACCTTGCTCTAAGTCCCTATGTAGTTGTGGGAGGAGAATCTGAGGACTTCCCACCTCATGTCTAGAATGCAGGAGTCAAGCTGAGCCTTGGGTAGGAGTACCAGGAGACCAGGAATGGGGAGCTTGGAAAGGCTAAGTTTCGGGCATGAAACAGGGGTTCATGGGCAAGATTTTCCAGCTCTGCTAAGCTGGAAAAGTATTTCTCTTGATTGCTGTTTTGATATCAAGACTACCCCCCTACCTAGGTGCATCTACTTACTTTCTCTGAAAGTGCAAACCTCTACTTCAGAAAAGTTCTAAAAATTTGCATACATAAAAATTATTGTGGGGGTACTGTGACAATGCTCTTACTTGAGCCCTGACCCTACAGATTTGGATTCAGTGAGTCTGGTTGGGGAAGGTGGCTCTGGATGAGGGGTAGCTCAGGAATCTATATTTTAAATAAGTCAACCAGGAGAATGAGAAGCCACCAGGGTATCCATGGAGACATTTTTAGAAGCACTGCCAAATCCCATCGGCACACAGCTGTAGCCAGGGCCAGGTGCAGAAGGGGGTCCCTGCCATACCGGCCTCGTTTTCTCAAATTCTTAGCCCTGGTTCCTTTGACCCCACCCCTTGCCCACTCCCATCACCCTCTTTGCCATCATTTGCCCAAGTTGCTCTCCTGGGACTTGACCACCATTTAGGTTTAGGTCCATTCTCAGCCTGCTTTCCACAGCTCCATTCTAGTGGATGACCAGGCCTCATGAAGTTGGCTGCCACAAATAAAACCTTGAAAACAAGAAACTTCTAAAAGCTGGTGATCTGGGAAAGATAGGGCTTTTGTACCCAACTTTAAATTGGTGGTAGGAGATAGAAGCTGTATATTGTGATATTTCTTTGGCTTTTTCTTTTGGGGAACATAGTTAAATTACAGTATCAAGAGAGGCACAATTATAAAGAACTTGTGAATTTTGCTTTTTATAAATCTAGGAATACATCAGGATCCCTAGATTAAGGTGCCATTTCAAATGAGAAGTCCACATATTGATGACGATTCTGTATTTTACACGAAAAATTCCTTTCCTGGAACTTGTCCTGCTCAAAGGCAGAGGTAGTCCAATGAAAATTTTAAGTTTGTGAAACTCTTGCACCTCACTTCCCTTTTGCTTGGACTTTCCCCACAGTCTCTAGGACTCTCTGATTCTCCTACAAAGAAAAAAGAAGGCAACCAAGAAATTAATAACATAGTAAAAATCAGTTCCACCTACAACCACTACCAGGAGTGTGTGTCTTTTAAAAGAAGTTGCATAGCAGGAGATGCTCTAAAAAGCAACATGCCAAGAGAATATTTGAGACATAGTGAACGGTTGCGGTCAAGGGGGACATTTTGGGACCTTGTATATCTTTCCGGATTTCCAGAGTCCACTGGTCATTGACTCTCTCACCTGTTCATGTAAGTGGCTCTGCTCAGGGTGGCACTTTGGAAGGTCAGAGAGTAGCAAATATCAGGTGGGAAATCTGGCTTTTTTTTTTTTTTTTTTTTTTTTTTTTGAGATGGAGTCTCACTCTGTCGCCCAGGCTGGAGTGCAGTGGCGCGATCTCGGCTTACTGCAAGCTCCGCCTCCTGGGTTGATGCCATTCTCCTGCCTCAGCCTCCCAAGTAGCTGGGACCACAGACGCCCGCCACCACGCCCAGCTAATTTTTTTTGTATTTTTAGTAGAGATGGGGTTTCACCGTGTTAGCCAGGATGGTCTTGATCTCCTGACCTCGTGATCCGCCCACCTCGGCCTCCCAAAGTCCTGGGATTACAGCCACCACGCCCAGCCTATGGCTTGCTTTAAAGTAGCAAGTTGAGTGTCAGTGGTAGGTGGCACCTTTGATTGGTAGAGAGTGGGCATTTTACCCAACCTGAGTCAATCATTTAACAACACCCTTCAAGTGACTGGTCAATCAATGGAGATTTGACCTATGTTGGACCTACCAGAACTCTTTTTTGGGACACAGAATCTGCCAGTGGCCATGTTTCCAGGAAAGCCAACAAGTGGGAGACATGAAGATAGAAGGTGAGAGAGTCTTGTGTGATGTGTTTTTTGTTTTTTTTTTTTTTTTTTTTTTTGTTATTGTTGTTTTGAGACAGAGTTTTGCTCTTGTTCCCCAGGCTGGAGTGTAGTGGTGTGATCTTGGCTCACTGCAACCTCTGCCTCCTGGGTTCAAGCTATTCTCCCACCTCAGCTTCCTGAGTAGCTGGGATTACAGGCATGCGCCACCACACCTGGCTAATTTTTTTGTATTTTTAGTGGAGATGGGGTTTCTCCATGGTGGTCAGGCTGGTCTTGAACTCCCCACCTCATGTGATACACCCGCCTGGGCCTCCCAAAGTGCTGAGATTACAGGCGTGAGCCACCACGCCCAGCCTCTTGTGTGATTCTTTAGGTCAAACAGGGCTGCTTCAGGGCTCTATTTGTTTACCTGGACTGCCATCACAAAGTACCACAGTGTGGGTGGCCTAAAACAACGGAAATTTATTTTCTCAGAGTCCTCCAAGCTGAAGTCTGCGCTGCAGGTGTTGGTAGGGCTGGTTTCGCCTGAAGCCTGTCTCCGTGGCTTGCAGAGGGCTGCCTTCTCCCTGAGTCTTCACAGGGTCTTCCCTCTGTGCATGTGAATGTCCAAGTTTCTTCTTCTCAGAAGGACATCAGTCATATTAGGACACATCCTAGTAACCTCATTTAAACTTAGTTAACTCGTTAAGGACATTATCCCAAATACAGTCATTTTCTGAGATACTGGAGGTTAGGACTTCAACATATGAATTTGGGGGGAAGGTGGGAAGAGTTCAGCCCAGGACAAAGGCCCAGCGGTAAAGCATAGCGCATGGATTCTCCCACCTCCACCTGTTCCCCAGCCTTTCTCTGGTGCTCCAAGGCACCAGTGGCTGCTGCAAGTGGTATTTTTTTTTTTCTTAGTACATTACTATTTACATATTGTTGGTATGTAGAATTTTTAGAGTCTCAATATATTAGGCATAGAAACCCATTGTCTGTAATAAAAATTACAAATATTTTTCCAGTTTGTCTTTTTTTTTTTTTTTTTTTTGAGACAGAGTCTCGCTCTGTCACCCAGGCTGGAGTGCAGTGGCGCGATCTTGGCTCACTGCAAGCTCCGCCTCCCGGGTTCACGCCATTCTCCTGCCTCAGCCTCCTGAGTAGCTGGGACTATAGGCGCCCACCACCACGCCCGGCTAATTTTTTGTATCTTTCGTAGAGACAGGGTTTCACCGTGTTACCCAGGATGGTCTAGATCTCCTGACCTCGTGATCCGCCCGCCTTGGCCTCCCAAAGTGCTGGGATTACAGGTGTGAGCCACTGCACCTAGCCCAGTTTGTCTTTAAAAAAAAAAAAAAAAAAAAAACATACAATTTAAAAAAGTAATTGTAAAATTATAATTAATTATTTTTAAAATTGGGTCTGGATTTTGAGTGATAGTTGAGTTCTCTCTTGTGACAGAGGAAAAAATATAAATATAAATAAGGTGTCAGAGTATGTAGGGAGATTGGCATAGCTTGACCTGAGAATACCAGGTGGCCAGCAGAGACTTGGCTGAAGCAAGTAAACTTCTGTGGGCCTTGTTTCCTTCTCCACGTGATGGATGCTGCCCCCATTCCCTGTCCCCAAGCCCACACTATGAGTAACTTTTTTAAAAAGCCCTAAACTTTCAGTACCCGTAAGTGCTGTTTTATACCCAGGAACCTATAGGAAAGCTGGCGGGGGTGGGTGGGTGGAGGATGGACCATGAATAACAACATAGTTAGCAACATGCCAAACTTTTCCAGTTTTCCATCCAAGTGAGAGTGGCCCCGAATGCAGATCCTGTAATGCGGGATGGGTTGGGGTGAGGGTAGGAACTGAGCCTGGAAAAATCATTCGTTGCCCTCCTGCTTGCTGTCTGTGATTGTCAGATACGAGCAGAGCCTGCCAATATGCACTGTTCTCTGAAGTAGGCTCAGCTCGGGGAGAAATATTGATTATGACCACAGTCGTCCCTGTTTCAAAAGTTATTTTATTATGTTTGAAAGAAGTGATACGGTTGATGAAAGAAGATAAAAATATCTCTATGTGATATGACTTTGTGTTCGTGAAACCGTGTCCTTAAAAATAAATAACCAACTGGAGTTGTGGTGACTGCTGTTGCCTCTCAAATAGTCCCTTGGGAGGGGTCTAGATGTTTATCCCAAGAGGCCGCCTCACTTCTCAAACTGCTCCTTAAGAGTAATGTGTTCACTCTGATGTTAGTTTCTTTTGCTGTGCAGAAGCTCTTTAGTTTAATTAGATCCCATTTGCCAATTTTAGCTCTTGTTGCAATTGCTTTTGGTGTTTTTGTCATGAAGTCTTTGCCCATGCCTATGTCCTGAATGGTGTTGCCTGATTTTCTTCTAGGGTTTTTATGGTTTTGGGTTTTACATTTAACTCTTTAATCCATCTCGAGTTAATTTTTGTAAAAGGTGTAAGGAAGGGGTCTGGTTTCAGTTGTTGGCATATGGCTAGCCAGGTTTCCCAGAACCATTTATTAAATAGGGAATCTTTCCCCATTGCTTGATTTTGTCAGGGATGTTGAAGATGAGATGGTTGTAAATGTGTGGAGTTATTTCTGAGGTTTCTGTTGTCTTCCTTTGGTTTATATGTCTGTTTTGGTACCAGTACCATGCTGTTTTGGTTAATATGTCACCAAGTATTATCAACCTTGTTACCACCTCTCCACGCCCACTGCAGGCCCCTTTCTCTTCTCATTCTACACCCTCACCCAACCCTGCTCCAAGACACACACTCTTCTATACAATCTGTGAGTTTGTGTGAGTTTCTTGGTACCACAGAAGAGTTTTTAAAGTCATTTTCCAGTATCTTGGCTCCTGTACTTGCACATACAAATGATGCTCAGAGACCACTAAGGTACTTAGTCAGGGATGGTGATGGTGCCCTCATAAGGAGGAAGGGTGAGAGGGGTTTGCCTGAACAAAGAAAAATGTCTACGAATCTCAGACAACCAAAAATAGTCATCTTTTACTTTTAAATAAGAGACTATCCTACTTCTCACATTATTCTTTCTGAAAGGTATAAAAGCCCAAGGTGAGTGAAAAGCCCCTATTCTGTACAAATTCATTTTTGGATCTTTTTAAAAGAAATTGGGAGCCTATCACCTGATGACCTTGTACTGTTTCTTATGTGCATGTCTTTCAGGCAGCTTATAGATCGGGAGAAAATTTTTGCAACCTACCCATCTGACAAAGGTCTAAGATCCAGAATCTACAAGGAATTTAAACAAATTTACAAGAAAAAAACAAACAACTCCATCAAAAAGTGGCAAAAGTTGGAACAGACAATCCTCAAAAGAGGACATTTATGCAGCCAACAAACATATGGAAAAAAAGCTCATTATCGGCTGGGCACGGTGGCTCACACCTGTAATCCTAGCACTTTGGGAGTCCAAGGCGGGTGGATCACGAGGTTAAGAGATTGAGACCATCCTGGCCAACATGGTGAAACCCCCGTCTCTACTAAAAATACAAAAATTAGCTGGGCGTGGTGCCAGGAACCTGTAGTCCCAGCTACTTGGGAGGCTGAGGCAGAAGAATCGCTTGAACCCAGGAGTCAGAAGTTGCAGTGAGCCAAGATCATGCCACTGCACTCCAGCCTGGCGACAGAGCAAGGCTCCGTCTCAAAAAAAAACCAAAAAACCCAAAAAACAAAATGGTGATGTTTTGATATACATATATTATTGTCAAATGATTAACACAGTCAAGCTAATTAACATATCAAGTACCTCACATAGTTACCTTTTTGAGCATGTGGTGAGAACACTTGAGATTACCCTCTTAGCAAATTTCTTTTTTTTTTTTTGAGATGGAGTCTCGCTTCATCCCCCAGGCTGGAGTGCAGTGGCGCAATCTTGGCCCACTGCAACCTCCGCCTCCTGGGTTCAAGTGATTCTCCTGCCTCAACCTCCCAAGTAGCTGGGATTACAGGCGTACACCACCACACCCAGCTAATTTTTGTATTTTTAGTAGAGATGGAGTTTCACCATATTTGTCAGGCTGGTCTCGAACCCCTGACCTCAGGTGATCTGCCTGCCTCAGCCTCCCAAAGTGCTGGGATTACAGGCGTGAGCCACCACGCCCAGCCAGCAAATTTCAAGTATACAATATTAACTATAGTCACCATGCTGGACATTAGATCTCCAGAATTTAACCATCTTATAATGGAAAGTTTGTACACTTTGACAAACACCTTTTCCCCCAGCCTCTAGCAACCACCATCCTACTCTGTTTTTTTTTATTTGACTTAAAAAAAAATTCCACATATAAGTGAGATCAGGCAGTATTTGTCCCTCTCTGTCTGGCTTATTCCACTTAGCATAATATCCTCCAGCTTCATCCATGTTGTTGTAAAAGGAAAGATTTCCTTCTTTTTTTTTTTTTTTTGAGATGGGGTCTTGCTCTGTCACCCAGGCTGGAGTGCAGTGGCATGATCTTGGCTCACTGCAACCTCCGCCTCCCGAGTTCAAGTGATTCTTCTGCCTCAGCCTCCCGAGTAGCTGGGACTACAGGCACGTGCCACCATGTCCAGCTAATTTTTGTATTTTTAGTAGAGATGGGGTTTCACCATGTTGGTCAGGCTGGTCTCAAACTCCTGACATTGTGATCTGCCTGCCTTGGCCTCCCAAAGTGCTGGGACTACAGGCGTGAGCCACAGCGCCTAGCTGATTTCCTTCTTCTTTAAGGGTAAATAATATTTCTTTCTTCTTTTTTTTTTTTTTTGAGACAGAGTCTCACTCTGTTGCCCAGGCTGGAGTGCAGTGGCGCCATCTTGGCTCACTGCACCCTCCTTCTCCTGGGTTCAAGCAATTCTTCTGCCTCAGCCTCCTGAGTAGCTGGGATTACAGGCGTGGGCCACCGCTCCCGGCTAATTTTTTTTTTTGTATTTTAGTAGAGACGGGGTTTCACCATGTTGCCCAGGCTGGTCTTGAACTCCTGAGCTCAGGTGATCTGCACAGTGCTGGGATTACAGGTGTGAGCCACCATGCCTGGCCAATATTTCATTGTATGTACACATCATCTTTTCTTTATTTTTATTTTTATTTTTTTGAGGCAGAATCTCGCTCTTCTGCCCAGGATGGAGTGCAGTGGCATGATCTCATTTCACTGAAACCTCCACTTCCCGGGTTCAAGTGGTTCTCCGGCCTCAGCCTCCCGAGTAGCTGGGACTACAGGCGCCCGCCACAATGCCTGGCTAATTTTTGTATCTTTAGTAGAGACGGGGTTTAACCATGTTAGCAACGGTGGTCTTAAACTCCTGACCTCAAGTGATCCGCCCACCTCGGCCTCCCAATTTCTTTATCTGTTCATCCACTGAGAGACACACAGCTGGATTCCACATCTTGGGTATTGTGCATAATGCTCAATGGACATGGAAGTGCAGGTATCTTTTGAGATCGTGGTTGTCTTTCCTTTGGATTTATACCTAAAAGTGGGATTGCTGGGTCACATGGTAGTTCTATTTTTAATTTTTGGAGGACCCTCAGTACTGTTTTCCATAATGGCTGTACTAATTTACATTCCCACCAACAGTGTGTGAGGATTCCATTGTCTCCACATCCTCACCAACCACTTGCTATCTTTATTTTTCGAGTTTTTGATAGTAGCCATCCCACCAGGCGTGAGGTTATCTCATTGTGGTTTTGGTTTGCATTTGTTTCAGTTGTCAGTTTATTTCCTCTCAGCTCTCACCCACCCTTCTTTTTTCTGCCTTATGATCCTGGAACCGGACCCTGTTAACGTGGCTCCCTTACCAGCTGGCATAATGTGGAGTTTTGCCAGAGAAGGAAGCTGGAGGGACACTGGAGGACAAAGGAGCTTCTCTTCCTGTTTCTGGTGCATTTTCTTATTTTCTTATTTCTGGAGCTTTTGGCCATACCCCATGGTGCTTACCCCAGCAAGTTTCAGGGACATCGCAGTGGGTAGCTTCCAGTGGATTCTGACTGGGTAGACAAGGGGTAGACTTGTGATGGTTAATACTGAGTCATCTTGATTGGATTGAAGGAGGCAAGGTATTGTTCCTGAGTGTGTCTGTGAGGGTGGTACTAGGGTACCCTGGTACCCTGATAGGCAACCTCCCATTACCCACTGTGGGTGGCTTCCCAGCAAGTCTGGCCCACACTTTAGCAGGTGGTTTTACTGTTTGCCTGACTGGGCCTGTGACACCTCAGCAAACTTCAACACCAATCGGTGGGCCACACCCACAGCACTCTCTATCGAGGTCTGAATCTCAGCTCTGGAGGGGTTCTTCCAAATTTGTTTTTTTCCATGAGTACTCTCAGCTCTGGAGGTCATGGCTGTGCCCTTTAACCATGATCCCTGTGTTCTTTCATGTTCTCTTTAGCCCTTAGTAGTTAATCATTCTTTATATTAAATTTTACCTGTCCAAATCCCTTTGTGAATTGTGCCTTCTGTCTGAACCTAGATTAATCCAGATATGTATGAGCTCTTAAATTTGAATTGTTGACATTTCCTTTTCCAACTATTCACTTTTATACCTGACTTTGTATTTGTCCTGTAGTATTCTTTTTCTTAAAGGGATGTAAGAGATATAACTTTCTCAAGTTATATAAGCTTCAGGTCCATGAAACCTGGATCTGCCACTGTGAGGCTGGAAGGGACTCCGGGAACATCAGACTGTGTGGAGTGGCTGCCTCAAAGTTTCCATAGAGCCTGACCAGCTTTAGTCTCTGGAGTCAGAGCTGGTGGCAGAGACTACAGAACATGGCTCACACAGGGGTCTGATAGATCGTGGGTCACATCACCCCAAACAAACATCACAGTGTACTTGCATCCCACCTCACACCACGAGGCACTGGAAGAAGACACCACGTGGGAAAACAGGCTCACAGTGGGGAGGGGACACACATGCCCAGGATCCTGGGGAAGGTTGGGGAAGGTGAGTGGTAGGGTCTGGGCAAGGATTTGTGTCTCCTGATTCTCAGAGCTCAGTCATTTCCGTGAGGGAGCAGAAAGAGAGGGAGAGAGGGAAGTCTCTGAGCTGGGCATAGACTACATAGGCTACATCTTCCATTTCAGGTAAGGACAGGCCAGGCAACTCAGGCCAAACCTCTCCCATAGACAACTAGAAAAACTGGACTAAAGTTTTCTTGAGGCATCGGAGACCCCCCAAAAAGCAGTGAAAAATGACAGAGCCGAAATCTTGGAGGCAAAGGAACACCTGAAATATGAGCTTAGCATCTGGGGCGACTTTTCCCTTTGGAGGATCTGCCTGTTCCAGAAAAGGCAACTGAGAAGGAGAAAAGCTGAGCTAAGCTCTTGGCAGCCTCAGGGGTGAGGAATCATGGCTGACACCCCCTTTTCTTCATTCAATCCATCACCAAATTCTGTCACTTCTACCTGAGACTGTCTCTGGAATCCGTCCACTTCTCTCTACCTCCCAGACTGCCCTGGCTCAACTCACCCACCCTAATGTCTGAAACGTTGCCTTCACACCAGCACCCCTCCAATCTGTTCTCCATCCCAGAGTTCCTCCACAGAAGCTGCCAATAGGATCAGGCCACTCCTCTGCTTACTGCTTTACAATTTTTCAATGATTTCCCTTTATATTTTGCGTTCAGACCCAGGTCTTTAAGAGGACCCACACTGTCTGGCTCCGTCTGCTGCTCCAGCCTCATATCATACCATGCTTCCTCTGACTTTGCGGTCCAGGACACTGATTTTCCTTCAGCTCTGTGGCCTTTTCTGCCACGGGGCCTTTGCACATGCTCTACTTCTGCCTGCAATGCTTTCCAATCTCCATCTTTCAGATCATTTCTTAGCTCTACTGGGACGCAGGGGCGAGCATACTTGATGGGAAAAGTATTTCTCACTCATCTAATCTGCTTTCCATGGATGTGTGAACCATGGAGACAAAACTGAGACACCATCATCCACCTGGTGCAGGGCATCTTAAAGGAGGATTACTCAGAATTGAAGCAAATCCTATCAGGTTCCACAACGAGAAAGTAAGTATTTGAAGTGGGCCCCCTTTCTTGGGAGAGGTCTGGTATTCCCTCTGAAAGCCTATGGTGGTTGTTCACAGAGTGGTTTTTCTCTGCCCAGATAATCGGGTTGATCTGAATTGTCCTCATCCCAGCTGAATTAATAAGGCCTCTATCAGGTTGTAGGGTTGCAGGTAGAGCAAAACGTTGCAGGAAGCCTGATAGGTACATCTGCCATGGAATGTTAAGGAAGAAAATTAGGTGAATTAAACACTCCTGGTTCTTTGTTTGGCTCATGGGATTTGGTTCATTGTTAAGGACTTGGGACATGTACGAAATTGGGAGGAGACTTCACAATGGGCAAAGTTTTATCTAACAAAATCATCTAATAAAATCCTTGTGAATGTTTCCCTCTTTGAGGACTTGAGTTTGTGCTGGGACATTGCTGCCTTCTTCAGGAAGAGGCAGCACACTATGGACAACAAAATTTTCTGAGACTGTGCAGGTCAAAGTTTCCTGTAAGGCACACTGGGAAATGAACAGGCCACAGCGACTGTTATGAGAGGTAGAGCAGGGAGGCAGGAAAACTCATGGGGGAAAATGGATGATCCATCCAAACCTGTAAGGTGACCATGTGTGTGCGCCTTAGGGACCGTGCTAATTGGGCTTAATGAGTTTGGTATTTTTGGCGTGTTCGTGTGTGCACATGTAAGCAAGGATGCTCACATCCTTAATAGAAAAGCAATTGACTGTGCCGTTGCCCAAATGCAGTCCTATATGACTAAACTCTTAGCGGGATGACAGAAATCACTTGGAATGGGACAAGCAGGTCTTGACAAATTACTGAGACAAGAAATAAATGGACATAGCGTAGGGAAAGAACAGCGCCAACTCAGAAAATTAATGTTTCTAGGTGTCAGATTTTTCTATTCCATTCTAAAATTTTAGTGTCCTTACCATTTTCTCTGAGTCTACTGAGAACAGTTACACATCTGAATGGGAGCATTAAACTAGTGTCTGGCCTTCATTCACTCTTCATATGGGACATCACAGTCTTGGGCCCTCAGAAGCACGAGGGCCAGTACCCTCTCCCATAGTCATCTGCTCACAGCACTGCGAGCTCTCAGTCTAGAGACACAGTCCACACAACCTCCCACATAGGTGGCTGGTCCAGCCTTGCAGATTTTAGTCAGAGAGCTTCTTCCAACAGTATTTTGAAGGTCATCTGGATGTTTGTCTCCTCACTTAGGTGCTTAATCCCACTTTTTTTTTTTTTTTTTTACTTTATTGATTCCTTTTCCATGGATCAAATCCTGTCTCCAAGCAGTACCTACTAAACAGCTGGCACTGCCAGACTCACCCAAATGAGGCTACAGTAGATGCAACTATATTAGCATAACAAGTGACCAAGATTGGACCAGGTTAAAGGATCACAGTCCCCTCCTCCTACCGGAATTATAATCCCCTCAACCTGATCCTGAACTTTCTACTCAGCTCTCTCCCTCTAAACGACTTCCCATTTCCTGAACATGCCTCTTTCCAACTTTCTAATATAATTTCCACCACCTGAGGCCCCTCACTCAATTTATATGTATGAAAAGTTGCCTACTGTTCATACACATTTACACATATGTGTGCATATGTACATGTGTGCACACACAGGAAAGTGTACAAAGTAGGGCAGACTCACTGTAGTTATGGCTTTTTATTTGTGGCAGTCATGGCGAAAACCATGTTTCTGGTTTGGGCAGCCAGACAGTGACATTTACTGAAGTAGAATCACGTTTGGGAGAGAAGATGATGAGGTCATTAACAGACATGTTGGGTTTGAGATGCTTATGAAACATCCAATTAGTGATATACAGCTCTCTCGCACATGTAAATTATAGCTCAGGAGATCGCTCAGAGCTATGACAACAACAACAATATTAATCATGCCTAACGCTCATGTAGTACTTATTAAGAGCTAGGTATGAATTTGAATATTTTGTTAATTCTCTTAATTCTTACTATGTCCCCATGAGATAGTACCTCCAATTTACAGACAAAGAAACAGAGAACAAGAGATTTAAGTAAGTTTCCTATTATCACAACCAGACATATAGATTTTGGAGTGAACAGTATATATATAATAATTAAGGTCCAAGAAATAGACGAGATGTTTCCAAATAATAAGAATATAGAGTGAAAAGAGCCAAGGAAGCATGCTGAGAAATCCCAATATTTTAGGAATGGATAGAGAAAGAGGAGCTTGTGAATGAGACTAAGAAGGAGCAAGCAGAGAAGGAAGAAAAACATGGAACTCGAGGGAAATGAGCATTTCAAGAAGCAATAAAGAAGCTTAGCAGGTAAAAAGCAGAGAACAAGATGATAAAATTAGTCTGGGCACGGTGGCTGACGCCTGTAATCCCAGCACTTTGGGAGGCTGAGGTGGGCAAATCATGAGGTCAGGAGATTGAGACCATCCTGGCTAACACAGCGAAACCTCGTCTCTACTAAAAATACAAAAAATTAGCTGGGTGTGGTGGCACACGCCTGTAGTCCCAGCTACTCGGGAGGCTGAGGCAGGAGAATGGCATGAACCCAGGAGGTGGAGGTTGCAGTGAGCCTAGATTGCGCCACTGCATTCCAGCCTGGGTGACAGAGCGAGACTCCGTCTCAAAAAAAAAAAAATTGTAATGGAACAAAGAACATATTTTTACATAAGTAAATGGTGTAATTGCAATGAAGAAGTAAATTATAGAAGTCCATGCATTGAATAATTGTTGGACAGAAGATAGAAATTTTAAAAATAATAAAAAATGCAGACAGTAACTTTTTTTTGAGAAGGAGTCTCACTCTGTCACCCAGGCTGGAGTGTAGTGGCACAATCTCGGCTCACTGCAACTTCCGCCTCTCAGATTTAACCAATTCTGCCTCAGCCTCGGAGTAGCTGGGACTACAGGCGTGTGCCACCATGCCCAGCTAATTTTTCTATTGTTTGGTAGAGACGGGGTTTCGCCATGTTGGCCAGGCTGGTCTCAAACTCCTGACCTCAAATAACCTGCCTGCCTTGGCCTCCCAAAGTGCTGGGATTATAAGCGTGAGCCACTGTGCCTGGCTGCAAGATGGTAACTTCTGGTTCAAAATTAATGTTTGGTCAGCAATTCCCAGTGCAGTCTCTACTGGCTTCTCATTAAAATATTTTGAAAAGGCCGGGTGCAGTGGCTCACATCTGCACTCCCAGCACTTTGGGAGACCAAAGTGGGTGGATTACCTTAGGTCAGGAGTTCGAGACCACCCTGGCCAACATGGTGAAACCCTGTCTCTACTAAAAATACAAAAAAATTAGTCAAGTGTGTTGGCACACTCCTGTAATCCCCGCTACTTGGGAGGCTGAGGCAGGAGAATCGCTTGAACCTGGGAGTCAGAGGTTGCAGTGAGCTGAGATTGCGCCATTGCACTCTGCCTGGGTGACAGAGTGGGACTCAATCTAAAAAAAAAAAAAAAAAAAAAAAGCGGAAGGAAAACTTACCACAATATTGAAAAAAAATAGTGCAGAAAACTCAGTAGATGATTCTAAGAAAAAAATCACTCTAGCTAGAAGGCAGACAGAACCGCATTAAGAAAAAGCCTGTGAGAATTGTGTAACAGGAGTTGCAGAAAGGGAGAGGGAATAAAAAATATTTGAAGCAATAATGTCCCAAGTTTTCCAAATTTATTTAAAAATGTAAACATACACATCCAAGAGGTTTTGTGTTATGTACTGAATGTGTTCTGTGTGAATGTGAATGTGAATGTACTGAAGCCCTAACCCCTAATGTGATGGCATTTGGAGGTGGAGGCCTTTGGGAGATAATTAGGTTTAGGTGAGTTCATGAGGGTGGGCCCCCCATGATGGGGTTAGTGTCCTTATAAGAAGAGAGAGACCAGAGTGGGCTTGCTTTCTCTCATGTGCAGCCTCTCTTTCATTCTCTCTCTCTGTCTCTCTATCTTCAAGGTGAAAACACAGCAATAAGTTAGCTATCCGCAAATGAGGGAGAGGGCCCTCACCAGGAACCAAATCTACCAGCAGCTTGGGTCTTGAACTTCCCAGCCTCTAGAACAGGGAGAAATGCATGTCTTTTGTTTAAGCCACCAATCTATGGTATATTGTTGACCTAATACACTCAGCAAACCCCAAAAAGGACAAAGAAAACTACAGTAAGGAACATCAGAGTAAAATTGCTGAAAATGAGGGATTAAAAAAATTCAAAAGACCCCCAGAAATTAAAGGAACACTACAAACAAGGGAACAAAGCTGGGAGAAGGAAAATTGTAGACTATTGGTTATAAAATACGCAAGCCAGAAGAAAATGGAATGGCTTGTTTCAAGTGCTGAAATAAATCTGTCAACCTAGAATTTTATATCCACTGAAGATATCTTTCAAAAATAAGTGTGTAATAAAATTTTTTCCCACACAAAAAAGCTGAGATAATTCATTGCCAGTAGACCTGCACCACAAAAGATATAACAGCAATTTTTTTAGACAGAAGGAAAATGACACCAGATGGAAATCGAGACTTGGACAAAAGAAAAAGAAAAAAAGAGCACTGGAAATGGTAAACATGGGTAAATATAAGATACACAGCTGGGTGCAGTGGCTCACCCCTGTAATCCCAGCACTTTGGGAAGCCGAGGTGGGTGGATCACGAGGTCAGGAGATCAAGACCATCCTGGCTAACATGGTGAAACTCCATTTCTACTGAAAATACAAAAAATTAGCCAGGCGTGGGGGTGGGTGCCTGTAGTCCCAGCTACTCGGGAGGCTGAGGCAGGAGAATGGTGTGAATCTGGGAGGCAGAGCTTAAAGTGAGCCAAGATCATGCTACTGCACTCCAGCCTGGGTGACAGAGTGAGACTCCATCTCAAAAAAAAAAAAAAAAAAAAAAGATACACTTTTTTCATTAAAAAAATTATTTTGAATACAATTGACTGTTTAAAACAAATAAAATAAAGTATATTATGGAGTTTATGATATATGTAGACATAAAAAGTAAGAAAAGAAGAACACGAAGGATGGGAGGGAAAAATATAAGTTCACTGTTGTAAGTTTCATACATAATATATGAAGTGGTAGAATATTATTTGTAGGTAGACTGTGATGTTGTTAAAGATGAATATTATAAACCTAAAGCAGCTACTAAAACAAAACACAACAAAAAGCTATAGTTGATAAGCCAATTGTTGAAATGAAATGGAATCCTAAAAAGTAATAATTAACACAAATGAAGATGGAAAAAGAGGAAAAAGGGAATGAAGAACAAATGGGAAAAATAGAAAACAAATAGAAAGATGGTAGATTTAAACCCAACCTTATTAATGATTAAATTAAATGTAAATGGTCTAAGCGCTCCAACTAAAAGATATTGTCAGATTGAATTTTAAAAAGGAAGAACCAATTATATGTTATCTATAAGAAACTCACTTTAAAACAAGGATATATATATGGGTTAAAATTAAGGATGAACAAAATACTGTGTAAACACTAGTTAAGCACCCAAGAAGCCCACTTAGTCACTACACCAGCAAATGTGGAAGGCCAGCTCAATTTTGTTTATAGATTTGCCATCCTTCTAAAAGTTGACTCAACTTTCAAAAAAGAATTGCACCCTACAATGAAGTTGTACCCACTAGTTTCTATGGGCTACTTCCTCTTGCATGTGTTCTGGGAGGCCTGTGTGGGAAGCATCTTCCATGTTGCAAAATAAGGTGTGATCCCAGTCCTCAATTGACACGTCTATTCTCAAACCAGGTGCACTTTCAGTAGCTCTAGCACAGATACCACTGCTATCTCTAAATAGTCTTTTCTCCCTCCATGCAACATGTCTTGGGGCTATTTTCATCCCCGAGAACCAATCTGTTTAGCTTCCAAAGCAGGTACCTCTTGGCTCAGTTCAGTGGAATTCAAACAAATATAGCTAGACCCTGCATCACAGCTCTCTAATTCTAGGCAGCTATGCACTTTAAGTTAGAGGAAAGGAAGGAGTAGCCGGCAGACCAAATCAGTCTTACTGGTCCGCTGCTAGGCTGGTCACATGTTGTGGTCTCTTCCAATCCCACCCCCCCCTTATACCATGAAGAACCCCACACATCTGCTGGTGATTAGGAGCAGTAAAGTTGTGGTCTAATTCTTTCTCAACCAAAAGCACACACGCATGTGCACACACACTTAATTAAAAAAAAAGCCTAACAAATTCCTTTTTAAAAAGTAATTTAATTCTGACCAAAGCAATATATGTGCATAATTTTAAAAGACAAATGATACTGAGTGACTTATAGGAAAGTAGGCAGTCCTCTACTGTAGTCTCCTGGAACCTCAGTTTCTGCTTCCCATCTTCACCACTCAGAAGAAATCCTTAAAACTCTTCTAAGTTTTTCTTCTGTCTCTCTTTTTAAAATCTTGATATTTCTACACAACATGTTTATACTACTGCTTATGATTTTTGAAATTTTAGAAATCATCTATCGACTTTATGACTGAAATTCTATTATACTTTCTAAACCACCATACATTCCCTCTCCCCGTCCTCCCAGTGTAGTTATCACTTTTTTTTTGAGACGGAGTCTCACTCTGTCGCCCACGCTGGAATGCAGTGGTACTATCTCAGCTCACTGCAACCTACACCTCCTGAGTTCAAGTGATTCTCCTGCCTCAACCTCCCAAGTAGCTAGGACTACAGGTGCCTGCCACCACGCCTGGCTCACTTTTTGTGTTTTTAGTAGAGATGGGGTTTCACCATGTTGGCCAGGCTGGTCTGGAACTTCTGACCTCAGGTGATCTGCCCACCTTGGCCTCCCAAAGTGCTGGGATTACAGGCATGAGCTACTGCTCCCAACCTATATCACATTTTTTTGTCAAGTGAAGATTTTGTATTGTCATTGTGACTATGAAAATACTATTCATAGCTAGAGCATGTATTATGATTTTACTTAACTTATACCATTTTAAATAATTGTCTTACTTTTTATTTCCTGAGTTTTATAGACATTAATTATCACTGATTCAGCCCCAAACATTCTGAAATAACTCTTACACATTTCTGATGCTGTCACACACACTCAAGTAACATCCGAGTTTCCTGGTTTTCCCTTACAGACAGCCCTCCTGGAGTGAGTTCTGCTTTTAGGAACTCACTCGCACTGCTTAACCCATCCTGTCCTCTCCCTTTGCAAGTGCTTTTATCTCAATTCCTGAAACTTCCCAGGCTTCTGGGCTGGGAGTCAGTTTCTTTTTACCAGTTTCTCTTCCCCTGCAGGCAGTCAGATTTCTGCTTTCACAGCTAAGTCTGTACCATTCATACAACTGCTTTACATATTCACAAATTTGATTGACATCTGTAGTCTGTCATTCTCCTTCTTATTCCTTTAGTGTCCTTCTATGAGGTTTTGGGAAGAGGTGGAGGTAAACATGTGTGTTCCATCTGCCTTGGTTAAGTGAAAACTTCCTTCAATCAATTCTTAACTTCATTGTTCAAGTGATAGAATCGGTCTAAAGTCATGCTTAATTAACAATGGGGATAGGTTCTGAGAAATGCATCATGAGGTGATTTCATCATCATGCAAACTTCATAGGGTATACATGCACAAACCTAAATGGTCTAGTCTACTATACACCTAGCCTATATAGTGTGGCCTATTGTTCCTAGGCTACAGACCTGTACAGTATGCTACTGTATTGAATATTGTAGGCAATTATAACATAATGGTAAGTATTCGTGTATCTAAACATAAATAAGGTACACTAAAAATACAGTATTAGGCCTTGGTGCAGTGACTTATACCTATAATCCCAGTGCTTTGGGAGGCAAGGCAGGAGGATCTTTTGAGGCCAGGAATTTGAGACCAGCCTGGGAAACATAGTGAAACTCCATCTCTGCAAAAATATTTTTAAAAATTAGCTGAGTATGGTGGCTTGCACCTGTAATCCTAGCTACTTATTGAGAGGTAAGGTGGGCAGATAGCTGTAGCCCAGGAGTTGGAGGCTGCAGCGAGCTATGATCGCATCACTGCATTCCAGCCTGAGTAACAGAGTGAGATCTTGTCTCTAAAAACAAACAAGCAGCAAAGAAACAAAAACAGTATTAAAATCTTATGGGACCACTATTGCATATGTGGCCCGTTATTAACCAAAATGTTGTTTTGTCATGATTGTATTCGGAGTAAAAGGAGTGGTTAAGGAATAGTCTACTCAGCTCATCCCCATGTACCATTTCTGAGTAGTAGGCCTTATTCCAAGCTTGGGGGCACCCTTTATAGTCAATCATATTTCTCTGTCTTCTCAGTATCTCTTCCACATGTACTCGCAGTCCATAATGACTCTGTCAGTGCAGAAGCAGAAGGAGATGCCCTTGGATCTCTTCCGTCCCATCTCTTGCTGTCAGCCCTTTTACCCCTCATCTTTTTCCTGGGCCCTGGCCCTGGCTATGCATTGTCAGTCTGTGGATTAGCCCTTTGGAGTGGGTTTTCCTGTTTTGTCCAGACCCGTTGCTGGAGACAGGGTAAAGGGAGCCTCAGATCCGGCTGGTGGGATGGAAAAAGGCCATTATGGTCATCTGGTCTCCAGGTGGATTACCTAAAATATATCAGATATCTTGTGCTGTTGGCATATCTCCTGTGTTTTATTATCCTGAGGAGTGTCTGTCTTCTTCTAAGACTTGGGTAATATTATGAGCATCTTGTTCAATTATCTTAGCCTGGAGGGGGTGGGCTCTAGGAAGAAAATGGAGGAGGGAAAAAAATTACAAAAATATTTTTTAAATTTAAGCAAATAATGTTGGATGTATCAATTAGAATTTTATGATCCCTAATTCTTTGTTTTTAAAGGTACACAAATAAATAAATAAAAGTGCAAAGGAGCTGAATGAAGTTATGTTATAGCTCTTGCCTTTTTTCATTCTATCTGGGCGGCCTCATTAATTTGGTATAAACCCTCTGTATGCCACGATTTGCTTAATAGTTTCCTATGGTGCACCAAGTTCTATAAAATCAATTTTTAGGCAGCAAAGTGGAAATAAGACACTTCAAAGAGATACATCTGATATATTGGATATAAATTCTAGGAATTTGTTAAATATGTACTAGAGACATGAAAATAAAGTTGAAGTACCCTTAGAAGGATTGGCTAAAAAATAGTTACTAATATGATCAAAAGTAGAGGAATCAGAAAGACATCAAAACTTACCCCAAATCTCCAAAAGCGTGGGTTGTGCCCTGAACAAGATGCCTACTCAAGGAAGCACACTTAGACTTCACTCCCTAGGTTAAATGCCTGTGGGAATCTCATGTCACATGTGAACTAGAATAGATCATACAACTGTAAATTTTAGAAAAATGTGTCGTTAAGGGAATCGATGCTTTGGCTTTTATGCAAACAGCTTCTTCAGGGCCCTCCAGCAAGTCGGGACCGAGATTGGGTGGCACCTGGTACTTCTCTCCTACACACTTTATCTGGGTCTTGTGAAGAACAGAAAAACAAGAGCTGGACCTTGGACTCTGAGACTGCATAGCCAAAGTACCCAGTTTAGAGAGTTAAGAAATTTCAGGTATTCAGGGAAACTCGAGTGTTTCAGTCCATTCAACCAAATTATTTGCAAGAGCCTGAACATCCAAACTTCCAGAACCACTTAAAATTAGACCCCATATTGGGAAATCAAGAAAATGTAAGACAGAAATCAAAGGGTCAAGATTGTATAAAAGATAAACTCACAAATCCCAGGAGACAACCCTACCAATGTCCTTCAAAGGTAGAGAAGAGTCTCAAATTATTTTCCTGAAACTGAAGAACTTGGAAAATGAGTTGGGGCCAGGTCTGGAACATCCAGCATTTGCTACCTTAGGGCGGGCATGCTCCCCTCCTGGGGGGATGTGTGAGGGCCACACTTTCCTGGAAGTGAGCTGCAGAGAGAAGAGGAGATGGGGGTCCTTTTCCCCACAATCAGAAGGAAGTATGAGAGGAAAACGCAGGTTCCCAGGATCACATTCAAGTGGAGATGAGGGGGCTGGAGGGAACTAACACCAGCTGGACACAATTTTCTATATAGAAATCAGGTGAGGTCATCCCACAAGTGTCAGTCGGGGGAAGGGCAAAAGCAGAATGGAAAACAGGAGAGGACGGGTTGTTTTTGAAGTTTTGAGCCTTAAATGTATTGCACGGGGGTGGCCAGGATTAGGTGATTGGTGATTTGTTTTGTTTTTAAACAGAAGTGATGGACCTGCAAAGGAGAAAATTCAGGGCATTTGTGCATTGTCATTGATTTAAGCATTATTATTTAATTCCTCTTTTAAAACTTTCTGCTAGATGTAGTCAAAAGCTATGAACTTAATGTAGTTTCTTCATGCATATAGAAAAGTGCACATATTTTAAGACTAGGACTCAATGGACTCACAGAATTAACCCTCGTGTGCACACAGACTGAGAATTCAAATATTAGCGGCACCCATGGCTTCATCGTGACCCGTTCCTGTCAGGACTGCCTCTCCTAAGGGTAAACAGTATCCTGATTTCTAACAGCTTACATCAGTTTTGCCCAAAACGAAATGAACTTTGAAGTCAGTCCCTTCCTGCTCTGCAAACCCATGGGTAAGATTTTTAAGTCATTCAGTGGCTTCTCAAAAATTGTTTTGTGTGTGGGCAGTTTGTCAGGTTCTGTACTAGTTTCGTGGGCGGGGGGGGGGGGTGTGTGTGTACAGAAGCGGGCAAGGTAAACTTTGTCTTCCAGAAGCTTGACCAAAATGAGCTGGCAGAGCACGAGGAGGCTGGGTGCGGAGTGTGTGCGTCGGCACCCTGAAAGTCCTCCATCACTTCAGCTGCACTGGCTCTCCTTCCCCAGAGGGAGTGGGCAGGAAAGGGTCAGGAGTCAGGCAAAGCCACAAGGATGGAACAGTGCCAGTGAGTCTAACACAGGCTTACTAAGCCAAATTTTCCAGCTCAGGGTCTGGTAGTGAGGAGAATAAAGCCATCCGTCACTACAGTGAAATAAAGATCACATTAAGGCACAAAGTAATCCAGTCTCCAAATACACACCATGTAATACTAAATGAATAGTCTTGCATTTCTCTGGTCAGGGAAAAGCACTTGAAGGAGTCAGAGGCAGGGACTCACTAGACTCCAGCCACTTCTCTAGACTCCTGCTTTTCCTAAGACCACATGGGACACTTTATGGAAAGCTGCCCATGTGTTTCAAATGTGAGCTTCTATAGAATAAAAACCTTCATCTCTACTGACTTGGCTCCCAGCACAAGGCCAGACACTCTTAGGTGCTTAATAAATGTGTGTCAAATAAATGAAGCAATGAATGAAACCTAGTGTGCTTTAGAGCAAGGAATAGTCAAGTGCACCCAGGTCCTGGTTCTCTCCAGGCCAATGTGCGGGCTTCTGTAGCCACAGCCTGTGAGGCGAGTCAATCACATTTTGTTGCGTAACACTTCATCTTTCCGAGCTCTGTCTCCTCATCCCTGACTTGGTCACGCATATCTCAAAGAGTGGCCATGAGAGTGCACCGTGGGCCTGGCACGTTCTGTGCACACTGTGAATTCTTTCCCCTCGCATATCCAGGGGCCTCCTATGGCCTGGGCTGTGGAAGGTGGCTGCAGGCCACTAGTTCTGTGCTTCATGGGTTGGGGCATATTCTATTCCTTGGACAAAATCTGGCAAAATCAGGCTCAGAACTTTATACCCACCAGGGCCAAAGTGATGATGATATCAGCCTCTAAAGTTTACCAGCAGAGATGCTAACCCAGAAGAGAAAAAATGCCATCCCCATGGCCAAGGGAAAGACATAGCTGGTACTCAGCTATTTTCCATCCAGTCAATTTATCGAACTCAGGAGCTGTTGGCTGTGCATGTTCACTATTCATGTAACGAAGGTGTGTTAAGTAGAAAAACTGCATCCTGGGTCTCTGTGAGACTGATGGGGACTTGTCACCTACAGCCTTGCTACTAACTGTGGTCCCAGACCAGCAACACTGTCATCACCTTGGAGCTTGGTAGAAATGCAGAGGCTCAGGCCTTGGGCCCTCGTGCAGACCCAGGGAAACAGAACCTGCATTCTAACCGGTGCCCCAGGGGATCCACGTGCACATTAAAGATTGTAAAGCACTGCTTTAGAGAGCGATGGAATCACCCTGGACAGTGTGCATTTTAAAGCTCCGCTGTTTTACTTTCAGGTCCCTCACTGCCCCCTATAGACCGTAATCCTAACAGTAATAGACTAACTAAAATACAAATCAACTCAGGGATAGACACTGTCTAAACTTTTCTTGTATGATTAGAGGCACACATAACACAAGGGGGAGATTCCTGAAATACCAGATGCTAAGTACATTGCTGCTACATTTGCAAATGCAGCAGCATCTTACACTAAAAGGGAACCACAATTTCTTTTCACAAGGACAACTGAAAAGAGAAATATAAAGTCAATCTGGGGATTTATTTTTTTTCTATGACTCATAGAAAAATGGGTAGAAAAAGCACACTTTTTAGTGGCCCAGCAAGCATTTTGGCCTTAAAATTAAATGTGTCATTCTTTCTGGATTTTCTTAGAATAATTTAGTAAAATACAATTCTGTAACTATTGCCTCTGAGTCTTGATGACTGGTGTCTTCAATGCATTCATTTAGCATATTTTGTAAAAAGAATTTGACATTTTTTCTCAAAGGGGAATGGGGACAATGGGCACAGTTAAAGCATTAGTACCAGTTGGTGACTGGAGTAGACAGGTAGAGGAGTTTAAGCAAGCTTAGACCGGTGGGATCTAGGGCAACAATCTCCCATGGCCAATGAAGGCCAGAGATTTCTATGTAACCCTGACCAGTGACCAGGAAAGGATCAAGCCATAGGTAATAATGCTACTAATTAAACGTCTCGTGCATTTAACGGCGCTTCCTTAGGTCCTACAACACCTGTGAGGACATTGTTATCAATCTCATAGTGCTCTTAAGGGGCCAGGGCTCCCACAAGATCAGGGACAAGGCCACATTAGATGGGAACTTCCTATCTTTTGTGACAGCTGCTGTGGACACCTGGCCAGATGTCCCCACGAGAAGACCCTATTTCCTGTGCTCCCTCCGCTGCTGACCATCACGGCAGGATTCCCAGCTGTTAGTGCAACCTCTGGCTGCAGAGAAAACACACCGTTCCTTGGAGGTCAGTACTAGCAGGACCACTGCTCACTTCCCCCTGAATGCACAACATGACAATGACCTCTCACATTTTCTTGGCCCTTAACACCACCTACTTTTACCACCACTCCTCTTTAATCATCACCCCCAACTTCATGTTAAATCTGATACATTATTTTAGGTGCTTGTCTGCTCTATTCATGGTTATTTATTTATTCATTAACTGAATATTTATGTTTTTTGAGCCGCTCTAGGACTCCAGCTATTCTCTGGTATTGGGAGGTTGCAGTAAATAAAGCAGATTAATTCTCTTGCCCTTCTAAAGCTGCGTTGTCCAACACAGTAGCACTAGCCACGTGTGGCTATTTAATTTTAATTAATTAAAATTAAATTCAAAATGAAAGCATCCATTGTCAACTTTTCAGTGATTGATAGCCACAGTTGGGTAGTGGTTGCCAATATTGGACAGCACAGATAGAGAACATGTCCATCATCATAGAAAGTTCAACTGGGCAGTGCTGCTTAATAGTGCTTTCACTCACTCTGGTAGTGGGAGATAAATGACAATCTAAAACATATATATGTATGTGTATATATATACATATATACTAAAATATCAGGTAGATAAAGTGCCATGGAAGGGAATAAAGTGAGTAGAGGGAATAGATAGAAAATGATGGCATTGTGTGCTTTTTGTTGTTTTTGTTGATTTTTAGAGACAGAGTCTCTCTCCGTTGCCCAGGCTGGAGTGCAATCATAGCTCACTCCTGCCTTGAACTCCCGGGCTCAAGTGATCCTCCTGCCTTGGCCTCCCAAAGTGCTGGGATTACAGGTGTGAGCCACTTCGCCCAGCCGGGGACTGCTATTGTAACCATTGACTCTAGTGGTCACTTCCTTTTTCTCCGAATTCCTCCTCTGGTAGCATGATACCATTTTCTATGTGTTCTTCTACCTATATGGCTGATGCCATAGGGATGGGACAGCTCTTCTTGAGATTCTTCCAGTAAGAACTGAAAATTTCTGTGGCAACATTTTTGCATGCCACACCATTAAAATGAGCTGTTGTGTCAAGACTCAAGATGCTAGTGTGCTTTTTTAAAAGTTAGAAGTAAACGACATGAAACTAACCACTATAGACTCACAGTTCAGAAAGGCTTACCTCTGTCGCTTCTCAACACCACCACAAGGTGGCAGCAGGGGTTTATGAACGCCATCTGCGTCGCTCGGCTAATTCCTCATCCCCAACACAAACTTTTATGCATCTCTTTAGTAGAAGTGAAAAATAAATCCTCCAGGGTAAAATATGGAAATGTAAAATGGCACCTATGTAATTAACAAAGGCTAATTGGAATTACAGCATGGCCCAGAATTCTAACTGAATGTTTGTTGATAGGTTCCGGAAAAGCAGAGTCAAGCATTGTAGATAACTATGACATGCATTAATTCCCTTTTGCCTTTACTATTGAGATGCATAGCAGTTGTGCAGTGTGCTCTTTACCCCATCCTTTTTTTTTTTTTTTTTTTTTTGAGACAGAGTCTCGCTCTGTCACCCAGGCTGGAGTGCAGTGGTGCCATCTCGGCTCACTGCAACCTCTGCCCTGGGTTCAAGTGATTCTCGTGCCTCAGCCTCCCAAGAAGCTAGGTTTACAGGCAAGTGCCACCACACCCACACACCCAACTAATTGTGTGTGTGTGTGTTTTTTTTTGAGACGGAGTCTCGCTCTGTCGCCCAGGCTGGAGTGCAGTGGCGCGATCTCGGCTCACTGCAAGCTCCGCCTCCCAGGTTCACGCCATTCTCCTCAAGGCTGAGGGTTCACACCTCAGCCTCCCAAGTAGCTGGGACTACAGGCGTTCGCCAACACTCCTGGCTAATTTTTGTATTTTTAGTAGAGACGGGGTTTCACCTTGTTAGCCAGGATGGTCTCAATCTCCTGACCTCGTGAATCGCCTGCCTCGGCCTCCCAAAGTGCTGGGTTGCAGGCGTGAGCCACCGCGCCCGGCCTCATCCAAGTAATTATATTTTTTAGTAGAGACAGCGTTTCTCTATTTGGCCAGGGTGGTCTCGAACTCCTGGCCTCAAGTGGCCTGCCTCGGCCTCCCAAAGTGTTGGGACTACAGGCGGGAGCCGCTATGCCCGGCCCCATCCTCATTTTTAAACAAATAAAAATACTTCAGATTTTTCCTCTACATTTTAAAATGAAAAGTCTTTCTGGCCTTTTCTTAACTGTCAATTGATTTTCCCTCAGCTTCTTGTAAAACAATAAGCAAAGAAAATCTGTACGTTTGTTCCCAGTTGTGATCTTGTGAGTTCAAGGCAAATTGCCATGTTCAACATCTGGGATTCATCATGTCTGCTGTTACCTCATCGGTGGGCACACATCTTTCCCAGATGTGGAAAAAAAAAACAAAAAAACACCTATGAAGTTACAAGGAAAGCAAAAACAGTATCTGTGCTTTCAGCTTTCTGCTGCAGCCAGGTATGTGAGGGAATTCAACTGAGAGAAATAATGCTTCTAGATCTGGTTTATCTAAATACTTGGCACACTGCACAACTGCTATGCAGTTAGTGGGCCAAAGCCCCACCCTTTCATGCACAAGTAACCCAGGAGGCCTCCTAAGAAGAAAGTTTGGGTAAGAGATTTTTTTTTTTCAGGAAAAAAAGAGAGAGAGAAAGCTAGACGTAGAGAGGTCATGGTTAAGCTAACATTTTAAGGTTAATAGAAGGCATCAGTATTTGAACTTGGCTCTCCGAGGTCTGCCAGGCACTGCAATCTGGAGCGTGTATTAGGCTACAGGTTGATGAGTTGTTGTTGTTGTTTTTGTTTGTTTTTTGTGTTTTTTTTTTTTTGAGACAGGTCTCACTCTGTTGCCCAGGCTGGAGTGCAGTAGTGCAATCTCAGCTCACTGCAAACTCCACCTCCCAGGTTCAAGTGATTCTCCCACCTCAGCCTCTGAGTAGCTGGGACTACAGGTGTGCACCACCACGCCCGGCTAATTTTTTGTATTTTTGGTAGAGACGGGGTTTTGCCCTGTTGCCCAGGCTAGTCTCCAACTCGTGGCCTCAAGTGATCCACCCGCATTGGCTTCCCAAAGTGCACTGGGATTACAGGTGTGAGCCATTGCGCCTGGCCAGTGAATTTTTTAATGACATTAAATTCAATTCAAGGCAAGTGGAAGACACAAATCCCATATCCATGTTTCTTTGCCTCGTTTCTCCTCCTCCCGCCTTTTTTTTTTTTTTTTTTTTTTTTTTACAAGATGCTTCTCTAATGACTGTGTATCATGGGAGCAATGAAAACTGCATTTTACATACATATATATAGTATTTAGAATTGTTCAAATTCTTTGATGCACTAATTTTACATCTCAGAGTGGAGTCCATCCTAAGGAAAGTCCATTCCTAAATATAGAAAGAAAACTTTAATATGGAAAAAGATGTTTAATGTGGCATTATTTAAATCAGGAAAAATATGGGGGGTGGGAACCTTTACATGTGTATTAATGGAAAATAATCAAATATAATTTGATATATCTACAATGGTTTAAGTTGTCATTAAAATGTTGTGTGTGAAGACTAGACAATATAGGAAATGCTCAGTTAACTAAGAGAACAAAGAAAATACAGTATGCATAGTCATGTCACTGTTATGCTTAAATTTTACAGGAAAAATACTCTACAAGAAAAATATACCAAAATATTAAGAGTGATTGTTTCAAATATGATTCCAAAGGTAGTTTTTCCATCCTTTTATTTTTTGATGATTTCCAAATTTCCTCTAAATGTTATTGTATAATAGAAAATATATACTTATGAAAATATTTTGAATTTCAAACAGTTTCACAATTCTTTTATCTCAAAACTTGTTTTTAAATTCTCGTCACTCCATCTTTGCCCCCGTGTCTTAAAACCAACACTCTGCACCCTAGTCTCCCCCTGGTTCATTTGCTGTTTCAGAAAAAAGGTACTGGGCCCATTCTGGTCTCTGCCTGAGGGTTCTCATATGGAGCAGGAGGTGGTCTGAGTAGAAGGAGGTGATGAGGTGGCCCTAGTGGATGTGCTCTGACCATGGCTCATTCTAGTCATGCCGTGGCTTCCATAAAGTGTTTAATTATTGATGCTGATAGAGAATATAAATTCAAATATATTTTAGGTCAGTGGTAATCACTCATTGAGTAAAAATTAGATGAATAATTTCCAAAAGCAAAGAGGAAGAAAAAGCAAAGAAAATCTGAGTAATAGATAGATAATAATGATAGAAGAAAGAACTATGGCTGGGCATGATGGCTTATGCCTATAATCCCAACATTTTGGGAGGCCAAGGCAGGAGAATCACTCGGGCCCAGGAGTTTGAGACCAGCCTGGGCAACATAGTGAGACCCCATTGTACAAAAAAAAAAAAAAAAATCAGCTTGGTGTGGTGGCATGTGCCTGTGGTCCCAGCTACCTGGGAGGGAGAGGTGGGAGGATCACGTGAGCCCAGGTTGTGACTTCAGTGAGCCATGATTGTGCTATTGCACTCCAGAGCCTGGGTAACAGAGCAAGACCCTGTCTCAAAACAACAACACAACAACAACAACAACAACAACAAAAACCCAAAAAAAACCCAAAAAGGAACTATGTAGAAGAAAAATAATAACATACCACACAATGACAATTTTTCTTTTTGTAATAAATATAAATGCTTAAATCTCTCTAGGAAACGGCAAAGACATATTTTGGTCCAGAAACAAAATTAAATTTTACTCTGTTTATAGCAGCACGTGTCTACAACAAAATGAAAGGCCAAAAGACCAATTAAGACATAAGAAGCACATATACACAAAAAGTAAGGATACAAATATGGGTATGTGGCAAAGTAAAATAGAAGGCAAAAAGCTGTAAGTAGGACAAAATATGTTTTTTTCTACAGATAAAAGAAAAAATCGACAAGGAAGATATGACAATAATAAATACCTATAAACAGAATACCATAGCACTGAAATGTTTAGAACAAAAGTCCCAAATATAAGACGCAACAGACATAATCACAATTGTAGCAAGAGATTGTAGAGTAGAATATAGTACCTCTCTTTGACGAATAAAGTAGAAAAATATGTAATCCCAGCACTTTGGGAGGCCGAGGCGGGCGGATCACGAGGTCAGGAGATCGAGACCATCCTGGCTAACATGGTGAAACTCCGTCTCTACTAAAAATACAAAAAATTAGCTGGGCACGGTGGCGGGCGCCTGTAGTCCCAGCTACTCGGGAGGCTGAGGCAGGAGAATGGTGTGAACCCAGGAGGCAGAGCTTGCAGTGAACCGAGATAGCGCAACTGCACTCCAGCCTGGGCGAAAGAGCGAGACTCCATCTCAAAAAAAAAAAAAAAAAAAAAAAAAGAAAAATATTGGAACACAGAGCATTTGAACATGCTCATACCTGATTTATGAGATATATGATGGGATATTTTGAACATTAATAAGCATGCTTCCCTCCCCTTCTAACCCCTACCCAGAATTCTTCTGCCCCCCAACAATGCCCCCCAGATAGATATGAGTCACTTGCTACAGAACCAGACACAAGGAATGCAAATACTCATTAGACTCAAAAGCTGGCCTGGAGGTGAGTCAAAGGCCACAAGAAAAAGAGCATAGGCCAGGAGCAGTGGTTCACGCCTGTAATCCCAGCACTTTGGGAAGCTGAGGTGGGCTGATTGCCTCAGCTCCGGAAAACCCCGTCTCTACTAAAATACAAAAAAAAAATTAGCTGGGCATGGTGGTGCATGCCTGTAGTCTCAGCTACTTGGGAGGCTGAGGCAGGAGAATCACCTGAACCCAGGAGGTGGAGGTTGCAGTGAGCCAAGTTTGTGCCACCTCATTCCAGCCTGGGCGACAGAGCGAGACTCCATCTCCAAAAAAAAGAAAAGAAAAAAAGAAAAAGAGCTTAAGAGAACACTGAAACCTCTGCCAGAACATGGGCCATCTGGCAGAGTGCCAGAGACAACCACAGTGTCCCTCTTGTCATTGACTTGTGAAGACCACCAAATGCCCAAAAATCCTTCAGTTCAGAGGGATGTGTGTCAGTGCCTCAGGACACTTCCCAGTCCCCATCAATTTCATTCCATATGTAGACAAATCTGTCAAACAGTCCAGGACACTTGTATACACTTGTACCCCCCTTCCCTAAACAGAGGAGCTGTGGGCCCTTAGTGATTGAAGGGTGATGGTGACGTGAAGGGGAAAGCCTTGAGCTGGCCAAGGGGGCTCTAGCTAGCATGAGTTGGAAATCTTCCTCTGAGCTAGAAGCTGTGTAGAATACACACTCTTGTTACAGATGAACTAAAAAACTGTACATTAGAAACACAAAATGAACAGTATTTCAAACCTCTATGATATGTGTTTACAATGAAACATGACAGGCTATGTTTAAAAAAAACCTTTCAAGACATGTTATTTGACGATAGTATCACAAGTCTAGAATTTAACATAGAATAAATTTTAAAAAATCAAACCACCTAGAAAAGGTTTTTTTTTTTTTTTTTTTTTTTTTAAACAGAGTCTCACTCTGTCGCCCAGGCTAGAGGGCAGTGGCACCATCTTGGCTCACTGCAACCACCACCTCCTGAGTTCAAGTGATTCTCCTGCCTCTGCCTCCAGAGTAGCTGGGACTACAGGCATGCACCACCATGACCAGCTAATTTTTTTAATTTTTTTTATTTTTGAGACTGAGTCTCACTCTGTCGCCCAGGCTGGAGTGCAGTGGTGCGATCTTGGCGCACTGCAAGCTCCGCCTCCCAGGTTCATGCCATTCTCCTGCCTCAGCCTCCCGAGTAGCTGGGATTACAGGTGCCCGCCACCACGCCTGGCTAATTTTTTGTACTTTTTAGTAGAGATGGGGTTTCACCGTGTTAGCCAGGATGGTCTCGCTCTCCTGACCTCGTGATCTGCCTGCCTCGGCTTCCCAACGTGCTGGGATTATAGGCGTGAGCCACCATGCCCAGCCTAGAAAAGCTTTTTAAAAAATTATCCTGAATAACATTTGGATCAAAGAGGAACTCAAAACTGTAATGACAAGTTTTATTTAGAAAATAGGAGATCCATATCATTCATGAAAACAAGGTATGAAACCAAAGCCATACTCAGGAGGAAAATTTATAGTTTTATAAAAATAAATAAAAGACATGAGATTAAGGATACCCAAATACACTTTAATGGGCATTTGTTGTTGCTTATATATATTATTTTTATATATATTCTCTAATATATATTATATATTCTCTAACATGGTATATATTAAAGAATGTATATATTATATATATATAATATATGATATAATATATATATATATAAAATTTGGCTGCCTAACCTCTGAAGCTTCCTCCTATAGTAGGGAAATCTGCCATGGAGTGAATCCACCAATCAGATGCTGCCCTTGCTACTATGCAGCTGGAGTGACTGCCTGAAAGGGCAGCCTTCATTCTGGTAGCCATGGCCAGGGCTCAGTGGCAGAGCCAGCATATCCCAATCAAGCTGTTCCTGGACACCCTGTGGATCTCAGTGCTCAGATTCCTAATTCCTGCTCATCCCCTCCACCTTGTTCCCTACACCCCTCCTGTGAATCTCCAGGCTGCCTGACATCCTTCTCCAATACATATTTTCCAGCTTATGTTAGCTAGAGTCAGTTTCTATTGTTAAAACCCTCAAACTCTCACTAGTCTTCTGAACAAAAGTGAAGGAAGGAATGTGTAAGAATAATGAAAGAAAAATCAATGAGAGAGAAAAATCTGTAGCAATGATGAGTACCTTCAAAAATATTTTGAAAGACCAATAAAATCAGCAAACCTCCAATAAATCTATTCACTGAAAAAATTAAGACAAATCACAAAAACTTTTACAAAGGAGAAAATGTATATGAAAGATTCTGAAGTTTAAAAAGTATGATCTTCAACTCTATACTTGATTAATGAAGGAGATAAATTACCAAAATCAACTGAAGTGAGAAACTTGAATGTACTAACGACTGTGGAGGAAATGCCAATAAACTGTTTGAAAAAAAAGCACCCCCCTCCTCCCAAAGGGCACAGAGCCGGATTGGTCTAGGGGGAGGTACCATAGAACCGGTGCTATTTAAACCTCTCTGGAGCATGGAGAAAGAGGAAGCTGAGCAGCCCTGAATAGCCTAGGACAAGAGAGACCTGCCAATCCTGGACTCCAGCTGCAGCTGGCTCTCTGCCTTATGTAGTGGTTGGCCTGCGGTGAAGCCCACTGTTGAGAGGCATTTGAACTGTTGTATGGACAGGTCATCTTGCTACGCCATTCTGACCCAGCTGTCACCACCCTCACACTTTTTAGTTATCTATCAGTGGCTGGTGTCAGGCAGGTAAGCCCACAACACTCACCCAAGTCATGCTCATTAACCCTCTGACTGGCTGCCCTTATCCCACGATCTCCACTAAGTTCAAGCATTTTTTCCCCAGTATCAGAGGAGGAACACTGTTTATTCCAGTCTACATGCTTCAAGTAGAAGTGAGGAAACCAAGGCCCAGAGAGGTGTGTACTTACTTGCCCAGTCCTCACTAGGATGAAGTCAGGGTTAGGACTAGCCCCGACTGGGCGCTGGGAGCTAACAGCTAGGGGAGGAACTGCATGACTTTTGTCCTGGAGAAATGTTATGGCAGGTGGACACCAGGGCACAGGCATATACCCGAAGTGTCCAGGGCAGACAGGGACTGCTCGTCACCCCAGATGGGACCTGCTAAGGGCCCAAAAAGAGACTGAAGGTGGGAAATGTTTTTGTTTTTCAGTGTGAAGCGTTGCCAAACATATATTCTAGGTTTGGGAATCCTCGGGACCTTTGGAAGCCAGATTCAGCGAAGATGCTGTACCTTTTGGGGATAGCTCTAACACGAGGTTAACGCAATGCTCCATGTCCCTGGCTGGGCTTAGCTGTGAGTGCGTCGACCTCTGGACTCTGTGCAAATGGACACTCTGTAACTGACACAGCTGGTAGGGGTTACCGAGAGAGCTGGGTTCCTGGTCTGGTGGACTCCGCCGGATATGCAACGAGCTCTTTATGGCACCTTGGAGATGGTTGCTTTTAGTGCCGTTGACAGCGGGCTCAGAGCACCAAGTGAGCTAGCACCGTATTTATTAGTAAATTACTCCATAACTCTAGGGCTCCCAGAAGACCAAAATCATTTGAGCAGATTGCACCCAGAGCACCGCGTGGAGAGAGAAGAAAGCCCGCCACCCACAGACCGCTTCCTCCTACCACAGGTCCCCCATCGAGTTGCATTTGTTGTCCCTCCCTAGGCGCATTTCTGAGCCTTCCTTTCTTAAACATACACCGAGCGAAAATGCGCCGGAGGGAGGCGATGTTGCCTGTGAGCCAAAGCCGGTTCGGCACCAAGACAGAAGCAGAGAGAACTGATCTCTCTCCCGGTACCCATGACAATCTCAGAGCTAGATCTATATCGTCCCGCGCCCAGCAAGAAGCACTGTGTGACTGTACTCCCCCGACCCCCAGGACATCCCCACGCCCAGCTTCCCAGGCCGGTCTTCTGCGCGGCTCAAGTAGCCCAGGTCTCCACGCAACAATGAAGCGTGGGCGGCCCCAGCAGCTTCATTTGCATATCGCCGCGGCTTGGCCAATGGGCTGCGCAGGGGCTTTGGAACGCAGTGTTGCCATCGGCGTGCGCGCGTGTGTGCGAGTGTGACAGCGGCTGTGGCTGTGGCCGTGGCCGTGGGAGGCGGGCCCGGCGGAGCCCAGCCGCGGGGGGACCGGCCCGGGCTCCCGCTCCCCGAGCGCGTCGCGGCCGCGTGGCCCAGCCGAGCCTTGAGACCACCCCGCCCCTGCCGGTCGCAGTCGCGATGTCGGTGGCCGGGCTGAAGAAGCAGTTCCACAAAGCCAGCCAGGTAGGGAGGCGCAGAGGAGGGAAGGAGGGAGGGGGACGCGGAGGCTGCGGCCCCCCGAGGCTCCCGGGCCTTTGGGACTCCTGTTCCCTGAAGGGCCTCTCTCGGGGCTCAATTTCTTCCCGCCTAGGAGGGCGCGAGGGTGGGGTGAGGGGCCGCCTGCTCTCTCCTCGGCGTCTTGGCGCCTTCTCCTTCCCATTCCCTGGCCCCCGGCTCTGCCCTGGGCCGTTGTAAATCGGAGAGATTCTGCGGAGCGGAGGGCAGAGGTGGCGGCCGCGGGGACTCGGGAGGCGGAGACGGAGTGGGCGTGGGGGGGCCCCTACCCGCGCGAGGGGAGGACGACCACAGGGAGTACGATGCCGGCAGGGCCTCCCCCGAGTCTCCAGCCGTTTGGTTGGGAGAGCCTCGTGGGGGGCCCATCCTCCACCGGCCACCGGCGCCTCCAGAGATGCTGTGTATTTGGCGCTTGGCTGTGTCCCGCTGAGCTCCCCGCGCGCGCATCGAAATGGCCCCGTCTGGACTGTGCCCGGCTCCCCGGCTGGGGCTCTCTACCGCGGTCCTTCCCCTCCCCACCGTCTTCCCGGTGTCGGCCCGGGGCTGGGCATCACGCTTCTGCTCTTACAGAGCTGACAGCCTGCAGGGGAGACACGGAGACAGACACGTAAACAAACAGTGCTAGACACACCTCCACGCACAGAGGATGACAAATAACACAGTGGGGGCGTCAGGGAGAGCTTCCCGGAGGAGGAGACATGTCATTTGAGAATTAAGTATGAGGAAGAATTATGGCTGAGGGTGTGGGATGATAGGAGGAAAGCCGTTCTGAGCAGAGGAAACAGGAAAACAGGAGGGGAGACATGAAATTGATGTGTGTGTGTGTGTGTGTGTGTGTGTGTGTGTGTGTGTTGATGACAAGCAAATTTGTTTTTCAACATCAACATTGCAGGCTCTTCCAGCTATGGCAGAGCTCACGTTGTAAAACCTGTTCCCCACCAGCACCGCTGGGTCTGTTGCTTCTCACCACCTCTCCCCGCAACCCCAGCCCCCATTTTGCTAGAGCCAGGGTAGACAGATTTCATTCAACGTCCACATTTGTGGTGAGGTCTCATCCTGCTTCTCCCACAAATTGGCCCATAGAAAGCAACTGCAATTAGAAGATTCTCTTCTTCTAGCCCCAGTTCCAGGCTGAAAGGCACTGCTGTCCCCTCACTCACACTCTTTCCATATGGAAACTGGGTGATGCTGTTTCTAGCTGGGGGCACTGGGTGGACAGTGGTGCTATTCAAGGTGTTAAGGAGCCCTGGAGGAGAGGCTATTCAGGTGAGGGTGGAGATGATGGATTCACCACTGAACCCAGGGACTTTGAGGGGTCTTTGGGACATTCACATGTCACTGGCCTGGGTTGGGGTGCATATCCTGACCTGCAGCTCAGGGGGTGAGGCTGGTACTGGAGCTACAGATTTTTGGTGATTTCCAGCCTAAGCGGAGATTTAAAAATGTATGTGTAGACAAAAGTGAGAAAAGGCACAGCGAGTTAAAGGCAGACTCTAGACAGCACCCCCATTTAGGGACAATGTTTAGCCCAGTAATTGTTGAGCAGTGACCACTCAATAAATATTTATTGAATAGATGAAATTTTGGGGTGGCACAACACAGGAAAGAAAGAACTCGTAGATGACAGGAGAGAGAAGACCATCATGGAAGGGGGACATTTAAAGGCAGGAGCAATCAACAAGTGCTTCAGTGAGCTAGGTATTGTGGAGTGTCCTCAGCTGGTACAGCCAGGAGGCCGAGTGCTGCTGTGAGCAGAGCAGAGCAGAGCAGTGCCAGAGTAATCGCTGGCTGTACTTGTTACATTGGCTTCCTTAGCACTGGCAGGAAATGAACCTCCTCTTTTGAAAACTTTTCCTTTATTGGGTATGGACTTCACAGGGGCAAATCTCAAAGATAAGCAAATCTCAGAGATAACGTAAGCCCTTGGGTGATTTAAGTTGGTTTCTGACAGTAACCAGAATGAATGGTTGAAATCCTTGGAAGTTATTGGCACTGGAGAAATATTTTGCTAGTCATGGGTAGTTTGGTTTAACTACCTGTAATCAGTACATTAAAAATGAAATGAACAGAACGTCTTATTTAGTCTTTTTTTTTTTTTTTTTCGCATGAGCGGAAATAATTTATGACTTTACCTGAAAGGAGAGGCATCACAGATTCTCTCTGGGCTTCATAGCCATGTTTTGTGGTTAAAAGTACTCAGTAGATATGTTTTAATATGTTCTAGAAGTCTTTCTAAAAAATCTTGCAATGCAACAATTTGGTGGAGAAATCAGACCGGTTTAATATAATATGAGGGAGCTCAATAATAAAAAATGCCAGATGTTTTTCTCAGACAACATTTTAACAGCAGGTTTTAATTCATACAGAACTTACCTGGGGCAGGGGAAGGGAGCCCCAGATGATGTCAATGGCTAAAATAATTTCCAGGGATCTAGGTCTGGCTCAGCCACTGACCAGCTCTGTAACCTTGGGAACATAACTTAACCCATCTGGACCTTGGTTTCTATCTGTATGATGACTCAGGGAATTTAGAAGCTATGTTTCTGTTATAAAAATGATTGTGGCAATGGTTTCACAACTCTGTGAATATGCTGAAAACCACTGAATTGTACACTTTAAGAGAATTGTATGGTATGTGAAATATATCTCAATAAAGTGATACGAATATGTCTCTGTGTCTCTGGGTGTGTGTGTATGTATACATCTCAGTGCTGAAATTCTTAAGTAAGTTAAGCATTTCAGAGTAAGACAAAGATGATAAAGTGGACCTTTTACAGAGAAGGGATCCAGGACCATGGCAAACTGAGATAGTTTTCTGAAAGATAAGCGAGGTAAAATTAGCTATAACCCGGTTAACTGTTCCTTTTTTCCTGATACCTTCCCTATCTCTGGGAAAAAACCCCTACTTTACAGAGAATGAAGACTCGTAAACCCTGGGGATTATGCATCATTTTGGCAGCACATGGAGACCAACAGGAAAGAGGAAGAAATATGCTAAAATGAGAAGAATATAAGTTAACAAAAAAATTTAATTAATTCTAAGTTTCAGCGTTTGAGACTAGAACCCAAATTTTTCTTTTTTTTTTTTTTTCTAATATGCATTATCCTTTATTAAAATGGGATATTTTTCTTTTTTTTTTTTTTTAAGGTTATAGATTTTCTTTTTTTTTTTTAATTTTTTTTTTTCTATTATACTCTAAGTTTTAGGGTACATGTGCACATTGTGCAGGTTAGTTACATATGTATACATGTGCCATGCTGGTGCGCTGCACCCACTAAAGTGTCATCTAGCATTAGGTATATCTCCCAATGCTATCCCTCCCCCCTCCCCCGACCCCACCACAGTCTCCAGAGTGTGTTATTCCCCTTCCTGTGTCCATGTGATCTCATTGTTCAATTCCCACCTATGAGTGAGAATATGCGGTGTTTGGTTTTTTGTTCTTGCGATAGTTTACTGAGAATGATGATTTCCAATTTCATCCATGTCCCTACAAAGGACATGAACTCATCATTTTTTATGGCTGCATAGTATTCCATGGTGTATATGTGCCACATTTTCTTAATCCAGTCTATCATTGTTGGACATTTGGGTTGGTTCCAAGTCTTTGCTATTGTGAATAGTGCCGCAATAAACATACGTGTGCATGTGTCTTTATAGCAGCATGATTTATAGTCCTTTGGGTATATACCCAGTAATGGGATGGCTGGGTCAAATGGTATTTCTAGTTCTAGATCCCTGAGGAATCGCCACACTGACTTCCACAATGGTTGAACTAGTTTACAGTCCCACCAACAGTGTAAAAGTGTTCCTATTTCTCCACATCCTCTCCAGCACCTGTTGTTTCCTGACTTTTTAATGATTGCCATTCTAACTGGTGTGAGATGATATCTCATAGTGGTTTTGATTTGCATTTCTCTGATGGCCAGTGATGGTGAGCATTTCTTCATGTGTTTTTTGGCTGCATAAATGTCTTCTTTTGAGAAGTGTCTGTTCATGTCCTTCGCCCACTTTTTGATGGGGTTCTTTGTTTTTTTCTTGTAAATTTGTTTGAGTTCATTGTAGATTCTGGATATTAGCCCTTTGTCAGATGAGTAGGTTGCGAAAATTTTCTCCCATGTTGTAGGTTGCCTGTTCACTCTGATGGTAGTTTCTTTTGCTGTGCAGAAGCTCTTGAGTTTAATTAGATCCCATTTGTCAATTTTGGCTTTTGTTGCCATTGCTTTTGGTGTTTTGGACATGAAGTCCTTGCCCACGCCTATGTCCTGAATGGTAATGCCTAGATTTTCTTCTAGGGTTTTTATGGTTTTAGGTCTAACGTTTAAATCTTTAATCCATCTTGAATTGATTTTTGTATAAGGTGTAAGGAAGGGATCCAGTTTCAGCTTTCTACATATGGCTAGCCAGTTTTCCCAGCACCATTTATTAAATAGGGAATCCTTTCCCCATTGCTTGTTTTTCTCAGGTTTGTCAAAGATCAGATAGTTGTAGATATGCGGCATTATTTCTGAGGGCTCTGTTCTGTTCCATTGATCTATATCTCTGTTTTGGTACCAGTACCATGCTGTTTTGGTTACTGTAGCCTTGTAGTATAGTTTGAAGTCAGGTAGTGTGATGCCTCCAGCTTTGTTCTTTTGGCTTAGGATTGACTTGGCGATGCGGGCTCTTTTTTGGTTCCATATGAACTTTAAAGTAGTTTTTTCCAATTCTGTGAAGAAAGTCATTGGTAGCTTGATGGGGATGGCATTGAATCTGTAAATTACCTTGGGCAGTATGGCCATTTTCACGATATTGATTCTTGCTACCCATGAGCATGGAATGTTCTTCCATTTGTTTGTGTCCTCTTTTATTTCCTTGAGCAGTGGTTTGTAGTTCTCCTTGAAGAGGTCCTTCACATCCCTTGTAAGTTGGATTCCTAGGTATTTTATTCTCTTTGAAGCAATTGTGAATGGGAGTTCACTCATGATTTGGCTCTCTGTTTGTCTGTTGTTGGTGTATAAGAATGCTTGTGATTTTTGTACATTGATTTTGTATCCTGAGACTTTGCTGAAGTTGCTTATCAGCTTAAGGAGATTTTGGGCTGAGACGATGGGGTTTTCTAGATAAACAATCATGTCGTTTGCAAACAGGGACAATTTGACTTCCTCTTTTCCTAATTGAATACCCTTTATTTCCTTCTCCTGCCTGATTGCCCTGGCCAGAACTTCCAACACTATGTTGAATAGGAGCGGTGAGAGAGGGCATCCCTGTCTTTTGCCAGTTTTCAAAGGGAATGCTTCCAGTTTTTGCCCATTCAGTATGATATTGGCTGTGGGTTTGTCATAGATAGCTCTTATTATTTTGAAATACGTCCCATCAATACCTAATTTATTGAGAGTTTTTAGCATGAAGGTTGTTGAATTTTGTCAAAGGCTTTTTCTGCATCTATTGAGATAATCATGTGGTTTTTGTCTTTGGCTCTGTTTATATGCTGGATTACATTTATTGATTTGCGTATATTGAACCAGCCTTGCATCCCAGGGATGAAGCCCACTTGATCATGGTGGATAAGCTTTTTGATGTGCTGCTGGATTCGGTTTGCCAGTATTTTATTGAGGATTTTTGCATCAATGTTCATCAAGGATATTGGTCTAAAATTCTCTTTTTTGGTTGTGTCTCTGCCCGGCTTTGGTATCAGAATGATGCTGGCCTCATAAAATGAGTTAGGGAGGATTCCCTCTTTTTCTATTGATTGGAATAGTTTCAGAAGGAATGGTACCAGTTCCTCCTTGTACCTCTGGTAGAATTCGGCTGTGAATCCATCTGGTCCTGGACTCTTTTTGGTTGGTAAACTACTGATTATTGCCACAATTTCAGAGCCTGTTATTGGTCTATTCAGAGATTCAACTTCTTCCTGGTTTAGTCTTGGGAGAGTGTATGTGTCGAGGAATGTATCCATTTCTTCTAGATTTTCTGATTTATTTGCGTAGAGGTGTTTGTAGTATTCTCTGATGGTAGTTTGTATTTCTGTGGGATCGGTGGTGATATCCCCTTTATCATTTTTTATTGTGTCTATTTGATTCTTCTCTCTTTTTTTCTTTATTAGTCTTGCTAGCGGTCTATCAATTTTGTTGATCCTTTCAAAAAACCAGCTCCTGGATTCATTGATTTTTTGAAGGGTTTTTTGTGTCTCTATTTCCTTCAGTTCTGCTCTGATTTTAGTTATTTCTTGCCTTCTGCTAGCTTTTGAATGTGTTTGCTCTTGCTTTTCTAGTTCTTTTAATTGTGATGTTAGGGTGTCAATTTTGGATCTTTCCTGCTTTCTCTTGTAGGCATTTAGTGCTATAAATTTCCCTCTACACACTGCTTTGAATGCGTCCCAGAGATTCTGGTATGTGGTGTCTTTGTTCTCGTTGGTTTCAAAGAACATCTTTATTTCTGCCTTCATTTCGTTATGTACCCAGTAGTCATTCAGGAGCAGGTTGTTCAGTTTCCATGTAGTTGAGCGGCTTTGAGTGAGATTCTTAATCCTGAGTTCTAGTTTGATTGCACTGTGGTCTGAGAGATAGTTTGTTATAATTTCTGTTCTTTTACATTTGCTGAGGAGAGCTTTACTTCCAACTATGTGGTCAATTTTGGAATAGGTGTGGTGTGGTGCTGAAAAAAATGTATATTCTGTTGATTTGGGGTGGAGAGTTCTGTAGATGTCTATTAGGTCTGCTTGGTGCAGAGCTGAGTTCAATTCCTGGGTATCCTTGTTGACTTTCTGTCTCGTTGATCTGTCTAATGTTGACAGTGGGGTGTTAAAGTCTCCCATTATTAATGTGTGGGAGTCTAAGTCTCTTTGTAGGTCACTCAGGACTTGCTTTATGAATCTGGGTGCTCCTGTATTGGGTGCATAAATATTTAGGATAGTTAGCTCCTCTTGTTGAATTGATCCCTTTACCATTATGTAATGGCCTTCTTTGTCTCTTTTGATCTTTGTTGGTTTAAAGTCTGTTTTATCAGAGACTAGGATTGCAACCCCTGCCTTTTTTTGTTTTCCATTGGCTTGGTAGATCTTCCTCCATCCTTTTATTTTGAGCCTATGTGTGTCTCTGCACGTGAGATGGGTTTCCTGAATACAGCACACTGATGGGTCTTGACTCTTTATCCAACTTGCCAGTCTGTGTCTTTTAATTGCAGAATTTAGTCCATTTATATTTAAAGTTAATATTGTTATGTGTGAATTTGATCCTGTCATTATGATGTTAGCTGGTGATTTTGCTCATTAGTTGATGCAGTTTCTTCCTAGTCTCGATGGTCTTTACATTTTGGCATGATTTTGCAGCGGCTGGTACCGGTTGTTCCTTTCCATGTTTAGCGCTTCCTTCAGGAGCTCTTTTAGGGCAGGCCTGGTGGTGACAAAATCTCTCAGCATTTGCTTGTCTATAAAGTATTTTATTTCTCCTTCACTTATGAAGCTTAGTTTGGCTGGATATGAAATTCTGGGTTGAAAATTCTTTTCTTTAAGAATGTTGAATATTGGCCCCCACTCTCTTCTGGCCTGTAGGGTTTCTGCCGAGAGATCCGCTGTTAGTCTGATGGGCTTTCCTTTGAGGGTAACCCGACCTTTCTCTCTGGCTGCCCTTAACATTTTTTCCTTCATTTCAACTTTGGTGAATCTGACAATTATGTGTCTTGGAGTTGCTCTTCTCGAGGAGTATCTTTGTGGCGTTCTCTGTATTTCCTGAATCTGAACGTTGGCCTGCCTTGCTAGATTGGGGAAGTTCTCCCGGATAATATCCTGCAGAGTGTTTTCCAACTTGGTTCCATTCTCCACATCACTTTCAGGTACACCAATCAGACGTAGATTTGGTCTTTTCACATAGTCCCATATTTCTTGGAGGCTTTGCTCATTTCTTTTTATTCTTTTTTCTCTAAACTTCCCTTCTCGCTTCATTTCATTCATTTCATCTTCCATTGCTGATACCCTTTCTTCCAGTTGATCGCATCGGCTCCTGAGGCTTCTGCATTCTTCACGTAGTTCTCGAGCCTTGGTTTTCAGCTCCATCAGCTCCTTTAAGCACTTCTCTGTATTGGTTATTCTAGTTATACATTCTTCTAAATTTTTTTCAAAGTTTTCAACTTCTTTGCCTTTGGTTTGAATGTCCTCCCGTAGCTCAGAGTAATTTGATCGTCTGAAGCCTTCTTCTCTCAGCTCGTCAAAATCATTCTCCATCCAGCTTTGTTCTGTTGCTGGTGAGGAACTGCGTTCCTTTGGAGGAGGAGAGGCGCTCTGCGTTTTAGAGTTTCCAGTTTTTCTGTTCTGTTTTTTCCCCATCTTTGTGGTTTTATCTACTTTTGGTCTTTGATGATGGTGATGTACAGATGGGTTTTCGGTGTAGATGTCCTTTCTGGTTGTTAGTTTTCCTTCTAACAGACAGGACCCTCAGCTGCAGGTCTGTTGGAATACCCTGCCATGTGAGATGTCAGTGTGCCCCTGATGGGGGGTGCCTCCCAGTTAGGCTGCTCGGGGGTCAGGGGTCAGGGACCCACTTGAGGAGGCAGTCTGCCCGTTCTCAGATCTCCAGCTGCGTGCTGGGAGAACCACTGCTCTCTTCAAAGCTGTCAGACAGGGACACTTAAGTCTGCAGAGGTTACTGCTGTCTTTTTGTTTGTCTGTGCCCTGCCCCCAGAGGTGGAGCCTACAGAGGCAGGCAGGCCTCCTTGAGCTGTGGTGGGCTCCACCCAGTTCGAGCTTCCCGGCTGCTTTGTTTACCTAATCAAGCCTGGGCAATGGCGGGCCCCCCTCCCCCAGCCTCGTTGCCACCTTGCAGTTTGATCTCAGACTGCTGTGCTAGCAATCAGCGCGATTCCGTGGGCGTAGGACCCTCTGAGCCAGGTGTGGGATATAGTCTCGTGGTGCGCCGTTTCTTAAGCCGGTCTGAAAAGCGCAATATTCCGGTGGGAGTGACCCGATTTTCCAGGTGCGTCCGTCACCCCTTTCTTTGACTCGGAAAGGGAACTCCCTGACCCCTTGCGCTTCCCAGGTGAGGCAATGCCTCGCCCTGCTTCGGCTCGCGCACGGTGCGCACACACACTGGCCTGCGCCCACTGTCTGGCACTCCCTAGTGAGATGAACCCGGTACCTCAGATGGAAATGCAGAAATCACCCGTCTTCTGCGTCGCTCACGCTGGGAGCTGTAGACCGGAGCTGTTCCTATTCGGCCATCTTGGCTCCTCCCCTCAGAACCCAAATTTTTCAAGTGCATAGTTAAATATTTTTTCTCTTGACAAGATTTTTTTGATAGAGCTGTTTACTCTTCTGGTAGAGATGTAGCTTGAGCTATTATAAATAAATACAAATAGCATAGATATGGCATTGTGGTTTCTTGTTAAACGTGGTACCTCACCAATAAAAATATAGCTTACAATATTTACATTTGTGTTACCACTCACTGATTTGTATTTGTATGCTTATTTCATAGTAATTTTTCTTGACAGCATTTATTGTTGAAGAAGGAAGTTCAGGGCACACCTATGTGTGTTCTGACCTGGAAAGTACTAATAGTCATATTCTTTCCATTTCTGGACCTTCTTGTCTTCCAGGGTCCTTGTTCTGCATCCCATAAAAGTCCAGGGACCAGTTTCATCTCTTCTCCTCCTCTCCTTCTCTCCCAAGACTAACCATCTACTGATGACACTTGTGGGCTCCATGTTAAATTTACTTCTTTATGCCTTTTAACTTCTGTCATGTGACTCAGCAACACATGCCAGAGGTTAAAGGACACTGCTTGTAGGGCAGAAAGAAGGGGAGCCTCTAACACAGTGCTTTTTTACAACTTTTCCCCCTTTCTCTTTTAATGCATTAGCCAGAAAAATGATAAGGGGTCATGAGGGGCCTGGACGTATTCCCTGTAATCACTGACTATACAGGCTGGCCATTTAGGGGTAAATGCTTCAGAGAAGGATATTCTTTGTAAATCATGAGATTCTCTAGGGAGGCAATGAATGTCTCTTGTTTCACTATCTCATTAGAGAGAAAGATAAAATGCACTTTGCACAATCCATAATGATTTATTTTTTTCTCTTAGACGCATCAGAAAATATATTAAAGCTAAAACATTCTTGCTCCTTTTCACATAGATTGCTTGATAAACTAATTGATAAATCCTTTTTTTTAAAGTCAGGGTGTGAAGATAGATGTTTAAAATGGATTGATTTTGATTTTTTAAAATATCTTAAGGATATAATACAATCCATATATTTCTTACCACTGAGGACTTTTTGTTCTATAAAGTAAATGTAACTCATGGTATCACTTGGAATTTGATTTAAAAATGCATTTGAAAGCAGGGATTTTTTTCCCTATTGCTTTAGTTTAATTTTTCAGCTTTATTAACAAACGGAATGTAAATTAATTTCCCAAAGTTAAGTGTGTGTGTGGGTATCTCATGTGTATTTGGGGAAGCTATTACTGGCATGCTTTGCCCAGAAGATAGAACTGTCAGTAAACAACTGACACACTGTTCGGCTAAATAGTGAACATATTCTGGAGAATCTTTAGCAGCAAAATGTGGACAGTTAGATTTTGCTTTTCAACAGAAACCTGGGAAAGTGTTGAGCTGAGGGGAGAGTCTGAGAGAAGTACTATTGATGAGATCAGGGAGGCATTGTTTCCAGTTCTAACTATTCTAGTTCTTTGAAATGCTTTCCCAATGGGAATTCCTTCCCAATTTCCAGGGTCATCCCAATGTTTTTACCACACACAGCACCAGCAGCCAGTGGCCTTCCTGAGCCAGGTGTTGTTCCTTCTGACTTCCAAATCCAGTGGATAATGGTGTCTTTTCCCCGTCCCTGGCTACATCTTCCTCAGACAGTAATGCTACTAAGTACTTTGCCTGTTCAAATCATCCATCCGTGGTAGAGGCTGCTGATATTTCAGGCTGGATAACTTGAGTCCTCCCTAGTGAATCTGATATCCGAGTCAAATCTTCTCATCCTTGTCCACCTTTCTTTCTTCTGGGCCACAAATCAAAACTCTGGAGGGTCTTGTGAGCTCATATGTAGTGCTTCAGTGCTTCTCCAGTGCAACAGTGGAAGACACACCTGGCTAGTCACACCATTGTGCTTCCAATCCCATCTCCTCTCATTTTCTCAGGGACTTTGCTCTTGTTGCCATCTCTTCTCTGCACTATTGTTTCTTCTCTCCTGGATAAATTTCACTGTAGGACAAAGAAGGGTGTATTAGTCAGGGTTCTCTAGAGGGATAGGACTAATAGGTTAGATGTATATATGAAAGGGAGTTTATTAAGGAGTATTGACTCACACGATCACAAGGTGAAGTCCCACAATAGGTTATCTGCAAGCTGAGGAGCAAGGAAGCCAGACTGAGTCCCCAAACCTCAAAAGTAGGGAAGCTGACAGTGCAGCCTTCAGTCTGGGCCGAAGGCCCGAGAGCCCCTGGCAAACCACTGGTTTAAGTCCAAGAGTCCAAAAGCTGAAGAACTTGGAGTCCAATGTTCGAGGGCAGGAAGCATCCAGCACGGGAGAAAGATGAAGGCCAGGAGACTCGGCCAGTCTAGTCTTTCCACATTCTTCTGCCTGGTTTATTCTAGCTGCGCTGTCGGCTGATTAGATGGTGTCCACCCAGATTGAGGGTGGGTCTGCCTCTCCCAGTCCACTGGCTCAAATGTTAATCTCCTTTAGCAACACCCTTACAGACACACCCAGAAACAGTACTTTGCATTCTTCAATCCAATCAAGTTGACACTCAACGTTAGCCATCACACTAGGGTTTAAGAAAATGATGGCAGGTCTAAGCGAGTCATGGAGGGTTTATGAAAGATGGGTCTTGGAAAGGGAGTTTTGTGTATAATTGGGTTGGCTGGGATTCCGGAAAGGAATTTCAGAATTTAGCCCTGGTTTCAGGGATACACTGATGCAGGACCAGAGCAACAAGATTTTCTCAGAATATTGATCTACGCCTAGTAAAAACTTGCAAGAGGATTTGATTTTAATTCTGAAATCGATTTCTTTATACTTTCAACCTTCTTCTGAACTACAGCTTTTTCATGTTATACAGTTTCTGCCTAATTTCAAATTGAAAGTGCTGCCTTCTTCATTTAAAATGATAATTTCATTTCTTGAGATAGAGTTTTGCTCTTAAAGCTTTCCAGAGTCATATCTCAAGAGTTCAGCTTTTTGCCACGTCTCACGACATACAATTTGCAGGTCATGCATCATTGCCTTCTGCTCTTCTTCCTTCTCTCCTTGAAAAGGTACATTTTCTTTTTAACTGGAGTGGTGACTCTCACTCTCAACTTTTTCATCAGTTCCTGTGGCTGTTTCCCCCCCACCCCCAGTTCTCACCCTGTTATTGTGACCTTCCCTTTCCCCTTTCCCTTTCCCTCTCCCCTCCCCTCCCGTCCCCTCCCCTCCCTCCCTCCCTCCCTCCCTCCCTCCCTGCCTCCCTCCCTCCCTTCCTTCCTTCCTTCCTTCCTTCCTTGCTTCCTTCCTTCCTTCCTTCCTTGACAGGGTCTTGCTGTGTCACCCAGGCTGGAGTGCAGTCATGTGTTCATAGCTCACTGCAGCCTTGACCTCCTGGGCTCAAAGGATCCTCTCACTTTAGTGTCCTAAGTAGCTGAGATTAAAGACGGATGCTGCCACACCTGGCTTTGGCTTTTCTTGATGTGTCTAAATTGTTCCATGTAACCAGGCAATTTCATGTGTCTTTAATTTTTCTAAAAGCCATGCATTCCACTGCTCAAGGTACTGGTTTCCTTGTTTACATTATTCTTCTATAATGTGGTATATACTCATGACCTTCGACACATACTTTTCCAGTGTCTAATTGAATTCAAATACTGTTTCATCAGGTTCGACTTACAGTTTATCTAAATGAGATTCCCAAAGGAAGAAGTACTCATACCGTAGGAGGTTTTTCTTTGCCTTTTCAGTAAATGGCCTGGGAAACAGAACTTTCATGTTTTATTAAGAATTTATGGTGCTTTGTGCTGTCTTTATTAGCTTTTTGATTATTTAGAAAAACTGCATCATCTTTAATAAGTGATGTTCATCTTTAAAAAATTATATGTGTGCGGATGTGTTTATATGAATATTCTAAAAACTACGTAAACTGTATAAGAGTCTGATGGTCTTGGTATGATGCTGTAAATCATGATTCTGGTTGTTATCTTAAAATACGGTACACAGGCCGGGTGCGGTGGCTTACACCTGTAATCCCAGCACTTTGGGAGGCCGTGGCAGGCAGATCCCGAGGTCAGGAGATCGAGACCAGCCAGACCAACATGGTGAAACCCCGTCTCTACTAAAATACAGAAAATTAGCTGGGCGTGGTGGCGGGCACCTGTATTCCCAGCTACTCAGGAGGCTGAGGCAGGAGAATGGTGTGAACCCGGGAGGCGGAGCTTGTAGTGAGCCGAGATCACGCCACTGCACTTCAGCCTGGGCGACAGAGCGAGACTCCATCTCAAAAAAAAAAAAAAGTACTGTACACAATAGAAGTAACTAAATTTCCTTGTTAATTGTTTGTTACAATGAATTCTCATCAAATTTTTAACCACAGCTATTCTAAATTTTTGTCATCCACAGTTTTGATTTTTCTCATAAAGTCATCTGCAGTCAGATTCATGGAAAAGACTCTAATAAGTAGCCTTGAATACATGTTTCTGATAACTTAAAAATCAATGGATTAAGTACAAATTTCCAAAAGTCTAATTAAAATAACTGACATATTCATGAAACTGCTAACCAAGATCAAACAGAGCAACAGTTAATTACATGGGACTAAACTGATAATGGATTATAATTTTTATGACTTTTATTTAAAATATTGCTAATTCTTTAATATTTTATTTTCCAGATTTAAGGAAACTTTTTTCTTAAGGTACCTATAGCAATTTGGTTATGTATACTCTTGTGAATAATATTAAAATGTTTGCTTTTTCTCCCTATCTTATCTCTCTAAAATTAAAAAAAACTATTCGTGAGTATTTTTTATTTTATGACAATGTATTTACATAATTTTGATAAAAATTTATTTTTTAAATAACAAGATACAATTTAAAATGTTAATTATATTAGCAAGGTTTGACTTAGACATCATATTTAAAAATTCTTGTAGGTACTTCGGATACAATCTGAAGCCCACCTTGATTTGGCCTTCTTGCTTCAGAAGTTAAAAAAAAAAGTTCAATCTGAGATTCAATCACTATTCTCACTGTACTTATGTAAATACTCAGGACAAATCTGATAAAACTAACTTATTTTACATACAAATTAGTCTTGCTCTGAGTACTTTGGTAAAATTGGGATGACAGTGATATACCCTTTATTAGATTGTAGTCTTGTGAGTTGTTTTCAGGTTTTATTATATACTTGTAGAAGGGACTGGATCTTAAATTCTTCTAGGTTCCTCTAATCCAATTTTCTCCTATGGAATTTTTAAATAGAATTACTAACAATGGAAACCATTCTTTTCTAAAGCGCTGTAAGCTAAAACTAAACATCTTAATATAAATTACAAGGGACAAGCCTTGTGCCTGATATGTGGGCCACACAGAAAGTTCACCAAACCGCCTGATGCCATAGTCAGAGGCATTCAGACTGCAAAACTGCTGACTTCACACTGTGGACAGTGTTTCCCAAGGCCGTTGGAACAAGACATCATAATGAGATTCTTACCCCTTGTAATGCCTCCCTTCTTCACTTGACAGGATAATGCCATAATTAAAATTTCACAATCAGTAACAATTATGAGTAACTTAACAAAAGCTGATCTAAGAAATCCCTTAGTCCACTTATTGAGTAGCTTTGGCAATATCCCTAACAACTTTTTGTTCATATTGTACTAGTGGGCCCTTTTACAGAGTTAGCACTGTCTGCTTTAATTTAACCCAGTCATGGAATACTACCCAATGGCTATGCCAAGTCTTACCCAGTTTCTCCATGGTCTTTTGATTTGTTTAGTTGATTGCCCTTAGGCTTGGCAGAACTATTGCATAAACTAGATTTGTCATACTCCTGTTGTTTTTACTTTGTATTTTCCTTTTAAAAATATGTACCTGATGTCTGTCAAATTTCTGCAGAAATGCAACTTCTAATAGAGTAATGTTTGTCTAGTGTCTTAAAATGATAGCCAACATCAATGGAACAGACAAAAATCAAACTTGATGACATCCAGACAAACAAAGCCTGAGAGCTTCTCCTTATGGCCTTCTTGTTGCTCAAATGTGGCTAAAATGGCTTGATACTGACTTCCAGCTGATAATCACCTGCCCCTGATGTTGTATAAGAATATCTATCCAGGACAGGTCCATCCTAGCACCCAGGGATATTCAAAACCTGAATACAGGCTGATCAATCTTTCTCCAAAGAAAGATCTTGATTAAAAGGGGGAAACGTGAAAGTTGCAGATATGAGGATAAAGTCAGTTCTGTCAGACTCAAATTTGAGTCAGGGAAGCATGAAGGGGAAGGGCTCATGCTTGCATATCCGAGATAAGGCTATCTCAAGGACTTTCTAAAATAACTCCACAAGAAATTCCTTCACAGCTTTCACATATCTCATTCTTTTCATGACTTAACGTTCTGCACATATGCATACATTTCTAGGACCAGGTTTATCATTAGACATTCTTTAGAACTGTAGCAATTCAGATAAGATGCTCTTGAAAGAACCCTTGCCTAGTAATGGCATCTCCACCAATGAACTGACGCTGACTCTGGCTTTGAGCTTCTGGAAAAAATGAACTCTTTCCAAGCAGCTTACATGAGCTTATCCTTTTTGTCAATAAAAGCTTCCTCTTACCATCTCCTCTTTGGGTGTATCTGTGGCTTTACTATAGCTGTGCTATGGTGAGATTACATTATAGTAAGGTTATATTATAGTCTGGGCAGATTATAATATAGTATAATTTGTGCCCAGATTATAGTTCTTTTTACTTACTCTTGGAAAAATACATTAAATTAGGAGATAATTTTCTCTGATGTCTTTTTTAGCTTGATGCCATCAGCATGCAGACATCCTCTCTAGTATCTCCTGTCTTGAAAAAGGAAAGGAGGAAAACCTCCTTTGATCTTAGGTCCCTCTTCACCCCTGTCCTATTTAAATATTTGAGGAAGTTATTTGTTGTCCCATGTCTGCTTTCTTTCTTTCTTTTTTTTTTTTTTTTTTTGAGACAGAGTCTTGCTCTGTCACCCAGGCTGGAGTGCAGTGGCACGATATTGGCTCACTGCAACCTCTGCCTCCCGGGTTCAAGCGATTCTCCAGCCTCAGCCTCCCTAGTAGTTGAGACTACAGTTGTGCGCCACTGGCTAATTTTGTATTTTTAGTAGAGATGGGGTTTCACCATGTTGGCCAGGCTGGTCTCAAACTCCTGACCTCAGGTGATCCGCCCGCCTCGGCCTCCCAAAGTGCTGGGATTACAGGCCTGAGCCACCGCGCCAGGCCCTCTGCTTTCTTATCTATTGTCTTCTCAACCTATTCAAATTGGCTTTCTTTTCTTGTGCTCTGAGACCATGCTTGCCTAGGTCTTGAGTGACCTCCACATTGTCAAATCTCATGGTCACTTCTCCATCTGAGCTCTCAACAGCATTTGACCCAGTGGACTATTCTCTGCTTACAACACCTTCTGTACTTGCTCAGATTTCCTCTGGAATCACTAGCTGTTCCTTCAGGTGTCTTTTAATGGGTCCTTCTCATGCCCTTGACTGTAAATCCTGGAATACCCCAGGCCCTGGCTTGGGTACTTTCTCTTTTCTAACTTTGCATGCTCCCAAGGTAGCTTCCTCAGCTGCAGATTTACACAAAATCTATACATTGATTTCTCTCTAAATTATATTTCTAGCCCAGATGCTTCTCCTGGATACAGACACACAAATCTAAGTGCCTGCATCACCTCTCTCCTTGGATATTTAAAAAATCTCAAATTTAAGATGTTCAAATGTGAACTCTTAATTATCTCTACCCCAAACTGTTTTTCTACTTGTGATCTCTTAAGCAAAACAAAACAAACCAAAGTAAAACAAAAACCAGGACTCATCCTTGACATTTCTTTCCCTTATTCCCAATTCATCAGCAAGCCTTTCCTCTTGGTTCTACTTTCAAAATACAACCGTTTGCTTTTCTCCATCTCTGCTACTATCACCTTGGTCCTGGCCATCATTTCTTGCCCCCATGATTGTAGTAGCCTCCTAACCAATTTCCAGACCAGCTACAATTCATTTGCCCACAATGGCCAGGATACTGTTTTAAAAAATGTATCTCGGGCCAGTGCAGTGGCTCACACCTGTAATCCTTTAGAACTTTAGGAGGCCAAACATGTATACATATGTAACAAACCTGCACATTGTGCACATGTACCCTAGAACTTAAAGTATAATAATAATAATAATAATAATAATAATAATAATAACAGCAATAAAAACAGCTCATGTGGGAAAAAAAAAAGAACTTTAGGAGGCCAAGGAGGGCGAATCACCTGAGGTCAGGAGTTGGAGACCAGCCTGGCCAACGTGGTGAAACCCCGTCTCTACTAAACATAAAAAAATTAGCTGGGCATGGTGGTGTGTGTCTGTAATCTCAGCTACTCTAGAGGCTGAGGTAGGAGACTGTCTTGAACCCAGGAGGCAGAGGTTGCAGTGAGCCAAGATTGCACCACTGCACTCCAGCCTGGGTGACAGAGCAAGACTCTGTCTCAAAATAAATAAATAAATAAAAAAGTAAAAAATAAAAACATGTATCTCAGACCATGTCATTCTTCTGCTTGCATGTCTTCAGTGGCTTCCAGTTGAATTTAAAATAAAACCTAAGCTTCCTCTTCGGGCCTGTGAAACCTCACTTGACTTGGCCTCTCCCACTCCTCTCCTGAGGATGTTTAGCCGCTTTTTGCTCCCTTGGTATTCTAAGAAAGGTCATTCTATCTTGGGGCCTTTGTGGTAGCTGTTCCCTTAGCCTAGCATGCTTTTCCCCTTGATCCTTGCAAAGTAGTTCCTTCTTGTCATTCACATCATAGCACAGATTAAGGTCTCCTTTTAAGAGAGGGCTTCCCTGGCTATTCAATTCAAATAGACATTTACCCTTTCTTGTCTGTTATCCAGTTGGGTGGATTATTTTTTCCTATCACAAATATTTTAATATTTTCGATATTTTGATAATTGTTTTTCAATATAATTGTGTTCCTTTATTCTATGTGCTTTTAATTAAACATTTTATTTTGAGGTAATTGCAGATTCACATGCAATTATAAGAAATAATACCAATCTCTTGTATCCTTTATTCAGTTTCCCCCAGTGATAACACTATGAAAAACTATTGTACATATCACAACTAGGATGTTTATGTTGATACAGTCAGGATATAGAACAGGTCCACTACCACAAAGATCCCCTGTGTCACCCTTTATAGCCATACCCACTTCCTTCCTGCCTCCATTCCCTCCTTAACCCCTGGCAACTACTATTTTTTTCTTCATTTCTATAATTTTGTCATTGCAGGAATATTATATAAATGGAATCATACAGTCTGTGACCTTTTCTGAATGGCTTAAAGTGTCAGCGTAATACTATATTCACCCAGGTTGTTGTGTATATCAATAGTTTGTTCCTTTTTATTGCTGAGTAGTAATCCATGGTATGGATGTATCACAGTTTGTTCAACCATTAACATGTGGAAGGACTTTGGGATTGCTTCCAGTTTGGGGTTATTATGAATAAAGCTGCTATAAATATTTATGCACAGATTTTCCTGTGAATGTAAGTGTGTGTTTCTCTGGCGTAAATGTCCAGGAGTGCAATTGTTAGAATATATATATATATATGGGGAAAGGCATGCTAGGCTAAGGGAACAGCAATCACAAAGGCCCCAAGATGGAAACACCCACCCAACTGGAGATATATGTATATAAAATCTAACATTGTACTCCTGGACATTTATCCCAGAGGAAAGGTACTACTTTGCAGGTATCAAGGGGAAAGGCATGCTACGCTGAATCTGTTTAGGTTTTTAAGAAACTATCAACCTCTTTTCCAGAGTGGCTGTACCATATTACATTCCCAAGAGTTATGTGTGACAGTTTCAATTTCTCCACATCCTCTCCACCATTTATTGTCATTCTTTTTAATTTTAGCCTTTCTGTTAGATGTGGAGGGATATGTCATTGTGGTTTTAATTTGCGTTTCCCTAATTGCTTGTGATGTTGAATAGCTTTGCATATGCTTATTGGCTTTAAGTATCTCCTCTTATGGAAAATGTCTGTTCATATCTTTAGCCTGTTTTCTAATTGGGTTTTTAAAAAACTGTTGAGTTGTGAATTCTTTATATATTATAGATATTAGTCCTCTGTTGGATATGTGTTTGCAAATGTTTTCTACCAGTTTGTAGCTTGTCTTTTCATCCTCTTGAATCAGATCTTTTACAGAGCAAAAGTTTTACATTTTGATGAAGTCCAATTTAAGAATTTCTCCACATATGGATCATACTTTTGGAGTCTAAGAACTCTTGCTTAGTCAGAGATCATGAAGATTTTCTCCTATGTCTATTTCTGAAAGTTATATAGTTTTATGTTTTACATTTTAGTCTGTAATCCATTTTGAATTAATTTTTTTAATAAAGTGTGAGACTTAGGTTGTTTTCTTTGCCTGTGGATGTCTACTTACTCCAGTACCACGTGTTGCAAAGGCTATCCCTCCTCCGTTGAATTGCTTTTGCATCTTTGTCAAAATCAACTGAGCATATTTGTGTGGGTCTACTCATGCCTTGCCTATTCTGTTCCATTGACCTGTATATCTGTCCCTTGGCCAGTACTATCCAGTCTTGATGACTGTAGCTATATTCTAAGTCTTGTATCAGGTAGACTGACTTGTCCCACATTATTCTTTTTCAGAATTGTTTTAGCTATTCTAGTTATTTTGTCTTTTCGTATAAATTTTAGAATACTCTTGTCTATATAAAAAAATCTTGCTGGAGTTTTGATAGGAATTGCGTTAAACCTGTATATCCATTTGGAAAGCATTGATGAACATTGATATGTTTCCTGTTGTAAGTCTTCTAATCAATGGATATGGTGTATCTCTGTGTGTATTTTGCTCTTTGATTTCTCTCATCAGCATTTTGTAGTTGTCAGCACATAGATCGTGTGCATGTTTTATTAAATTTGTAGCTAAGTATTCATGCCTTTTTTTTAGTGATTGTAAAAGGTATTGTATTTTCTTTTCTTTTTTTATTTTATTTTTTTGAGACGGAGTCTCTCTCTGTCACCCAGGCTAGAGTGCAGTGGCACAATCTTGGCTCACTGCAAGCTCTGCCTCCCGGGTTGACGCCATTCTCCTGCCTCAGCCTCCCGAGTAGCTGGGACTACAGGTGCCCGCCACCACGCCCAGCTAATTTTCTGTTATATTTTTAGTAGAGACAGGGTTTCACCATGTTAGCCAGGATGGTCTCGATCTCCTGACCTTGTGATCTGCCCGCCTTGGCCTCCCAAAGTGCTGGGATTACAGGCATGAGCCACTGCGCCCTGCCAGGTATTGTATATTCAATGTAGGTGTCCATGTATTTATTGCTAGTGTATGAAGATATAATTGTTTTTGTACGTTTATCTTGTATCCTGTGACCTTGCAGAACTTATTTATTAGTTCTAGGAGTTTTTGTTTTTGTTTTTTAGATTCCTTGGGATTTTCTATGTAAACAATTATGTCATCTGTGAATAGGGACACTTTTATTTCTTCCTTTCCAATCTGTAGGCTATTTATTTTCTTGCCTTATTTCACTGTCTAGAACTTCCAGCATTATTTGAATAAGAGTAGTGAGAGTTGACATCCTTGCCTTGTTCCCCATCTTGGGAGGAAATTATTCAATCTTTCACTATTAAGTGTAGTGTTCACTGTAGGATTTTTGTAGATGCTCTTAACCACAGTGAGGAAATTTCCCTGTATTTCTACTTTTCTGAATTTTTATCATGAATGAGTATTGAGTTTTGTCAAATGTGCATCAGTTGATATGATCATGTAATTTTTCTTCTTTAGCCTGTTAATGTGGCAGATTGCATTAATTGATTTTCAAAAACTGAACCAGCAAAACCCACTTGGTCATGATGTATAATTTTTTAAAGATACTGATCAATTCTGTTTGCTAACGTTTTATTGTATTTTTTTGGTGTCTATATCCATGAGGGATATTGGTCTTTAGTAGTGTTTTTTTTTTTTTTTTGTAATTTGTCTAGTTTTGGTACCTTAATAAAATTAACTGGGAAATGTTCTTTCCTGTTCTGTTTTCTGAAGGAGATTGTGTAGAATTGGTATTAATTCTTTAGACAATTCAGAGAATTTTCCAGTAAAACCATCTAGGCCTGGTGATTTCTCATTTGGGAAATTTCAAATTACACGTTTAATGTCCTTAATAGTGATATAGTGTTATTCAAATTATCTGTTTTTTATCGAGTGAGTTTTATTAGTTTGTGTTTTTCAAGGAATTGGTTCATTTCAATTAAGTGATCAGTTTTAGGCATGAGAGTTATTTATAGTATTCCCTTATTATTGTTTTGTTGTCTGCAGGGCTATAGTAATATCTCATCTTTCATTCCTGATAATGGTAATTTTTGTCTTCTCTTTTTCTTTTTCAGTCCTGGTAAAGGTTTGTCAGTTTTATTGATCTTTTCAAAGAACTAGCCCTTTGTTTTATTTTCTCAATTGTTTTGTTCTTTTCAATTTCGTTGATTTCTGCCCTTATCCTTATTATTTTCTTCCTTCTGCTTCCTTAGTTTATTTGCATATTTTCCTTCCACACCAGGTTCTTGAGGGAAATGAGATTATTGATTTGAGACCTTTTCTGTCTTCTAAGGTACAAAGTTAGTGCTATATTCTTTCCTTTTATCTCACTTCAGTTGTGCCTCACTAATTGTGATATGTTGTAGTTTAATTTTCATTCAATTCAATGTATTTTTGACTTCCCTTCAGACTTTTTCTTTGATCCATGTATCATTTAGAAGTTTGTTTTTTTAGTTTCCAAGTGTTTGGGATTTTTCTTGTTATTGATTTCTACTTTGATTTCATTGTCATTATAGAACACTTTCTGTATGATTTCAGTTCTTTTAAATTTGTTGAGGTTTATCTGATGGCTCAGGATATGGTCTATCTTGGTATATGTTCTGTGGGTACATTAAAACGATGTGTATCTGCTGTTGTTGAGTGGAGTGTTCCAAATAAATTATCTAAATATTGATTAGCTCTTTTTGGTTGATAGTGTTACTGAGTTCTTCTATATCCTTACTGATTTTCTGTCTAGTTCTATTAATTGTTGAGATAAGTCTCCAACTATAATTATGGATTTGTCTCCCTTCTTTCATTGCTACCAGTTTTGCTTTACATAATTTGCAGCTCTGCTGTTTGGTGCCTACACATTTAGGATTGCTATGTCTACTTGGTGCACTCACTCTTTTACTATCATATAATGTTCCTGTCTCTGATAATTTTCTTTCCTCTGAAGTCTACTTTATCTGATATTAATATAGCCAGTCCTACTTTCTTTTTCTTTTCTCCTGTTTTCTTTGGATTAATGCTCGCATAATATATACATTTTTTGACTTTCAACCTGCCTATATTGCTATATTTGAAGTTTTTTGTTTATTTGTTTTTTTGAGATGGAGTCTCACTCTGTCACCCAGGCTGGAGCACAGCGGCGTGATCTCAGCTCACTGCAACCTCTGCCTCCTGGGTTCAAGTGATTCTCCTGCCTCAGCCTCCCAAGTAGCTGGGATTACAGGCATGCGCCACCACGTCTGGCTAATTTTTGTATTTTTAGTAGAGATAGGGTTTTGCCACGTTGGCCAGGGGTTGGTCTCCAACTCCTGACCTCAAGTTATCTGCCCACCTTGGCCTCTCAAAGTGCTGGGATTACAGACATGAGCCACTGAGCCTGGCCTGAAGTTTGTTTTTTATAGACAGCATATAGTTAGGTTATGCTTTTTAATCTACTCTACCTGTCTTCCTTTTAACTGGTGCATGTAGACCACTTACATTTAATGTAATTACTTATATGTTAGCGCTAAAGGCTGCCATTTTATTTTGGGGGTATTTGTTTGTTACTCTGTTTTTAATTTATTTTCTTTTCTTTCCTGTATTCCTGTGTGTTAGGTGAAATTTTTTAGTATTCCATTTTGGTTTATATAGTGTTTTTGAGTACACCTCTTTGTACTGCAGTTGTCGTGGCTGTTCACATGTGTGTGTATACATACACACACACGTTATCAAAGTCTACTGATGTCATCATTTTACCAGTTCAAGTGAAGTGTAGAAAACTAACCTCCCTTTGTCTTCCATTGGCCTTCCCTATTTATAATATAATTTCATTAAATATTTCTTCTATATACATTTAGAAACACATTAGACAGTATTATAGTTGGGCTTTAACCATCAAATATAGTTTAGAATACTTATGGAAAGGAGTCTATTATGTTTACCCATATTTTTGCTTATCATGTACTTTTTTCTTTTCTGATGTTCCAAGATTCTGTTTTTTATTGTTTCTTTTAGTTTAGAGAACTTTCTTTAGCCCTTCTTTTAGGGTTGGTCTGCTGGTAACAAATTCTCTTAGTTTTCCTTCATCTGAGGATATCTTGATTTCTCCTTCATTTCTGAGGATATTTACTTTGGATATAAGATTCTGGGTTGATGGTTCTTTTCTTTAAGCAACTGAAAAATATTCTGCCACTTTCTCCTGGCTTTTGTAAGGTTAAATTAAATAAGCAGGAGGTTATTACCTTGAGGCTGTTTTCATTCTTTGAGTTTCTACCTAATGAACCACAACCAAACAGTATGTAAACAAATTAAAAGCTAACTTAGAACTATAACAAACAGCCAAGTTTCAGCCAGTCACAGGCAGCTAGCTGATCAGACTATGCCCAAATAAGGCAAATACCTCATCATACCAGGCTTTAATAAAGCAGATGCCTAGCTGTAGCCAATCCAGTGATTTCATGACTTTGCTTCTGTGTCTGGCCTATAAAAGTTCACTTCTCATACTACCGGACACAGGTCTCTGAACCTCTTCTGGTTCTGAGTGCTGCCTGATTCATGAATTGCCCTTTGCTCAAATAAACTTGATTAAATTTGTCTACAGTGTTTCATTTAACAGTGATTTCTGGTGAGAAATCTGCTGTAATTCAAATTGTTTTTCTCTATAGGTTAAGTGTCATTTCTCTCACTGGTTTCAAGATATTTTTTCTTTGTCTTTAGATTTTAGAAGCTTGACTATGATGTGTCTTGGTGTGGATTTCTTTTCTTTTCTTTTTTTTTTGAGACAGAGTCTCGCTCTTGTCACTCAGGCTGGAGTGCAGTGGTGCCATCTCAGCTCACTGCAACCTCTGCCTCTCAGGTTCAAGTGATTCTCCTGCCTCAGCCTCCTGAGTAGCTGGGATTACAGGTGCCCACCACCACACCTGGCTAATTTTTGTACTTTTAGTAGAGATGGGGTTTCGCCATGTTGGCCAGGCTCATCTCGAACTCCTGACCTCAGGTGATCCGCCTGCCTCAGCCTCCCAAAGTGCTGGGATTACAGGCGTGAGCCACTGTGCCCGGCTGGATTTCTTGCTTTATCCTGTTTGGCATTTACTTAGCTTCTTGGATCTGTAGGCTGTCTTTTGCCAAATTTGGAAAGTTTTCAACCACTGTTTCTTTGAGTGCTTTACCAGTCCTGCCTTCTTTTCCCTTCTCTTATTGGAACGCTGATGACATGAATGTTAGGTCCTTTGTTATGGTCCCTCATGTCCCTGCAGCTTTGTTCTTTGTCTTATTTTTTTCCTGCAGTTTATTTTCTCTCTGTTGTTCAGATTGGGTAATTTTCATTGTTCTATCTTCCAGTTCACATTTTTTTTCTCTGTTTCTGCATTCTGTGGGTGAGATATAGGCTAATTTTTAATTTCAGTTATTTTATTTTTCAGTTCTAAAATTTCCATTTAGCTCTTCTTCATATGTTCCATTTCTTTGCTAAGACTTTCTATTTTTCACTGCTTCTAGCATCTTCACAGTGGCTTCTTGGCTTCTTTAGAATCTTTGTCAGATAATTTTAATGGTTCTGTGATCTTGGTGTTGGCATCTACTGATTGTCTTTTCTCATTCAACTAGAAATCTTCCTGGGTCTTGGCATGATTATTGTTTTATTAAAATCTGGGCATTTGGGGCTATGATATTATGAGACTCTGGATCTTAATTACATTGTCTGGTTTTGCTTGTTTTCTTTGACATTGCTCTGGTAGGGGACATGGGGGGCACTGCCTTGTTACTTCCAGGTGGGGGAAGTCTCCTCTCAGACTTCACTGACACTCAAGGTGGGGTCTCATTATTGCTGAGGGGGAGCGAGAGTTCCGGCCATTAGGCCTCCACTGATAACAAAGCACTCCTACCCTTCTCTGGTTGGGAGGGGTATGAGTGCCTTGTTACTGCTCTGCACTTGGCCTCAACTGACACCATGGCGGGGGCAGCCTCATTACCACCAGGTAGTTCTGACTCTCCACTAGGCATCCTCTGACATCACCCCAGTGGGGAGGAGCAAGGGCACCTCATTTCTGCTGATGGAGGCGAAAGTTCAGGCTCCCCACATGCTGTCCACTACCACCAAAGGTGGGTGGGGGGGTGGGTGGGTGTTGTTACTGCCTTATGGGTCTACTTGGCCTTCTCTGACACTGCCCCAGGGGTGAGGAGGGGAGAGGGCTATTGGTTACCTCATTTCAGCCTGGCAAGGGTAGAAGTCTAGGCCCCCATTCATCCTTTGCTGGTGTGGATAAGGGTACGGCCACATTTTGTTTTCTCTGTGGTCTGTGGCTGGAGTAGAGCAGTTATTGTCTAAAAGTTTTCTTTCTTCCTTGGCTGCCCCTTGCTTGGTCCCTTGGCTAGAGAGAGCAGACATTTGCTTGGTCCCTTGGCTAGAGAGAGCAGACATTTGTTGGGGCTTTTTTTTTTTTCTGAGACAGAGTCTCGCTCTGTCGCCCAGGTTGGAGTGCAGTGGCACGATCTTGGCTCACCACAAGCTCCGCCTTCTGGGTTCACGCCATTCTCCTGCCTCAGCCTCCCGAGTAGCTGGGACGACAGGCACCCGCCACCACGTCCGGCTAATTTTTTGTATTTTTAGTAGAGACGGGGTTTCACCGTGTTAGCCAGGATGGTCTCGATCTCCTGACCTCGTGATCTGCCCGCCTGGGCCTCCCAAAGTGCTGGGATTACAGACGTGAGCCACCGCGCCCGGCCTGTTGGGGCTTTTTTTTTTTTTTATGTCCATGCGCATTTCCGTGTTGCTGGCTTCTTCAGCTCCAAATCTTGGACACGTGAGGGAAAAAGAAAACTGAGAGAACCCATGACCTTGTCCTTTCTTGGGTCCCAGGGTCCCAAGCTGGTGTGCCTTCTTCTCTCCACCTTTCAGAGTCTTCTTATGTTTGTGTTCTATATAATGCCCGGGGTTTTAAATTGTAGTTAGTGTGAGGAATAGAGAAAAGTATATCTACCCCATCATCCCTGAAGCAGAAGTCCTCTGTGCTACCCAATTTTAAATCCCTTCTTAGCGGATGTTACTGTCTGATAATCTCTTGTCCTGTTTATCCCTATGGTATCCCAAGTCCCTCAAACACTGCCTGGCACATAGTAGTTGTGTAGTAATTATATGCTAAATGTCGAATGAACATTCAGCAGGTAGCGATGATGGTGAATTGGGGCCTGAATGTCCTGCTTCTGTTTACCTTCAGCCTGTTCTTTGCCTAGATCCTCTTGATTTTTTTGGAGGGAGGATGCTAAAAATCCAGATTTTATATGAAATGTCCTACTTTTGAAATATTGGCAATTAATTTAATTTTTTAAAAAGCTGTGCAGGCCAAAGAAATGTGTGTGATTAATTATTATGATCCACTGCCAAATGGCTGGCACTTTTTTTTTTTCAGAGTCTTAGGTAAGCGTATATTGCTTGGATAGTTCATCTGCAGGTTGCCTTTTTCTCAGTTTTTGAATAGTGGAAGGATGTTACCTGCTCACCCATAGCTTGGCCAGTATTTGCTCAGGAGCTGCATATGGTCTCTGTAGAGATAACTCCTGGCTTTTTGTCTGAGGATGTTCCTGTAAACCTTATTGGGAGGCAGATTGGGTAGTAATGAACTGAGCGCTTGCCCATGTGCTGTTGTGTTAATCCGTTGAAGGAGCTTGGCTGGCAGAATGTGAGAGCTCTGGCATGATCGGGGATAAGGACAGAAAGCTGTCAAGTCATGATACAGATTTGACGATGCTGGGTGGGCAGAGCAGCAGAAGGCAGGCTTTGAAATGGGTGGGCAGCCTCACAAGTGGGCTGAGCAAAGGCTGGCAAGAAATGAGGTGGAGGGAGTGCTTTGCTTGTAGTGACCTATTTAGGAATCTTTTGAGAACAGGATGCAAGAATAGGTATTCTCTCGAATGTTATAAGGCAGATATAATCCCCTTCTTGGTGGTCTCATTGAGCCTTAGCTCAATGTAAAAGTGATGCATCTTAAAACCTATTTTAATAAATTTTATATAAATATAACTATATATAAAAAACTATAATTTTATATAAAAATTCGTTTTAAAAAAGTTAACTAGGCTGGGCACAGTGGCTCACGCCTGTAATCCAAGCACTTTGGGAGGCCAAGGCAGGCAGATCACATGAGGCCAGGAGTTCGAGACCAGCTTCGCCAACATAGTAAAACCCTGTCTCTACTAAAAATATAAAAAATTAACCGGGCGGGGTGTTGCGTGCCTGTAATCCCAGCTACTCGGGAGGCCGAGACAGGAGAATCGTTTGAACCTGGGAGACAAAGATTTCAGTGAGCCAAGATCACGCCACTGTACTCCAGCCTGGGTGACCGAGTGAGCTTCTGTCTCAATAAATAAATCAATAAATAAAATAAAATAAAAAATAAAAAGTTAACTAGCATTCCTGAATTTTACCCATCCTGGATCTCTGCTATTCACATTGGTGTCACCAAGTGCATTTTCCAAGAAAAGACAGTCATTGCCTAAAACAAATTGTCACCTGTTGTATTGAAATTATTTTGGTTACTTCCTGTGCCTGTCTACCAGATACTGCTTATACAAGTCTTGAGGAATGCTTGCTGAGTGAATGAATGCTTGCATTCTTTTCTCATGACTTCGCACTTACAGCGCACAGAAATCTGAGGTCTGTAGACTCCTGGTTGCTGAAGAGTTGGGATGTTGCACCAAAATTAAAATTTTCTTTATTGTATTAGTCTTTGACTTTAACTCTGGCATCTACTTTGTTTGGAGCTTTGTCTTTTATAAATAAATAATTAGGAGTAAGGATTTCTAAACATTTTATCTTCATATCCAGGACAAATGTTTTGCAGTTAGTTAATCAACCATTACGTGAGTATTGATCATAATACTAATTAGATTTATTTTGCAGATGTGGTGGATGCTATACAAAGTGTTTTAGTGGAAAGGTCTCATTTAATCCTCATAACTATCAAAAAATAGTATAAACAGTCAAATAGTATGTCAAATAGTATAACTAGCAAAAAGTAGATTAAAATAGTATTATTTTTATCCTCCTTCTACGAAGGAGGGAATTGAGGCTTGGCAAGGTCAAGTAAAATTTGCTGAAGTTTATACAGTTGGAAAGTGATCTTCCCAGGACTCAAGAGCAGGCTTGTGTGATTCCAAGGCAAGTACAGTACAGTATTTGTTACCATCGCATGAGATAAATATTTGTGTTTGTATTTGTCACCATTGCATGAAATAAATCTGTTGCTAATTCTCTAACCTTTTCTCCATGATTCTGAATCCTTATATAAATTTGAGGTGCTTTCATCATTCATTGGAGCCAGATGTCACCTGTTTACACTCTGTATTACATAGAATATTCTAAAACAGGGGTTGGCAAACATTTGGCCTGTGGGCCAGATATGGCCCACTGCCTGTTTTATTGTACAGCTTGTGAGCTAAGAATGGTTTTTATAATTTCTTCTAATGGTTGAAAAAAATCAAAAGAATAAAAATATTTAAAACATGTGATAATTACATGAAATTCAGATTTCAGTGTTCATACATAAAGTTCTATTGGAACACAGCCATGCTCATTTACCTACTTGTTGTCTCTGGCTGCTTTTGTATTACAAGGGCAGAGTTGAGTAGTTGTAACAAGAGACTGCATGGAGGGCAAAGCCTGAAATACTACTATGTGGTCCCTACAAAGAAGTTTGCCAACAGTTTTTCTGGACTATAAGTCTGGGCAATTGAAGTATGGCGGTATGCATGTTTCTGAAGCCCTGGATAGAACACTAGAAGCGTTTTGTCTGAATATGCAGTTTGGTTGTGCATTTTTGGAGGATCCCCAATGCTCAACAGTTCTTTTTCATCCTGGTGACCTGGGGAGGGCCTCACTCTGGAATACATTCTTACTTTGTAGTTCAGGAGCTACAAGTACCAAAAAGTCACCTCTGCTAATGCCTTACTTGGCCATCACACACCAAACTCTTCTATCCAGATATTATAGTACTGGGGAAGAATGACTGTGGTATGTTTGCTTGGATGGGGACTCTCATTTACTTGGAGGGAGGAACTCAAGAAGCATTTTTGGGTTGCAGGTTGTCTGGCATTTTGCTGTGCATTTCATTGTAATTTCTCACCAGGGAAACACTGCTTGCTCTCCTGGCTGGGTTTACTTCATTTCTATCATCTTTTCTTTCTTGTTTTAATAATTCCAACTTCATCTTGCCTTCTCCTTTGCTTCATTTTGAAAGAGTCCCAGTTTGCTTTTCTTGCCAATTCTCTACTTACTTTTCCCAGAGCTCAAAAATTATTCTTGGGGGTGATGTCATTTTCATGTTTATCTTTCTTCTCTCACATGACTTAATCAAATAAGTATGTAGATTATAATTTGTGAGCTGTGTTCTGAGGGAATTAATTGATCATCATCATATTCTTTTAAAAGGACTGTGGCCAGTTTTAGCCTCGGTTAACTTCAGTCAGTTTGTACAATAGTAATGGAATGTTTTGGCGTCTATTGGAGCAGGCGTGGACCATATATGTTCTATAGGCTTTTCAGAAATTCTATGCAGAAATTATGTGAACCAGATGGTACCCTTTTGATTTGCCAGACATGCATACTTAAAGAAATGTGGGGCATTTATTCTCCTTAGGAGACTTAGAGGGGGTTCTTTGGGAATGTAAATCAGCCAAAATTGTCCTAATTGAAAAATTCTTTGGAGTTTGTCATCAAAATAAGGAGTGTACTATCAGAAGACCGCATAGATTTTGCGGGAACAAATATTACTGGATTTATTTGATTTACTTCTCTGAGAATGAAAAGCCCCATAGACTTAGGTAAAAGAGGATATAATCCATGAGATGCTTTTATTTTGATAGGGCCATGGATTTGCTCACTTAGGCCTCTTTGGGGACACTTTCAGCAGTGAGAGTATGTGGATGTGAGGTGGGTGAGGGAGATGGCATGGGTCCCAGGGAATGAACAGACAGTGAGGGCCAGTTCATTAAACCGAAAGCTGAAGGGACAGGGTCTAGTCATTCTGAGAAGACCAGACTTTAGGGGAACTTGCAGATCATTGCAGGGGCTTAACCTACGGGAGGGCAACTGTTAGATTTCCTCTGAGCAGGTAGAAGGTGTACATGAGTCATAGTTACATCTAAGCACAGAGATTTGGGATTCAGCAAGGATTGCAGAGGAGGAGATAGTGTCTTTCTTCAGGTAATATGAAGAGCACAGTGGAACTGGAAGCCCCAGCCAGATAGGGAGAGCTGAGTCTGGTTGGCTGTCTGCACTGGCACTTGCTGGGGACTTTGGGGAAATGTCTTTCAGTGCTTCAGTTTCCTTATCTGCAAATTGGAGTTAATACCTCAAAGGGCTGATGGGTTTGTGCCGCTTACAAATTATTTGGCTCAATTCTAACTTGTAATGTTGTGCTGAAGCTTAGAAATTATGTATCTCAAGTGCTTTATATATGATATATGGTTTAATTAATGGGAGCTTTAGTATAGTAATCATTTAGTATACTGGTTAAGAGTTGAGTTCAGAATCAGAGAGACCTGGCTGGAGTCGCAGCTCAGCCATTTTGGTAGCTGTGTGATGGTGAACGAGTCACATATCCTATGTAAGCCTCACTCTCCTCTTCCGTATACTAGGGTAAAGAGCAGCTCCAACACGGTGGACTCAACTTTGGGGATTAAATGAGCTAATGCACATGAGGTGCTCAGCACAGGGCTTGGCCCATAATAAACGTGTAATAAATGCTAGCTGATAACTTTCTCCACTGACCTCCTGCCTGGAACAGAAAATGAAATTCTGCTTCTTAAAACCAAATGTTATAAGCTTCATCCTTATAAACCAACTGCCTTTAGAAATGTCCTCTTTCTACTCTTCTCTGGGTTCCTGGGGAGCAGAACGCCTGCTTGGGTGATGACTTATGTCTCTCAAATCCTCTCTACCCCTCCATGATATCACACATTTCCGTCGTACGGCATGTACTAAGGTCTGCACTTAATTTATGATGTAAGGGCCAGGTGCGTATTTTCAGCCTTCAAAGGCTGAGTATATTTGGGATTGACTCTGAAGGGGGAATCCCCTGTTGTTTCATTCATACAGTAGGTATAGCCTGATGGTTAGAGTGTGGGTTAGTATATCTGGGCTGCGTAGCTTGCTTTCTTGGTTGGCACTCCACTGTAAGCAGACCTCGATTTGTGTAGAGGTAGAGCGTGTGCATGTGTGTGTGTGTGTGTGTGGTGTTGATGTTGTTGTTCTTGCAGTGATCCCGGGAAAACTAGCTGGTGAGTAGGGAGAGTGACGGGGAGGAGATGGAAGCCAATCAAGGTGCACTATTAATCAAGTTAGTTACCATGGATGGTAACTGGAGCTCATTCTTCCTAGGGAACTCTCACAGACAGCATAGAAGCCACCTGAGAGTTATCCCAGCAAAGGCAGGAAGCTGGGGGATTTATCTACCAACTGCCCTGCCCATCATTGGCTGAGGACTGTTTCTGGGACGTTAAGTCCCTGGCACTTCCAATTTGCCTGGCACATGGGCTAATGTTCCTTTGGTTGGGGGTAAAAAGGCCTCCAGACTGAAGGTTGCAGGTGTTTGTGGTAACAGACTTGATCTTGTAGAATTGAGTCCTCGGGGCCATCAGTGGGGCACTGACAGCATCTGCTCTCCTGTCTAAGGTGGAAGGCTGTCTCTGCCACCTACCAGCTCTGTGATCTTGGCCACACTACTTATTATGCCTGAGTTTCCTCATCTGTAAAATGAAGATAATAATAATACCTCCTTCCCAGACTTGTGATGGGAATGAATTGAACTGATATGTGTAAGGCACTTGGTAGAATGCTTGCCATGTCGTAATTGCTAAATAAATGCTAACTTTTATTATTTTGTGATTATTCATTGAGTTTCTTCAGGTTCTTTTTCAGTGTAATAAAATTCACCATGTTTACTGTGACATAAGATGAAGATTTTTTGGATGGAAACTAATTAGTTGTTTCTTTGGGCATCAGATTATTTCCCCAATTTTTATTTATTTGAAAACTGTTACAACAAAAACGCAATCTGTTTTAGGGTTAAAAAAATCCTCTTTAACTCTATCACCCTTCAATTATTACTTTTATCTTTTTGTTCCTTTGGAGTCTGTTGATATAAATTCATATTTCTACACTGTTATAATAAATAATGGCAAAACTCAGTTTTTATCACTGTTTGTTCTAAAAATAAAATAGCAACCCTGTACCCAGCATACTTTACAGGTTTTTTAAAGTTCTCACAGTTTATGAAGAAGATGCCGCCATCCCAATTTCACAGATGAGAAAACTGAGGCATGCAGACATTATGCAACTCTTTTCAAATCACACAGTTGTTACCTTGTGGGGCCAGCATGAGCCTGGGAGGATTGCAAGGCTCGGGCCTCCCCTCTGCTCTGTGTCTCTCACGGTGGCTGAGGTAGAATACAGCTTGGAAGTTCAGCCAGCCCTTAGTATCCATGGGTTCCACATTTGTGGAGTCAACCAAAAGAAGGTCAGAAAAATTTGAGAAAAACACCAAAACATCTGGATTGAACATGTGCAGACTTTTTCTTGTCATCATTCCCTAAACAATACAGAATAACAACTATTTATTTAGCATTTACATTATATTAGCTATTATAAGTAATCTGGAGACAATTTAAAGTGCTGTATATGCAAAAATGTGCATAGATTATATGCAAATATGACTCCATTTTACATCAGAGGCTTGACCATTCAAGGATTTGTGTATCCCATGGGAGTCCTGGAACCATTCCCCCATGGATACCGAGGGGTAGCTGTACATTTATTGGTGCCTGCCTTCTTGCCTGGTGCCTGTTTGTTCTTTTTGGATTAAGAGAAATAATTCCTGGCTGTGCACGGTGGCTCACACCTGTAATCCCAGCACTTTGGGAGGCCGAGGCGGGCGGATCACCTGAGGTTAGGAGTTCGAGACCAGGCTGGCCAACATGGCGAAACTTCCTCTCTACTGAAAATACAAAAATTAGCGGGCGTGGTGGCAGCCACCTATATTCCCAGCTAGTCGGGAGGCTGAAGCAGGAGAATCGCTTGAACCCGGGAGGCGGAGGTTTCTGTGAGCCGAGATCCTGCCACTGCACTCCAGCCTGGGGGATAGAGAGACATTCTGTCTCAAAAAAAAAAAAAAAAAAGAGAAATAATTCCTGTCACAGGGAGCGGAAACATGCTGAAATAATTATTTGCTGAAATTGTTTTCCAACAGATGGCTTTAGGAATCAGGAGATTTGACACTAGGACGTTAGGTGGGCAATGGATTTCTAGTAATTTGTCAGCTTTGTTTTATTGAGGTGGAGCTGCATTTAAATTGCTACTTCTCCCTGCTGGTTTGGTTTGGTTCTCCTCAGAAATGGCTTACTTTATTTGTACTTGACTTGAGTTACATTAAAGCAGGCAAAAATATTTCTTAAGAGCTGAAATTTCAGGTTGGCAAAAGGAAACAATGCAATCTTTAATCATATATCTGAAAGAGCACAGTGGTGCATTATGATGGCAGAACTTCATTCCCTAACCCTGTACAAAGGTTTTTAGAGACTAAAGGATTGATCGTTTTTTTCCCCTGACAAAACACCTCTTTTGACATGTGCAGAGAAATATGTAATTTGGGTTGCATTGAAAGAAAGCTACTCTTGCTATTTCTCTCTCCAAGAGGCTGTGCTCTTGGAGTTAATATTTTCTACTGGAGACAGTTCTACTTGAAAGGCAAATATTACAAAAAACCACTAGAGAGGCATTGAAATCTGTTGTGGGAAGGAGTCATTTTAAATTTTCTTATTAAAAGAAGATGGCACTAAAGAGGGGGGAGTCATTTCCAATTTATTACTTAACAGAAAGATGAGCAATTTGTCCTCTCAGCAATAGTGTTCTGTCAGATAACCTGTTTGCCATTTCCTTGCCAACACTGGGTCTTGCCATTCATTTGAAATGTTTGCTCTTGTGATCTATTAAAAAATTTGTATATATTGATTTTACATATGTGCTGATCATTTGCATTTCTTTTGTGAATTGCCTTTTGATATTTTCCATTTTTAAATTGTCATTTTCAAATTTACCTTTATATATGAAATATATTAATCCATCATCATATATCTTGTAATGGTTTATTTAGCTGATCCTTTGTGGTTGTTGCAAGCTTTTTTGTGTATTGTTTTACAGTTTGCAGTTTTTGTCACAAATTAAATCCATTTTTTGGGATATAAAGTAGGCTTTACTTTTTATATATTCTGTTCTTTTCTATACCGGTGGAAATCTTGTTATTAATGTATACTGCCTCCTTAGGGTTTGTTTTCCAAATCTCTTTTCTTTCTACAAGCATATTAGTCTGTTGAGCCTTCTTAAGTTTTTTTTTTTTTGATTCAAAGTGTCGCTCTTGTTGCCCAGGCTGGAGTGCAATGGCGTGATCTCGGCTCACTGCAGCCTCCACCTCCCAGGTTCAAGCGATTCTCCTGCCTCAGCCTCCGGAGTAGCTGGGATTACAGGCGCGCACCACCACACCCGGCTAACTTTTTGTATTTTTAGTAGAGGCGAGTTTTCATCATGGCCAGGGTGGTCTTGAACTCCTAACCTCAGGTGATCCACCCACCTCAGCTTCCCAGAGTGCTGGAATTACAAGCATGAGGCACCGCGCTCGGCTGAGCCTTCTTAAGTTTTGAGAGAATTTTCTTAAGTTTGTTTTCTAAGTCTCTCATTTGGTTTCCTTTGATACGCAAGCTAGTTTTTCTATGCTATACCATTTTTAATGTGAACAGTTCCGTTCTAGGAATAGAAATCTTGATCTCAATTTGTCCTTCTTCCAGGGGGCAATGCCATCAAGAATCCAACCTGGAAATCAGAATCAGTGCACTGTTTTGACTTTTCCTTCCCTTGCCTTCTGTGAGTTTGTTTCTTATGGTCATACTTACTTTGATTTCTCCAATTGGTTCTCTTATTTTAAATGACTGAGTTTCTTCATATGTTGGATTATTTTCTCCTATGCTCTTCAAAGAAAGTGGCTCTAGTGTGTCTAGTTTCAGCAGGTGAGATATAGTCTGTTGTCAGCCCAGACAGGGTGAGAAGGGAGAGCTTCAGATTGATAGTTTAGCTTTCTGAAAGGAAGGTTGCAAATGGAGGGCCTTGCTCTAGACCAGTGCGGCCCAGTGCAAACTTTCTGTGCTGATGGAAATGTTCTTGGATCTGAGCTGCCTGGTATGATAGCCACTCACCATGCATGACTACTGAGCATTTGAAATGTGGCTAGTGCAAGTGAGATGGATTTCTAAACTTTTATTTACTTTTAATTAATTTTTATTAATTAATTAAAACATAAATTTAAATGACCACATGTGGCCAGTGGCTATGTATTAGATAGCACGGTCATCATGAGGACGGCTTCCTGTGTGATTTGTTTACTGTTGTGTTCCCAGCCCCAGTACTTGTCACACAGTAGACACTCAATATTCATAGAAATTAATGGATGCAGCAAGGGGAAATCTCTGGTAGGGCTTCTTTCCTTGCTATGCCAAGAGTTCCTTTTCTTTCTGTGGGTCTGCCCAAAGTTAGAGAAGTCGCATTACCCTCATCAGTAACTACCACAAGTGCTGTTGGTAGGGGCATCTGTAGGATTCCCATCCCCATGGCCCTTTTTATGTCCTACTGTGTGTGCCAGTCTGACCAGTGAGATCAATCCATCCTTGCCTTAGGAATTCCTAAGAATTTCAGAAATTTCTCAAAGCTGCTGCCAGGAAGTTGGGAGTTGTCCTAGTTTGTAAAGCTGATCTAGATACTTCTCAGTTTTATAGTCCTATGGCCATTCCAGGGAGAATGTTGGTGCTAGAGAGAAAAGAACTGAGATCTGTGTTTTGAATCAAGAGCCTATTGTCATCTTTCTGTGTTTTAATGGCTTACTATATCTTGATGCAAAAGCTTCAGTGTTTACGAGGCTCCACTACTGATTGTATCTTTCAGCAATCTCAAATGACCCTCTTTAATCCCATTTTCTGCCTTCTTCTTATACTCAGAATGATACAAATATTACCCCCAATTTAATTTTTTCCTCACATTTGCCCTCATCTTTTGGTGTAATACTATGGTGTTACTTTAAAGGGTTTTTAAGAAGCAGGTAATTTATGTTTGAACCAATTTTGATTGTCTTTGCCTATTATTTATTGAGGAAATCGTACTATTGACACAGTGGTATGTCTGGTCATCTGCCATTTCGTTTTCCTTGTTTTTTGCTTTCAGTCCTGTCTTTACATTATCATTACATTTACTTTTATCTTGTACTTTTGTTTGGATCATAGTTATGCCATTTCTAATTCTAGTAGTGGATCCTATTAAGTTTTTAAAAAATCCATATTAAATCTATATTTATGAAATTGCTGAAGTCAGTAAAAATAGTTTTTTTTTTCACTCTCCCTGATAGACAATCCCACATTTCTTTATTTTGGTTGTTTTTTTGTATCTCTTTTCTTTTCTTCTATTTCCTGAGACATTTGGCAATCTAATCTAGAACTATTCAAGTCAGCATTTCACAAATAACCTCAGTGATTTTCTTTTGTGTCTCTCTTCATAATCCTGTTATGAATTATGCATGCATTTATATTAAACTTAGTTGATGCTCACTTTGCCATTTTGAGTTCTTAGGTTTTCCAGCTCTCTCTGACATGAAGCACATTTTCAAATACGTTCTTCAAGAAGCATACACCATATGTTTTCTGAGACTTTGCATATTTAAAACATTTTTTTTGGTTGCCTTCTGTTGCGAACAACAATGTGTCTTAATTTAGTAGTTTTAAAGTCACAAGTGTTTAAATATTAAAATGTAGATATTGATGCATTATCTTCCAAAACCTCCTGTTGGGGGTAAATATTGAGGCCATCCTGATTTGTATTCCCTTGCAGATAATCTCTCTGTCTCCTATTTTCTCACCTTTGAATTCTGATGACTCTTTATGTGTCCTTGAGACTAAAAAATGTCACCAGAACATGTCTATCAGTGAATCTCTTTCCATTAATTTTGCTTAATATATGATGAACCATGCAAACTGAAATCTGTTTTCAACTGAGGAAAGTGTTTTTTTCTGGTAAGTGCTTATTTATTGTTTGGATACTATTTGTGTGGGTTTTATTTTGGGATGAAATAGTTTTACATGGGTTGGATGTTTCTTCTGTGTTCCTTCATATATTAATGTAGGTGCCTCAACAAGTCTGGGGAAGAATAATGAAAAAGTGTTGTGTTCTTTGCGATGATTTTTGTTTTTAGGTAATTTTTTGCTCCATTTTTGAAGTATTTCTCCTCTTTTTCCATTGGCTGCATTTTTTAGCATTGTAAAGTGTGTGAAGTTTATTTATTCATTTATTTTTTTGAGGTGGGGTCTTGCTCTGTTGCCCAGGCTAGAGTACAGCAGCATGATCATGGCTCCCTGCAGCATCCACCTTCCAGGCTCAAGCAATCCTCCTGCCTCAGCCTCCCAAGTCGCTGGAACTACAGGCGTATGCCACCACACCTAGCTAGTTTGGTTTTTGTTGGCATTTTTTTTTTATAGAGTCAGGGTCTCCCTATGTTGTCCAGGCTGGTCTCGAACTCCTGGGCTCAAGCCATCCTCCCGCCTTGGCCTCCCAGAGTGCTGAGATTACAGGCATGAGCCACCATGCCTGGCCGGAAGTTTACTTTTTACTGCCTACCATGTGGATTTGTTTTTTTAAATTTCTATTATGAGGAATTTTATACATACAGAAAACTAAAGAGAAAAATACTATGAATACCTCTACCCCATCACATAGATTAACAGGTATTAACATTTTGCCATCTTTGGTTTATCTTGTTTTATTCCTGAAGCATTTTAACAGACCACGTAACATTTCATTCCCAATACTTCAGTATGCACATCTGAAAAATAAGGGCCTTTCTCTTAGGCCTTTCTCTAACCATGCTACCACTATCACATCTAACAATGATTTTTTATGTCCTCCAATGCCCAGCCTATATTCAAATTTCTCTAATATTCTCCAAATGTCTTTTATGGCCAGCCTGTATGAATCTGGATCTAACCAAAGACCATACATTGTATTTGATAGTTATGTCTCTTATACTGCTTTTTTTTAAATTCAAATTTACATAACATAAAGTTAGCCATTTTAAGATGAATAATTCAGTGGCATTTAGTAGTCACAGTGTTGTACAATGATCATCTCTATCTAGTTCCAAAACATTTTCATCACCCCAAAGTAAAACCTCATACCCTTTAAGCAGTTACTCCTCATTTCCCACCCCACCCATCTCCTGGGAATCACTAATTATCCTCTGCCTCTGTGGATTTACTTATTCTGGATATTTTATATGAATGGAATTGTACAATATGTGACCTTTTGTGTTTTGCTTCTTTTACTTAGCACAGTGTTTTTGATATTCATCCATATTGTAGCATGTATCAGTACTTTATTCCTTTTCATGGCTGTATAATATTCCATTGTATAAATATACCATAATTTGTCTATTCATTTATCCTTTGTGGACATTTGGGTTTTTCTCCCTTTTGGTTATTGGGAATAGTGTTGCAATGAATACTTACCCTAGTCAGCTCAGACTGCTATAACAAAATACTGGAAACTGGGTGGCTTAAATAACAGATGTTTATTTTTCAGTTATGGAGGCTGGGAAGTCCAAGATCAAGGCACTGGAAAATTTGGCTCTTGGAAAGGGCCCGCTTCCTGGCTTGCAGATGGCTACCTTCTCCCTGTGTCTTCACATGGCAGAGAGAGAGAGAGAGAGCACTCTGGCCTCTCTTCCTCTTCTTTATAAGCACACCGGCCCCATCATGGGGTCCCTACACTTGTCCCTCTTCTAAACCTGATAACCTCCCCAAAGCCCTGCTTCCAAATACAACCACATTAGGAGTTAGAGCTTCAACAAATGAATTTGGGAGGACATAAACATTCAGTCCATACAATACTCATGTGCAAGTATTTGCATCATATTTTCAATTATTTGGGGTATATACCCTGAGTGGAATTGCTGGGTTATTCTTAAATGTTTTAATCTTGAAGAATTTTTAACCGGTTTACCTGTTTTTTTTTTTTTTTTATCTTTCTTGTTCCTTCTTGTTCTTTTCCTGCAATGACATCAATTTGATAACATGACTAGTTCAGTCGTCCCATCTTTTGGCTTGGCCTGATTGTTTCCTCTTGTTCTTCTTCAGTATGTTCCTCTGTGCCTTGCATGTCTTATAATTTGGGTACCATGTTTTTATTTTCTCTGCAGTCTCTTTTTTCCGTCTGTTTACTGTTTGATATATTTGCCTCTTCTGTTTGGTATGTGGACTATTTTGGGGGAATGTGCCCTTATTTTCTGTTGTGAACCCAAAGAAGTTTCTATACTTTCCTGCAATAAATCTATGTGCAAGAATGTTTTTGCTCTTTTTTTTGAGGAACGGTTTCTGTCCTCTTGTGCTTCAAATTCTGGTCATAGGCATCAGACTGTTGTGTTTCTCCTTCCTTATCTGTGAATAGACCTAGTGTTGGCACACAGATGTGATACACTGGCCATTTGCAGTGTACCACTGACCCTGGCACAATGCCTTCTCATATCTGAGGCCAGGGGCTGAGCTGGTGGCACCACCAATGGGACATTCCTAGTCTGTGGCCCCATCCCAGGAAGCTCTTTTTGGCTGACATAGTTTTTCTCTTCTCTCACTATCCATTTTTTTTTCTTTCTTTTTTTAATTTTCTTTTCTTTTTCTTTTCTTTTTTTTTTTTTCCTGAGACGGAGTCTTGCTCTGTCGCCTGGCTGGAGTGCAGTGGCGCGATCTCAGCTCACTGCAACCTTCGCCTCCTGGGTTCAAGTGATTCCCCTGCCTCAGCCTCCCGAGTAGCTGGGATTACAGGCACATGCCACCAAGCCCGTCTAATTTTTTTTTGTATTTTAGTAGAGATGGGTTTCACCATGTTGGCCAATATGGTCTCGATCTCCTGACCTCGTGATCCGCCTGCCTCGGCCTCCCAGAGTGCTGGGATTACAGGTGTGAGCCACTGTGCCCAGCCTCTTCTCTCACTATCCGTTTCTGACAAATGAAAAAAATGGATGTGGGTCCTGCAGAACCTGAGGCCAGCTCTAACCAGTCTTTCATGGATGCATACACCTGCCTGCAGGCGCTGCTCCCAGGTGAGGAGGTTGCATGCCTCAGAATGCAGTTAGCCTGGGCATCTGTGCACCAGGCTGAGTTCTTGCCTAGGAGCTGCAGATGTGTGATGAATGCAGAACTAAAGTTATTGAGGAGACCAAGAGACTTGACCTGGGAGTGCTTATGTGGTTTGGATGGGATTCCTTGAGGCTTTTGTGGAGGAGCAGTCCGTGGAGTCAGGGTGTCCGTGGGTCACTGTTAGCCCACATGGTGCTCTTTGTATGAGTTAGAAAAATACGCCTCTTCCTCGACACACTTTACTTTCATGCGGGGGAAAACTCTCCTATCCTGAATTGGTTAGAGCTGGTGATTTGACAGCCGCCTGCTGGAAAATTGTATGATAAGTACACAAATCTGCTTCAGGAGGGTGTGCTCCCTTCCATGTGGCACAGTTGTCACCCCCTGCCCAGCTGCCTCTGCAGCCACTTTGGGTTTTGTGGCTGATGTTCACTAGCCACTGACTATACATCTGAATCTCTTCCTGTCAGTAGAAGATCCTTCTGATTTGGGCATATGGTCAACTTTTTATTTTTCATAACTCTTGCTACCCCTTTCCTCCATTTTTATTAGTTTTCATGGGGACTTAAGTGAGCATCCAGGCACCGTTGCTGATCTGTCTCCCTGACCCAGAAGACCATGTTGGCTTTTGGACAAAGATCCTGGATAGTTCTGAAGCTATGATGCTGTGCATCAGGGTTGAATGGGGGTCCTGAGAGTCCAGCATTGCTTGTGCTAGCAGCTCATAGCAGCTTAACTTGTGTAGCAGAATGGGTGCCTTGTAATAGATAGCCATCTGCTTTTCAGTTTATGGAAGGCTTCGTTTCTTCTGACGGCATTCTGACGGGCAGGTGTTACATCTTTTGTGACTCCCAGGTTATGAGGCTGGTTCTTGGGTTTGACTCTGGGAATCATGCTCATTGATCTGCTTTTCCTAATCATGTCAGTGAATACCTACACGTGAAGAAAACTCAAGCTGCACCATAAAGCTAAAGGAAGAAGGTAAAAACCACCTCAAATTTCCGTGATACAGGAAAAACTGCTGTGACCCTCCACTTCTCCATCCTGGTCCCATTTCCTGTTTCCACCCTCATCCAGTTTGCTTTTCCAGAATCTTTACTGCTTCCTTTGATGGGGGTAACGACTCTCCCTAACCACCCCACCTCCCGTGGGAACTGTTACCCCATCCATAGCCAGCATTTGACAGCCCAAGGGCAGGTTTATGTATTTGCAAACGACATTATTCTCCTATAACTAAAAATGTAAAGATCCTTTCGTATTAAATAGTCCAGTGTCCCTAGGGCACAGTGCTTTTGGATTTCAGCCTGCTTCTGCTTTGTGATCTTGGGAAAGTCACTAACCCCTCTGGGCCTCTATCTCTATTTAAAAGGAAGAGGCTGAACCAAAATGCCCTTTCCAGGTGAAAGCAAGTGGGGAAGTTAGACCTATTTAGGGAATAGAGAACAGCCTGTGGGACAGGTTTGTGCTTATTGTTGGTGCAGTTTAGTAGGAATTGTCAGAAGCCGATAGATAGATAGATAGATAGATAGATAGATAGATAGATAGATAGATAGATAATAGATAGATAGATAATAGATAGATGATTGATAGATGATAGATAGATGACAGATAGATGATAGATTATAAATTGATGTTTGATAGATCAATAGATAGATAAAAGGGAACCAAATACTGTCTCTGTGGCCTGGGCATTTTTGCCAGGCAGGGGGAATCACATCGTTGGTGACAGAGTTGTATGGCCCACAGAGGCCAGCTAAGAGATTGGGAGAAGGTTGTTGACCTTGTGTGGGAACCAACCTCAGGGGGATGGATGAGGTTGGGGCCCCTTAGGGGTCTCCGCTCTTGGCGTCTGGACTCCCCTTCTCTGTGGGTCTAAGCTGGCTTCTTTCTGCTGTGGGATTGTGTTAACACTGCCCCTTTAGTGATTTTGCGTTTTTTTTTTTTTTTTTTCCGCTGACCCTCATTAGCAGAGGTTTTGCTCTTACACACTGCATTGTCCCAGTGACTTCTTATATGCCAGTCACTGGTGGGTAAATGCCAGAGGGACACTGAGGGCTCATCAGGAGGACTCAGCCTCCTCTCAGAGAGGAAGCCAAGGTGGCCAGATTACAATTTGTTTTTTCTGGTAAATGTCATGGGTAGGAAATGTTATTTGTGAGTCTGAAATATCCACCAAGGGCAGAGGGTGCTCTGAAGACAAACAGGAATTGAGTGCTCATTTTCTTGGCCCTGAAGTGATGTGTTGCCTCCGTGATGTCACAGTTGGCCCCCCTACAACCTAGTTCAGCCTGGCACAGTATATGACGGTGGTCACTGGCTTTCTATCTGGGCAGGATAGCACCTGCACATCAGGGAAAACAGACCAAGCTCTCACAAGGGCAATATCATCCTTTGGAATTTGTTCACTTTTAATTACAGGAGCTTTTAAGTGAATAAGACCATTTTCCCAATGAGCAGTGTCATAAACATTGAGGACTCTCTTAAATCAGAAGATGAATGAATGGATGGAATCTTTGCTGGGATAATATGCAATCAAGCTAATAGGTGCCTTACCTGGACCTCCCAACAGGTAATAAATGGGAAAATGTTAAGGGGGAGTGGTTGGGGAAGAACAGTAAACTTGGAAAAGCCATTCTCATCAGCACAGAAGCACTGAAAGAAGGTACAGATCTTCATGGTGAAAAGTGGGAAGCCTTGTATTAGCAAGGAGTGATGATTGACAAAGACCTAAGGTCTAATGTCTAATGTGTGCTGGGGAGAGTCCGAGAATCCTGTGGGTACAGAGAAAAGTAAGACATTAGAAGTCCTTATGTGTGTTTTGGAGACAGAGTCCCTAAGCTCACCTGGTCAGTAAGTGTCTCTTGCATGAGTGAATTGGACAGTGCGGACTCCATTCTGCAAAAAGCTTGATTGGAGGCAAGTGGAAAGGACCTTGGAAAATTAACCAAAATGCAATGAAGCTCTTTCCTAAATACCAATGGCTAAAGAACTTCAACATGTCAGTGTTGTATGAAATACTTCATTGGACTGAATTGTCCTCTGAATTTAATGTTAGCATTCCCTCAAGAGTCTTGGCTTTCTTTTTTTGCCTGCACTGTCTGCATTACAGTGCAGTAAGGCAGACTTTTCTTGTGAAGTGGTATGGATAAGATTTAGAGGATCTGAACACCTCTCTGCTTTGGAATTCGTGGTAGCTAAAGTGTAAATAGATTCACACATCTGACATTCAAAGTCAGAAATTCACGTGGTCTTGCACTGTTCTGGTGTGCAAGTTGGTTTCAGAAGGGGCTTGGTGTTTGAAAGGTGCTGTAAGGAGTGGAAGAATCGATGCCATCTTCAGATGTTTGTTCCAAGTCACAAGCAAACCCTGCTTCAAATCTGCTGGCAAGGCCTTTGAGTCACACAGAGCCTGACTTGTTCACTTTGTGTTTGTCCAGCTTCCATGGCATGTGGAAGAAGTTGGTCGGCTTGGGAATATGCTGAATCAAGCAACATAACCAACCAATGAGAGGGGGCTTAAGCTTCTTTCAAGCCGGGCAAACCTTTAGTTGTTAGAAGCCCATACTTCCTATGTGGTGGTATAGGAAGGACACAGACTTACCTGTAGGTTTCTTGCCAAAAAATAGAATTGCGATCTGATCAATCTTCCAACTATTTATAGAAAGTACAGGCCAGGCTTGGTGGCTCACGCCTGTAACCCCAGCACTTTGGGAGGCCTAGGCCGGCAGATCACGAGGTCAGGAGATCAAGACCATCCTGGCCAACATGGTGAAACCCCGTCTCTACTAAAAATACAAAAATTAGCTGGGTGTGGTGGCATGCGCCTGTAATCCCAGCTACTCGGGAGGCTGAGGCAGGAGAATTGCTTGAACCTGGGAATCGGAGGTTGCAGTGAGCCAAGATCGCCACTGTACTGCAGCCTGGTGACAGAGCAAGACTCCCTCTCAAAAAAAAAAAAAAAAAAAAAAAAGGAAGGTATGGACGATAAGGGGTTCATATCAAACAACACTATGGGAATGAAGTCCATCGGATTTAGAATGTGGAAATACTAAAAGATGCCACACCACATTTCTTCAGTAAATACATGGAAAAAAAAAAGACGGGGGAAGTGGTGTTAATGAAAGAAACTTTGAAGGGACTGTGGCAGATGCAATTGATGTTCTGCCTACCTTCACTCCACTTCTACCTCTATAGCTTGCTGGAGGCTGTGTGCCAGGAACACCTGTGACGCTTTCCCCTAGGGCATTTATTCTGTCCCCAAGGTTACACATGGTAAGCGGAGCAGAGTGCCCGAGAATTAATGGCCTAGAGAGTTAATGTCTCTGGAAGCAGTGCTTAGCCAAAGATGGGTGGAAAGCTGGTGGACAAATACCCCAGCTTCCTTCCCTCTATCCCCCAGGGTTGGGAAAACTCTCAGTGGTGCCCCACACTGTTTTCCAGAGTTGTCCAGAGAGACTGAGCTTCATTTGCCCCCAGCAGTAACGAACCCTTTGTTGGTGGTCCTCCCACTGTCTCACTTTCCGGCTCCCCTACCAGTTTCACTGGGGTCACCTCCCAGTTAAACCATTTGCACTGAAATCATTGCCCCAGGGTCTGTTTCTGGGGGAAACCAAAGTAGGACAGGGACAAATCAATCCATGGAACAAGTGAACCTTATTTCCATCTGGATTCAAACAACCCATCTGCCAAAAGGCATTTATGAGTTAAATGTGGAAACATGATCATAGATGGGATATTAGATGATTTTAAATAATCGTTCTTTAATTTCTTTAGGTTTGATTGTTGTTTCTTGGTTATTTTTTTAAAAAAGAGTGCTTATCTGCTAGAGATCCACATTGCAGTATTTACAAATGAGATGATACGATGTCTGTGGTTTGCTTTAAAATAATCCAGTGGTGGTGGTGGAGGTGGAGGGGCACCAGGGAGGGGATCCGGGGACTATAAGGTGGGCAAAACTTTAATAACTGTTGAAGCTGGGTGATGGGGACATGGCAGTTCATTACAGAGGTTTTGTGGTGTATTTAAAATCTTTCATAGTAAAATGTTAAAGAAAACAAAAAAAAGCACATGTACACCTTTCTGGTCTCCCTCCTCTGAGGCAAAATTAAATGATCCTCTTCCCAGCCATGTTACCGTGACACATCGGCTCTGTCTTGGGGATCAGTGGCTCAGCAAGTGAGTCCTTAGTGTCTCAGTTCATGGCCCTCCTCCATGCTGGTGGCCTTCACCTCCTCCATTGCATCCATCCATCCCGTAGCCAGACTGGAGCCTTTGGCATCACCCAGACCTGCTTTTACCTGAGTTCTTAAATTCCATCCTGTGAGCTCCTGCCCTGAGCGATTCCTCTGGTTCTATTGCAGCAACTTTCCAATCTGTAACCCGCCATGCAATCATAACCCACGTGGTCTCGACTGTTAAGTACCAGAACTGCTGGGCGGGAGGGAGGGTGAGCCTGGAGACAGAGGTCAGGCCAGGTTGTGGGCCTTCTCCTGTAAAGAGTCTTCAGCAATTCTAGTGGGATATCCAAGAGGTTGTTGTGACTTTGGCCTTGGCCAAACACCCCAGGGGTGTTATAATTGGGGGGTGGGCAGCCACTGGGAGAGGAAGTGCCACCATGGCTGTAAGTGGAAGAATAGAAACTTCAATCGGGAGGGATCCAGTACAGGAAGAGTTCAGTTCTCAGGGAGAGAGGGTTGGAGAAAGCCTGAGTCGTTGTTAGGGCATTAGCCAAATGGCCAGGACTTTTCCAGAGGGAAGCTGGGATATAATCAGGAAACTAGGGCAGGAGGCTAATTCTGCATACTGGATGCATGGGCCAGGTTCAGGTGGGTCTCCTGCCCAAGGCTTGCCACAGGTATGCCAGGCTTTGGGTGGCAGGAGGAATGGCAGAGCTCAGCCACTGGAGGGAATGAGCCTGTGCCCATGGGGCTAGTTTCTGATGGGCTCGGTCACTGGAACAGGTTGGGTGAGGGTGGCCATGGAGAACCTGCAGGCTGAAGATCTTTTATATTTGGCTTATTTATTGAGAGGTCTCAGCTCTGCACATACATAGGAATTGGTTTTATTTTTGCTAATCACTGCTTTCCACTGTGCTGAAGCAAGTTCTTCTCTCCTTCTGTGGAGTAGGACTCTTGAGGATCCTTTGACCAGGGCCATATATTTCCTGTCATGGTTAAGTTTTAAAACCTTTTTATTTCTGTATGACTTAGTCCCCCTTTTTTTTTTTTTGAGGTGAGTCTTGCTCTGTCACCCAGGCTGGAGTGCAATGGTGTCATCTTGGCTCACTGCAACCTCTGCCTCCCGGGTTCAAGCGATTCTCCTGCCTCAGGCTCCTGAGTAGCTGGGACAACAGGTGTGTGCCACCGTGTCCAGCTAATTTTTGTACTTTTAGTAGAGATGGGGTTTCACCATGTTGGCCAGGCTGGTCTCGAACTCCTGGCCTCAAGTGATTCGCTTGCCTCCGCCTCCCCAGTGTGCTGGGATTACAGGTGTGACCCACCGCACCTGGCCGCTTTTTGTTTTTAAAATATCAGTTTCCAACCTGATTGACAGTTTGTCCTCAACAGCATGGGCAGAGATGGGATCCTGGCTGCTGGTAGCGGAAGAGGGTGCTGTGGTCAGGCTCTGTGCACCTCCTCCCTCTCCCCCTTCCAGATGCTCCTTCCCTTGGTGCTGGGCACAGGAAGGACAGGTGGAGAGGCTTAGTTCTATGTGTCTTCCACCTGCAGAGGGTGTATGGGGGTTCCTGGTCTTGCTGTGGTCCCCCCGGTTCTGTCTGATGCTGGTGTGGCACCTGTGTCTTCCTGTGGTCTCATCTGTGGTATATAATCCCACCCTCTTTTCCTGGTGCTATTTCCCTTACCCTTGAAGCTGCCTGGACAGGCCATGGCTCCTCTCCTGCTGCTCTCCCAACCTGAACCTTCTTGTTGACTCAGGGAAACCACTGGAGTCTTCTTTCATACCCTCTGAGGGCCATAGAGAATGGTATTCCTTCACTGAAGGCAACTCTAGTCTTTGCAAGTGGTTTTCTTGGAGTCCCTCGGAACTGGCTTTGAGAAAGGGAAAGCATCCTCATCAGTTTCCCATGAGAATGTGAGGGAATAAGAAAAGTAGCTAATAGGCCAGATGTGGTGGCTCATGCCTGTAATCTCAGCATTTTGGGAGGCTGAGGTGGGTGAATCACTTGAGGTCAGGAGTTCAAGACCAGGCTGGCCAAAATGGTAAAACCCTGTCTCTACCAAAAATACAAAGAAGTTAGCTGGGCGTGGTGATGCACACCTGAAGTCCTAGCTACTTGGGAGGCTGAGGCAGGAGAATTGCTTGAACCCAGGAGGCGGAGGTTGCAGTGAGCCAAGATTGCACCACTGCACTCCAGCCTGGGTGACAGACTGAGACTCGGTCTCAAAAGAAAAAAAAATGTTGCACTAAACATCTTTTTCCATGTTAAGGTTGTCTGTCTGTATTTAGGAATGGACTTTCCTTATGATAGACTCCACTCTGTGATGTGAAATTTGTACATCAAAGGATTTGAACAATTCTAAGTACAAATTTTTATATGTGTGTGTGTTTGTGTGTGTGTATGTGTAGTACAGTTTTAATTGCTCCCATGATACATAGTCATTAGAGAAAACCCTTGTTAAAAAAAAAAGGAGCGGGGAGGAGAAAGGAGGCAAAGAAACACGTATATGGATTTGCGTCTTCCATTTGCCTTGAATTAAATTTAATGTCATTAAAAAACCCACTGGCCAGGTGCAGTAGCTCATGCCTGTAATCCCAGAACTTTGGGAGGCCAGGGCGGGAGGATCACTTGAGGCCAGGAGTTGGAGACCAGCCTGGCCAACATTGCAAAACCCCCTCTACTAAAAATACAAAAATTAGCCAGGCGTGGTGGTGCACGTGCCTGTAGTCTCAGCTACTCGGGAGGCTGAGGTGGGAGAATTGCTTGAACCCAGGAAGTGGAGGTTGCAATGAGCTGAGATTGTGCCACTGCACTCCAGCCTGGGCAACAGAGTGAGATTATGTCTCAAAAAAAAAAAAAGAAAAAAAAAAGAAAAATAGCTAATACTTACATAGTGCAGTTCTAAGAATGTTAAATATTTCAATTGATTTAATCCTTGTGATAACCATTTGGAGTAGACATTAGCCTCATTTTATGGACTAGAGTGGATATATATAGCCCTACATCACACGGTTTATAAGTTGGCAGATCCAGGACTTGAACCTTGTCTTTCGGGCTTAGGTGTTACATGTCACTCTTGTCACGCTGAAGGGTCCTTCTTTTCCTCTCTTTATATTGATTTCCTCTCTTATATTGACTGAATGGGAGGCAGGGGAGTGGTAAGGGCAGGGGACCAGTTTTGACACCTCTTGGAAAGTTGTGCTGTAGTAGCTGGCATCATGGCTAGAAGCTTGTCGGTGACTCTGACTGTGGACTATTGTGAGCTTTCAGTCATTAGCTTTGGACCTTAGCTGTGATTCCAGGTCAGGAGGAAAGTTCCACTCAACTTGCTATTTCTCATCTAGCTCGGCAGTGTTGAGAGGCCTGGCTCTTTTCCTGAAGCTATTTTCCCCAAGCTGGATATCTTAGGACTTCTCTTCCTTTCCTGCCTGCCCAGATCCCATGCAGGGCAGCTCCCTTTCTCACAGACCCCTGCAAACCCCTCCCTCCACTATCTTTCCTATGTCTTCTGCCAACCTCAGGCCCTGGAGCCCTCTAACATCTGTCTTCTCTGCTATACAGGGTCTGCCAGGAACTGCTGGAGAAAATCTTGTAATTGTGCTGGTGTTACATATTTATGGCTTCAGCTTCAAGATAAGTCACTAATCCTTTATTATGTTCTTGAATGGCTTCCTCTTCCACTCTTTGTCATGGCTCTTGAAGACCCGTTACAGCCCCAAGACCCCGTGGTAGTAGTCCTACCTTCTTGCCCCTTGTCTTCACGCTCTCCTTTACTGACACTTACCTTGAGGTTATCTACCGGGACATCTAGAGCCTATTGTTCGAGGAATGCAGTCTTGCAAGCCTACTCTGGACCCGAGCAGCTGACCTCTTCTTCCACGCCCCCCTTCTCGCTATCTCTTTTACCAATAAATATGGAGGGCTATGTAAAGCTCAGGGCCCTTGTCCACTAGAGGCAAGGTGCCCCCTGACCCCTTCTTCCAAACATATTTTTTTGTCTCTTATCTTTATTCCCACATTCATCCTCCTTTGTTCAGTCCCCTAAGGTCTGTGCAGGTTACAATTAAGCAAGTTGGCCTCTTGTTTAAATCCTTCCCTTGACTCTCTCTCCCCTTAGGCCTCCCCTGTCTCACTCTTTTCTTCATTGCTGGACTTTTAGAAAGCATATCTCTACCCACTGCTTTCACTTCCTGATCACGTATCACTGTCAACCAATGTAATCTACTGTCCCCTCCATCATCACACAATGGATCTACTTCAGTTAAGTTACCAACATCTTCCTAAAAGATGAATCCAGCAGGCATTTGTGTCTTTATTTTTGACAACTCTGCTCTGTTGTGGATTTTGACCATCTCCTTCTGGAAACATCGTCTACTATGATTCCTACCACACCACTGCTGGTTAAACTTTTAACTCTCTGTTCACTATGTTTTATTTTCCAGCCTCTCTTTCTCTGTCCAACTTTTTAAAATCAGTGATCACGAGGAGTTTGCTCTTGGTCATCTAGTCTTTTCACTCAGTTGATGTTTTGTGTATGATACCATGACTCTCATGATAACCCATGTGGTCACCTGTTCATAATTCCTGTCCTGACATTTCTCTTGAGCTTTAGGCAGCCTATCTGGACAGCTCTACTTGGACACCCCCACACACCTCAAATTAGTTTTCAAAAAATATATTTTTTAAGTCCATCCAAACATTTTCATCACTCCAATTTACTAGAAACTATAAAACCAGCCTTCATCTTTGGGCATAGCACTCTGGAGCTGATTACCTCCCCTTCAATCCTGACTCCTCTCTTGATTAGCTGGGTGAGCCTGGGCAAGTAATCCACTTTCCATGTGTCTTAGTTTCTGGAAATTAAGCATATCTTCCTTAAAGGATGGACATGAAGATAAAATTAGATAATAAAGGCAAAGCTCTTGGCAAAGGGCTCAATATGTAGTAACTTCCACCAAATGCTGTGTTTTGTTATTGTTGCCATTATTCTATTCATCATTCATTCAACGCTTCTGAGTATCCTCAGTGATTCACTTGGCATTGTGCTAGGGACTCACTCCACACCCTTATCTCTCTACATTCTGTAGATTTTTACCTCTTAAGTGCTCTAAGATCTGTCAATCTCTCTCTGCACCACCATCACTCCTCAGGGTGGGGCCACATTACTTATTATCTACACTGCCACCTCTCCCACCTATTTTCTCTCCTGCTCCAGGCCATCTTCCTCACTGTGGCCAGAGGGATCTTCCTAAAACAGGAATGGTCACCCCCTACTGAAAATCCTTCAGTGGCCCTTCAGTATAAACTTGTACTGCTTCCATGTTGTCAAGCCCTTGTGTCTGCTGGCCTAGCTCTAGCCATCTGGAGCTACTTGGAAGTTTGCACACTATGCCCTGTTGGGTTATCCCTTTGGACCAGGTCCATGTTCTTCCTTCTGCTGAAATAAGCTTCTCCTCCACCTCCTTCTATTGTCCTCCTGGTGTTTTGCTTTCTCCTCCTTTAAGATTCTGTTGAAGCATTACCTGCTGCTGTAAAAATTTTAGGAATTTTTACCCGTTTCCTTCCTCTTCCCCCACCTGCTGAGGTGGGGGATGGGTTGCTTTGTTCTCCGTGTTCTTACAGCGTTTTATACATATCTTGCCTCTCATGATCAGGGGCTCTATCTTTCTTACCCCTAGGTTTTTTAATGTCTAAGGCCTGGAAAAGGAGGTTTACAGTTAGCAGTATTTTATTAAATACTTAACTCATTAAAGTCATAAATGTAAAACTGATTCTACATTAAACTTTAAAAAATAACTTACAAATTTTATAAATTCATTTGTAAATCTGATATTTATGTTAAAATGAAAGGCACTCCAGCCTGGGCGACAGAGACTCCATCTCAAAAAAAAAAAAAAAAGAAAGGCACTTATCTTTGAACAGTGTTTAATTTATAAATTTAACCAATTAAATCCCTCAATTAATACTATTTATAAATTCTGTTAATTTCCCTTAAACATTTTAAAGTGTAGTCATACGTGTAATCATATGTTCAATTAGTCATCCAGTTCTCACAGAGATCCAAATCTGATCAAAGAAACAAATGTCATTCACTAAATAAATGTTTACTGAGTGCCTAGCATGTGTGGTAACTGCTCCAGGCTTGGAGACTCAGTGATTAATAGTCAATGAAATGACCACTGAATGGTAAATACCGAGAATTGTGCCAACTGTAAACCTGAGTAAATGATTATTAGTGTTTTAACTAGTGTCACTGCAACCTGAGTAAAGTATATAAAATCCTATCAGTACACAGGACCTTAGAACAAACAAATACACAACAATTACACAGTAGGGCCTGGCCACAGAATGAGGAGATCTGAATAAAATCCTGGAAGATGACACTAGAACCCAAGAGCCTCGCAACTCCCTGATATTTAAAAGCTGCATTATTTCAGGAAAAGGTACCAGTCTGCTGAAAAATGGACACATGACACTGGAGAAGATCATCTGAAAGGGAGAGGGTCGGGAAGTCCTGTTGACTGCTGATGTGGCAGCTATTTGATGATAATGAGGGGCTGAACAAATGCCAGCTCAGATGGAATCATTCTGGAAGGTGCACTCACATTCTGAGTCCAGGCCCTAATCTCCAGTCAGTAACATGGAGCTTGACTTTATTGTGGTTCCCAGTATTTTATGGGGTAACCACAGCTGACCTGAGGTGGTTATTGTGCTGTCCTTGATTGGGCGAACTACTTGGAAATTTGAGATAAGGAAATAAATCCCTGGTGTCAATGCTTCTGTATTGGATATAATGATAGTAATAAGATATATTGATAGTAATAAGCTTTGCAGGCATTTTTAGGTGTGTGTTTTGTTGCTGCCTCCTTTTGAGCCCCTCTTCCCGGACCACACTTTTGCTGGAGTTCACAGAGCAGGCTGGAGTTCATCAATGAAGCCCTGGACCAATGTGGCCTTCAGGCCCCACATGCTGAGCCCTATCAAGTGCCATATCTCTCTCCACTATTGGTCTTGGGTGAGATGCTGCATTGGGGGCCTAGAACCTGGCTTCTCGAGTGGCTGTCCAAGGGCTGGAGGGTGAAACCCGGAAGTGTTGGGTCTTTGGCTCCTATGGTGAACCTCAACCAATGGGAGAGGATAGGATGGCACTGGGCAGATCAATTTCCCTTCCTTTCTCCCTTCCAGGGACTACTCTGAGGTGCAGTTTCTTCTTGCAGCTCTTTGTGAGAAAGTCCGGTGTGCTGATGGACATGGTTGCCTAGTGGCCTGGAGTGTTTTGAAGGTGGCTGGTGCAGTTACACCCTTTATCCCACAATCCTTGGACTCTTTCTTGGCCTTGCTCTCTTTCCTCACTCTTACCTGGGCTAGTAACTCGCACAATAAATTGTCACTTTAATCCTTGTCTCGGGCTCTGCTTTCTAGAAGACAGGGGCTACGAAGGCCCTTTGAAAAGAGTTATAATCATGGATTTTGGAATATTTCTTGTCCTCTGTGTATCCCTGAAACTTAGTACTTTTTGGAATTGGCTTATGCTTTTAATGACCTTTAGACCAGAAAATATTATATTTTTAAATTGTTTTCACCTGACGTTTTTAGTGTTCCAAAGTTGTATGCTTATCAGAAATAAGCAAGAACTCTGCAATTCTTTGAAGGCCAACAGCTTGTTACACTGTTTATAGCATAATTAACAACTTTATAACATTTATGAAAGTAAATGGATTAAATTTGTAATTATTGTCTGGAAAAACTGTATTTTTACATTTTATGAAACTTAAGCGACTCAAGTTATGCCATATTTCATACATAAGCTGAACTTTAATTTTAGATTCATGATTAGTACATCATAAAAGTACTTTCTGTGCTAACATTTTTCTCTTCCTGACTTATATATTTAAAAAAAATTCCCTTTGCTAATCATGATCCTGTTTAATATTCTTGGGAAGGTTAGAGGTGGAATTCAGAGTGAGATTATTGGCATCGCAAGAGGAACAGACACTGAAAGGTCAATTTATTCAATTTCGTGTTTGGGTGCAAGATCTCAGTTACTCGTCCTACACATGAGAAAACCCTTCTTGCCTTTAAGATTTACTGGCTTCTGGCTGGGTGCAGTGGCTCACGCCTGTAATCCCAGCACTTTGGGAGGCCTAGGCAGGCAGATCACCTGAGGTCAGGAGTTCATGACTAGCCTGGCCAACATGGTGAAACCCTGTTTCTACTAAAAATACAAAAATTAGCCAGGTGTAGAGGCCCACACCTGTAATCCCAGCTACTTGGAGGCTGTGGCAGGAGAATTGCTTGAACCCGGGAAGCTGAGGTTGCAGTGAGCTGACATCATGCCACCGCACTCCAGCCTGGGCGACAGAGTGAGATTCCGTCTCAAAAAAAAGAAAAGAAAAAAAAGACTTACTGGCTTCTTTTTAGACACAGTTTGCAGGAAAGGAAGGGAACCTAATAACCCATTAGAAAAATAGGTGTTTTATAAATAATGTTAATTGCAGCTATTTCACATTCAGACAGGTATAACCAAGACTAAGCTTCACTCTAGGAATAATATAAAGTTTTAATCAGAAGAATAGTTTCAAGTTCTTAGAAGAAGTGGTGTGTCTTTAGATCAAGTGACAACTATGTGTCTAAATTATAGCCTTTACCCAAGGGTCTACAGACTTTTTAGGAATGACCTTCACCTGGGTGGGATGCATTCCCCTCATCAGTGTGTGGAAATGGACAGCGGATCAGCATCCCAGAGCCTAAGGGTTTGCCGAGTTGGTGATCACCATCAGCAGCACCTTCCTTGGGTGCCCCAGGGCAAGTGAGTAACCACTGCCATGTTTGGTGTAATGGTGAGTGGAGGTATCCCACCCACAGTAGGAGACAGGAGAGGCCGAGGCCTCCACACCCACGTGTGCATACTTCCTGGATTCAGCATGTGTCTCCCAAATTACCCAGGAATAGGATGTAATGCCTTGTATCTGTGACTTTTGGAGGTACCTTATATATGCCTGTGTGAATGAATAAATGGATGGATATGAATAAATGAATGGGCCTGGGGTTTTTGTTTTGTATTGAGGCAAAGTCTCAGTCTATCACCTGGGTTGGAGTGCAGTGTGCCATCATGGCTCACTGTAGCCTCGACCTTCTGGGGCTCAAGGGATCCTCCTCCCTCAGCCTCCTGAGTAGCTAGGAGTACAGGCATGCTCCACCTTGCCTGGCTAATTAAAAAATACATATATTTTGTTGAGGGGGTTTCACTATGTTGCCCAGGCTGGGGGCTCAAGGTTTTCTCATGGGTTTATTTGCTAATTGTGTTTCTCCTGTTATGACTTGTTCACACCCTTGGCCTAGCCATCCTTTGGAGTATTAGTTTTTTTCTTATGAATTTGGATGAGCTCCCAATATATATACCAGAGGCTTATGTGACCAGAGGCTTGAAAGAACCTAACTTCTATTTCCTTTAGGAGCAATGGTTCAGTATTCATTAATTGAGTGTTTGTAGTGGCTTTTAATAGAACATAATTACTTTTAATAATGAAAGTCCACTGTATTTATTTCACACCTCTTGATTTTTCTGTTCATTATTTTGGATTGTTTTTAAATAAATCATGTATTTCATACATCACTTATGTTCATTGATGAAACATTATAAAATACAAAAAAAGAAAAAAACATTATAAAATACAAAAAACCACCAGCAAAACTGTTATCCACATCTCATTACCCTATATTGTTACTCTTAATATTGGATATATACCCAATATTATTACATTTACATATGTTCATAAAAATGCAAAAATGAAATGTACTGGCTTCTAACCTGCTTTTCTCACTTAATATATTGTGATGATTTTTCTATGAGAATATGGATCCACATCATAATTTTTAGAAGTTGTATAATATGGAAAAACTACAATTTATTTAAAGTTTTCTAATTGTTAGATATTTAAGTTGTTACCAGTTTTCACTAATAACAATAAGTGAAATTTATTGAGTGTTTGCTGTCTCAGATTATGAGTTTAAGATGTTTATATGCATTATTTCACCTAAGCCTCAACAACCTTACGGGGTAGGTATTTTGTTCTCCCCCAGTTTTACAGATGAGGGAACTGAGGCACAAAATAATATACCTAAAGTGAAAAATAAGTATTGCAGCTGGGATTCCAGTCCTGGAAACTTGATTTCACATTTGTGTTCCCAACTAGAACAATGTATAATTAGTGATTCTGTGCTACTGTCTTTGGCAATTTCCTAGGGAAAAAAAGTAATCCTGAAATAAAGTTGCTGAGTCAGCACTGGATATTTTAAGGACTTTTGTTATGCATCGCCAAGTTATGTTCCAGATAATTTCTCCCTCAAATAGTGTAAGAAAAGGCGCATTTCCCCATGTCTTTATTAACACTAGGCTGAATATAGTATTTTAAAATCACTATTTTAATTGTCATTTCTTTAATTGTGAGATGAAATGTTACATTCTTATCCACCTTTTAATTCTTTTATGAATCACTGTTTATTTCCATTGTGGTGTTTGTCTTTTACTGGTTTCTAAGAACTCTTTATACATTTTACATATGATTGTCGAATTGCTGCAAATAATTTTCCTGTTAGTCATTTGAAATTTAAATAGGTTTTTCTTTTTACGTTTTTATTGTGGAATCTGACATACCTTGGAACAGTGCATAGAATATAAATGTACAGCTTATCAAATGATTATGAAGTTAACAACTGTACAACCACCAGTTGAAGCAATGGAATCTTGCCAGTTTCCCAGAAGTTCCCTGTGTGTTCCTTCCTGATACAATCTATGCCCAACTTTCTAGAAGAAGCCACAATTGTGGTAGCCAGCTTCACAGATGGCCCCCAGTGATTCTCTCCTTCTGGTCTTCATACCCACCCAGGATTGTTCCAAGGTGGGCCAGTGCGACCAATAGAATATACAGAAACAGTGCGATGTTGTATTCCAGATTGGGTTATAAAAGACTGTGGCTCCCATCTTGGGCTTGCTCACTCTCTCATGGATGAATCACTCTGGGGGAAGCCAGTTGCCATGTCTTGACGACACTCAGGCAGCCCTGTGGAGAGGCCCCGGTATCCAGGAACTGAGGCCCTCCTTCCAAAAGCCCTTAGAGAACTGAGGCCTGCCAACAACCATGTGGGTGAGCTGGGAGGCAGATCCTCTGCCTTTCAGATGACTGCAGCCCTGGCCCACAGCTTAACTGCAGGCTCATGAGAAATCCTGGGCCAGAATCACCCACCTAAGCTGCTCCTGGATTCCTGACTCTCAGAAACTGCGTGAGATAACAGCCATGTGAGCTGTTTTAAGCTGCTGAGTTTGGGGGTAATTTTTTAGCAGAGTAATAGACAACTAACATAACTATTCTGACTTTTATAATAATAATTTCCTTCTTTATCATTACAATTTTACCACCAATATGTATGCATCTCTAAACAAGATAGTTTAGGTTTGCATATTTTTACCTATTTTATACATGTATTTTAAAATTGGGTCTTATCTCGATATTAGGCATATCCCTATAGTTGCATATAGCCAGCGCTCATTTTATTTGCAATCTAGAGATTCATTGTATGAATACACCACTTACATACGTATCTGTTCTCCTGTTCGTGGTCATCGGTGTTGTCCTGGGTTTGAGACTATTATGAAAACTGCTGCAGTGAATATTATGGGCATGTTTCCTGGTGCACATTCCACAGGCTTCTCTAAGTTGACCTTGTAGTGCACTCGCTGGCTAAAGGACATCGGCATCTTCACTTTTTCTTTAACATTACTAGATAATGGCCAAACCTCATCAAATAATGCCAGATTATACTCCAATCTGCAGGACGTGAAAGTTCCCATTATTTTACATCCTTGCCAATCCGTGGTATTATTGGTCTTTCTGATTTTTGCCCATCTGGTGAGTATGTAAGTGATATCTCATTGGGATTTTAATTTTGCATTCCCTGGGAGTCAAGAGGTTGTGCACTCTTTCATTTATTGATTGACTACTTGAATTTCCTTTTTTTTTTTTTTTTTTTTGAGAGATGGAGTCTCACTCTCTCATCCAGGCTGGGGTGCAGTGATGCGATCTCGGCTCACTGCAACCTCTACCTCCTAAGTTCAAGCGATTCTCCGCCTCAGCTTCCCAAGTAGCTGAGATTACAGGTGTGTGCCACCACACTCAGCTAATTTTTGTATTTTTTAGTGGAGACATGGTTTCACTAAATGTTGGCGAGGCTGGTCACGAACTCCTGACCTCAGGTGATCTGCCTGCCTTGGCCTCCTGAAGTGCTGGGATTACAGGCATGAGCCACTGCGTCCGGCCTGAATTTCCTTTTTAGTGACATGCTTGTTCAAGTATTTTATCCATTTTTAAGAAATTAGTTGTCTTTATTTATTTGTAGCAGTTCTTTACATATTCTGGACACTAGCCCTTTGTTGTTATATGCTATACAAATATCTTCTCTTACTCTGTAGTTTATCTTTTCACTCTCTAAAGCCTAATGATGTCTTTTGATAAAAGAAATTATTTTACTGTAATAGGGTTTATTAATCTTTTCCCATATTTGTTTTTTAACATGTAGGTTTTTTTCGTAGTTGATTTTATTAGTCTTTGCCATTATAGTTCCTGACTTTTGAAATCCTGTTTAGAAAGGCATCCCTACTCTGAGATTACACAAATATTCACCTACATGTGGTGGTTTTATTTTTATGTTTTCATTTAAAAATATTTAAACCATTCATCTGAAATTTTTTTAAAGCTTTGGTTATAACATTTTTTTTCCCTGAATGTGATGAATACGGTTAGCAAATTTACAGAATAATCTGACCTCTTCCTACTGTAAATGCTACCCGTATTATGAAGTGGGATCCTATATATTGGCTGTATTTCTGAGCTTTCTCTTTTGTTAATTGCTCATTCTGTTGATTCTGGCACTTTCTGACACCTACTTGTAGTTGTTGTGCTCTGCGGGACACATCTGATAGGGCCTGCTCCTGCACGTTACTCTTGTTTTTCGGCATTGTCCTGACATTTTTTACATTTTTGTTTTCTAGATGAGCTTTAGGATCCCTTTAATATTAACATAATTATTTTTGGCTGTGTTGTAGATTTGTCTGTGACTTGTTAGAAATTAGTGTTCCCACTTAGGAATGTGGCATGTCTTGCCATTTACTTTTGAATCTTTTTATGTCCCTCAGAAAAATTTTGTAGGTTTCATTTCAATAGAGGTCTGGCAAATTCTTATTCTAAGTTTTTAAAATTTTTTGTTTCTGGTGTGAATTGGCCCTTTTCTCCTATGCGTTTTCTGATGCATAGGTTTTCAAACCTCCACTCCTTCAGCGATAAAGGCTCCCAAGGAGTGGCTGAAGGCTGGGGAGCATCGCAGCTCTGCCCCATCTGTTTACCGTAACAGGTTTTGTTTATAGAAATCATTCTCTTTTGCTAAAAAAAAAAAAAATTTCCTGATTGGTTGTTACTGAGGTTTGAAACCCTGTTTTTGTGTACGCTTTTTTTTTTGAGACGGAGTCTTGCTCTGTCACCCAGGCTGGAGTGCAGTGGCACGATCTCCGCTCACTGCAAGCTCTGCCTCCCGGGTTCATGCCATTCTCCTGCCTCAGCCTCCCAAGTAGCTGGGACTACAGGCGCCCACCACCATGCCTGGCTAATTTTTTTGTATTTTTTTAGTAGAGACAGGGTTTCACCGTGTTAACCAGGATGGTCTCGATCTCCTGACCTTGTGATCCGCCCACCTCGACCTCCCAAAGTGTTGGGATTACAGGCGTGAGCCACCGTGCCCGGCCTGTGTACACTTCTTTTTAATGAATGATCTTTACTGATATCTTTTGTTGGTTTTAATTACTTTTTTAGTGATTCATCTTGGATCTTCCAGGTATTCATTCCTTTATTATTATTATTATTTTTTTTTTGAGAGAGAGTCTCGCTCTGTCGCCCAGGCTAGAGTGAAGTGGCATGATCTCAGCTCACTGCAACCCTGCCTCCTGGGTTCAAGTGATTCTCCTGCCTCTGCCTCCCGAGTAGCTGGGATTACAGGTGCATGTCACCACGCCTGGCTAATTTTTGTAGTTTTAGTAGAGATGGGGTTTCACCATGTTGGCCAGGCTGGTCTTGAACTCCTGACCTCAGGTGATCTGCCTGCCCTGGCTTCCAAAAGTGCTGGGATTACAGGAGTGAGCCACCGCGCCTGGCCTCATTCATTTATTTATTGAAAAAATATTTATTCAGTGCCCACCCACTGTGTACCAGACACATTTCTAGGTGCTTGGAATATATCTATGAGCAAAATCCATGTATATCATATGGTAAGCTCAAAATGAGTATATTATACGGTAACTACTTTGGAGAAAAAGAAAATGGATCAAGGGTTCTAGAGGTGGGATATGGGATCCAGGCAGAATTTTATTTTATTTTACTTTATTTTATTTATTGATTGATTGAGACGGAGTCTTGCTCTGTCACCAGGCTGGAGTGCAGTGGTGCGATCTTGGCTCACTGCAACCTCCACCTCCCGGGTTCAAGGGATTCTCCTGCCTCAGCCTCCGGAGTAGCTGGGACTACAGGTGCGCACCACCACGCCCAGCTAATTTTTGTATTTTTAGTAGAGACGGGGTTTCACCATGTTGGCTAGGATGGTCTCGATCTCCTGACCTCGTGATCTGCTTGCCTCAGCCTCCCAAAGTGCTGGGATTACAGGCTTGAGCCACCGTGCCCAGCCCAGGCACAATTTTAAATACCGTGGTCACCATAGGTCTCATTGAGAGGGGGACATTTAAACGAAGACTTGGAGGTAAGGACGCCGGCTATGTAGATATCTGCTGGAAAAGCATGCTTGGCAGAGGGGAAAGCCTGTGCAAAGGCCTTAGAAACACGCTGGAGGTGTTCGAGGATCATGGAGGGGTGTGGCTGGAGTGCAGTGAGTGAGGGAGTCAAGGTTGGTTAGGGAGGGATAGAGTAGGGGACAGATGTTTGTATGGGGCCTTAGTGTAAAGACTGACACTGAGTGAAGAGAGGAGCCATTGCAGAGTTCTGGAATATTGTAGGGACAAGATGGGCTTACTTTTTTTTTTCTTTTGAGATGGAGTCTCGCTCTGTTGCCAGGCTGGAGTGCAGTGGCACGATCTCAGCTCACTGCAACCTCTGCCTTCTGGGTTCAAGCGATTCTCGTGCCTCAGCCTCCCAAGTAGCTGGGATTACAGGCAGGTGCCACCACACCCACTTAATATTTGTATTTTTAGTAGAGATGGGGTTTCACCATCTGGTTGGCCACCATCATGTTGGCCAGGATGGTCTTGATCTCCTGACCTCGTGATCCGCTTGCTTCAGCCTCCCAAAGGGCTCGGATTACAGGCGTGAGCCACTGCTGGGCTTACATTTTTAAAAGATCATTCTGGTTGCTCCTTTGAGAATAGATTTTAGAGGGGCCGGGGTAGAAGCAGGGAGACTGATTAGAGGCGATTGTAACGCTCCTCACCTAGGATCTTACTGTGCATTGAGCAATTGGTAAGGCTTATGGAATGAATGTTTTTACCTACATCGGGCATTTTAGCGTGCATTAAGAAACTACACATTTAAAAAATACATATTTTTCTTGAGAAAGTGATGGGACAGAAAAGTGAGAGCAGGGGAATTGCCTTTGGAACAGGCCATTTTGGTCAAGCCTTGTCCTGGATAAAGAAGATGGGGAATGAAGGCTGACCTGCCGTGGAGGGGAGGAATGGGCAGGCATGCCCTGCCTCATCTCACGGAGTGAGGGCAGAATCTGGGGAGCGCGTTCTTGGATGTCCCACCAACTTTGGAGAGGACCGGAGGCTGGGGATAGACAAGGACTACTATGATGAAGGAAGCTCGTAAGTTCGTGTTTGCTTCTAAATGGTTGCTGTGGCTTTCTGGCTTTAAACTGGTTTATATTTTCTGCAACCTCACTTCTTCCTAACTATTTAGTAGACCAGAACTTCTCGGTAATTTATTGCTCAATAGTGGGAGAAAGGAAGAACTTCGTTTTCAGGTTAAGACTTCATATGTCAAATCCAGTTTTATTGGTGTGATAAATGCTGGTTTCTGTTAAATTTACCAGGTTGGTCAGTACTGGTTCCTGATACAAGAACTGTATTTACCCTTTTAAGAAGATGATTTAAACTTCTGGAGAAAGGAAGAGGGCAAAGATCTTTAAAGAGTATGCTATTTTTATGACGCCTCCCTAATTATTCAGAAATATGAATAATTCAGGAATTTAACTGTAGAATAAGTATAAATTACCCGGTTACTGCCTTGAAAGAGTTTACAATCACCTTGAAGAGAATCCTGCCCTCACCCCCACCAGTTTCACAAAGCCTATTTTAAATTATACCCTTGGAAAAATTAAACCAAAACACTGCGCAAATATGTTTGGTGTGGAGTTCATTTCTTTGATTTAGTCCTTTCACTTTGGGCCCACACACTTTTGCCATCCTTTAGGGAGCATGCCCAGTGCTAGATTCGAAGCGAATATATTAATGTATGTGTTCACCCATCAATGCCTTGTGCTGAGGGAAAAACAGAAGAGAGTGTCATGGAAGGCTTAAGGATTCTTTTTTTTTTTTGCTGATACAAAGTACTTTTTGTTATTCAATGCTTGTGCCATCATCAGACAACTTCATCCAGAATGCACAGCAACTCTGTAATATAGCTCTGCCTGGTGCAAAATACCTCATTTTGTATAGAAATGCAGGATTGCTTCATGTAGATACAATAGAAAGAATCTTTGCTTTATTCATGTATGAATAAAACGTCTTTGTTCATGGAAGAGAAAAGTGCCTCTTATTGTTTGGAAGCTGTGTGAATTTTAAATTAAGCTGATGGCCCACTATATTACATATTTCGGGGGAAAAATTAGCTTTGCTTATATAAGTTTGGAATCTAATGTCTAACCTAGTGGCCTAAATAATTTTTGCTTTGCAGTTTGTTTATTATGTAAAGACATTGTGTTTGCCACAGACATTGCCTGTCAATGAATTGCTTTAGCAAAATTCTATAGTCCTAATTTTAAAAAGTTGTTATTTATTCCCTTGTCCCACATAAGATTTGAAGCAGCTTGCAAAAAATTAAAAATACAATGTAAATAACAGTCATAAATCATGATCAGAGAAAATATAAATATTTTATGGAAAAGTCAAAGCTTGTAGAGGCATGTGTGAGTGTATTTATGTGTCAATATACATGTAAAAGGGTCCATGAAGCAGCTATGTGGATCCTCAGATTTGATGTTGAGCTTCCTGGCAGCCAAAGTGGAAAAAGGAAGGCAATCAGTTAATCCTTTCTCTGGGTTTGCAAAGGACTGCTTAGAGCATATCCACCGCCAAGCAGGGGTATGGCATTCGGGCTTTCCCAAAAGAAAGCTGGCCACTCAGATGTTCTCACTCATAGGTGGGAATTGAACAATGAGAACACTTGGACACAGGGTGGGGAACATCACACACCAGGGTCTGTTGTGGGGTGGGGAGAGGGGGGCGGGATAGCATTAGGAGATATACCTAATGTAAATGACAAGTTAATGGTTGCAGCACACCAACATGGCACATGTATACATATGTAACAAAGCTGCACGTTGTGCACATGTACCCTAGAACTTAAAGTATAATAATAATAAAAAAAAGAAAGTTGGCCAATCGGAAGAACGGATTAAATAAAGGAATGCTGTAGGTCCTGGGACCCCCATGATGGTGCCTTAGGCTTTTCCCTTTGCAGAAAGTACCACCTCTGGCAAGTGACCTGCAGGACTACAGGCAGAAGTAGGGCTGGCAGAGTGCCTGGTGTGCAGTCACAGAACCCTCCAGCTCCAGATGTAAACTTTTGGCTTTCTTCAAAGTGTTCGCTGGTTCTTAACAAAATGAGAAAAAATAAGAACAAATAAGGAAAAAAAGTAAATTTCCTTCAAATCTGAATTTACGTGACGTCAGATATTATGTTCTTCCTATAATTTTAGTATTAAAAGTTCCTTTTTAAAATGAAAACAGCAGCAATAGTTCAAAAGGTTGTGTCCTTTCCTGGGGAAATGAAAAAAGTTGAAAACACTTTGTATACGGTAATAATAATAATCACTATTACTACTACTACGGGTATTTACTGCTTATGAAATCTAAAAGTCTAGAAACTCCTATTTCTCTTGGGCTCTACAGCATCTCAGTCAGCTGCTTTGTCTCCAGGATCACATTTCCAATTTTCTCTCTTTTCTCTCTCCCAGTGTACCGCGCACCTGCTGGTTCCCTCACCCAGTACATCTTGGCTCCCAGGAAGCCACACCCTTGACATTTACCATGCTTCCTGGGCATTTCCTGCTACCATCCCCACCCTGGACAGGGCTAGGATGGTATCAGGACTTAGTGCTGCACAAGCTTTCAGGATACCGGGTAAGAGGGGAGTTTGACACTTGGAACAATACTGGACCTAAAAGGAGCCAGGCCTTGGATGGACAGTCACTCTCCATGAGTTTTTGCACCATGTCAGCACTATAAACTCACTGCAGTGGGAGTTTCGCATTGACAAGGGTCTTCAGACCTAGCTCACCTCAGAAGGTAAGGGGGGCCTTGACAGGTCCTCTCAAGGGGGATAAATGCCACCTGCTATTTAAGGAGACTTGACCCCATCCCTGCTTCTATCCATTAATGGGTGACTTTTTAATTCTTCTGGAACTCTTATTGCCAAGGTCTTGGTGGGACTGAGGGTGAGATCGCTTTTCTGTAACACAGATGCATTGCCATTTTGCTCCTTGATAGTGTAAGATGTTTAAGTCAATTAAGACAAAAATGTGCTTAATACTCTTTTCATTTGCCTTAACAACTCCACGTTTATTTAATATCAGTTTAATTCTTGGCTGCTGCAAGGTCTGGGTAGTTTTCATTTCGAAACTACTCCTAGGGTGAGAAGTCTCTTAAGTGCCTGTGGTATTCCCAAAGAATTTGCTTTTGTGCGGCAGTCACAGCCTGGAAGCGCGCTGCTTTCTTTGCTCCTGGTGTCAGAAAAGCTACTCCTGGTTCTCAGATTGGGCTTTCCTGCACATTAGAATTGGAAAGGTCCTCTTTGTGTCTGCCCCTGTAAGGGAGCCAAACAAAAGGCGCCAGAGTGGTGGTAGGGCAGCATCATCGCTCCCTAACCTCCACCCTCCTCCTTCTCTCTTCCTTCCTCCCCGTCCCTGCCTCCCTGGCCTCCCTACTCCTCCATCCCCTCCAAGACTCTCAATGTAGTCAGCGCTCTGTTTTCCCCACCTTTGCCTGGCTGCCACCTCCCTCCCTCCCTCTCCCTATCAGCTTCCTCCGGATGAGGTGCTATTCTGCATGGACCCCTTAGAGTACTCATTAACTAGATGAATAAGCTGCCAGCAATATTGTTCCTGCTTCCCACATTTTAAAAAGGTTATCTCTTTCTTTTTCCTTCTAAACTTTAGAGCCATTTGAAAATAATCTTTTGGAAATATATTTACATAGGTCTCATGACAAATCCACATACTCCTTTTCAGACAGGTTTCAACGACTGCATAATGAGATGGTCTGGGTCAGCTTTGCACAAAAGTTGTACTTTTCCTGCTGTGAATCTGTATTTTTCCGCTGTGTGTATTTGCAATGACTTTCCCGCCCTACCTTCCACTAGTGATGCATTAATCACAGCATGGAGCTGAGAGGCGTGGGATTGGAAGGGTCTTTGAGAAGTTTTTTAATCGAGCTAGAACGAGGTCAAGGTTTTGAGCATTTAACTTGTGGGATGTTAATTACTTGGCTATGAAAAGGAAATTTGTTTTCTGAAAGTTCAACTGTAGCTACAGAATAAAGGCCATGGAAAGATAAGGCATGGTGTCAAGAGGTTTCATGATCTTATTCCACCTCCTTTTCAGGCCCCAACTCCACTCAAACCCTCCACTGTTGAGCCACACTGGATGTGTCACCCTCTGTCCCTAGACGTGCTGGACATCTGCATCCTGTGGTGCCTCGGCTCAGGCTTCTCTTTCATCTGGGAAAACCCTTGACCCTCTCCTAGACTTCCCAAATGCTGCTTCAAGGCATCATCCCTGCCCTCCTTCCTTTAGAAAGTCTTTTCTACCACTGAGAACACTTCCCTCATGCTCCACCGCAGACTGTACTTCATGCTGCTTTGCTCTTTGTGGTTGATGCATCTGTCTCTCCCACTAAATCATGACCCTCCATTCATTTCTACTTCCCACTCTACCCAGGGCATGGTAGGTGCTCAATAAATCTTTGCTGAATGGAATTTTTTCATCTAACCCAAGAGCAACCTGAGCAGAAAATCATAAATGAATAAGGATCGTAAATGGATGATCATCATAAATGACTAATCATCATAAATGAATGCTTATGGGATATACACAAATTGCAGAACACTGATAGCTATGGCATAGCTCTTATCCTAGAGTGAGTTTCAATTCACTTTAGGTTAGGACATAGAAAAGACAAGGAGAAACAACTAGTCCATGAGGATTTTTTCCATGCTTTGTTCTTTCCATCTGTGCTGTTCAGTAGCTAGTTTCACTGAGCTTCCCTGTAGTGGATGGGTAGAGATTGTGTATTATAAGTACTTGCTCATCAGTGGCTCAAGGGCAAAAATCTCAGTGCCTAGAGTTTGGCATAATATTATGTGAAAAATAATTTTTTGCAATATAATGAGATGTGACACTCCCCACTTTCCAGAACAAGGACTTGTCTCCTTTGGATTTCCAGACCTAAAGAAGAACATCTCCCTTGAAAAACTTTTCCCACTGGCAATTCAGCCCTCTGTTTTCCAAACCCACTTAGAAGCTAAGTTGCACTGGAAATACACAATGAAATGTTTATGGGAAAAAGGGGCATCATATCCACAATTTGTTCTCAAAATGATTTAGTGGAGGGAGAGAGAGAGAGAGGGTGGAAAGGGTGGGTTGGAGGGAGCAAAAGAGAGACAGAGAAAATTGATAAAATAAATGAGATAAAATTGAGGGAATCTGGCGAAGTCTATTGGAGCATTCTTTGTAGCATTGGGGAATTCTTTGTCATATGCTTGCAACTTCTCTGTAAACCAGACATTATTTCAAAATAAGTTTTTTTGAAAAGCAAAAGCAAATTCTTTGAATTCTTACCCAGTTTAAAAGGATGATATGATTGCAAAAAAGTTGTGTTTCTCTATCTATAGGCATAAATGGTAGTGCTTGGCAGTTTAGGATCCATTCACACAGAAACTGCATTTGAGGCAGGTGTTTGTGAGCACCTTTTGACCCCTTGACATTTAAGCAAAGGAGAAGTGGGTTCCTCTTATTCGCAGCTGTCATAGGTCAGACTTCTGCTTGTTGGGCGTGTCAGGCTGGGAAATTCCCCTCACCGCCAAGATGTCCATGTCCTAATCCCTAGGACCTGTGAGTGATAACTTATATGAGAAGGCAATGCGAGGATGGAAGCAAGAGATTGGAGTGATGTGAAGGAGAGATCAGGGTCCAAGGAATGCACATGACCTCTAGAAGCTAGAAAAGGCAAGGACACGGATCCTCTCTCCTAGAGCCTCCAGAAGGAACCAACCCTGCCAGCCCCTTGATTTTAGCCCTGGAAGACTGATTTTAGACTTCTGACCTCTAGAGCTGTGAGAAAATAAGTCTGTATTGTTTTGCTACTAAGTTTTTGGTAATTTTTTATAGCAGCCAGAGGAAGCAAATCTACTGGGTGAGTGGATTCTATGCCCGAGTTCATAAGTGAGAGTGAGGCCAAGGCATGAGTTCTGGATTATTGTCATTAGCATTTCAAAGAATTGTCCTCTGGCTCAAATCAGCGGTGTTCACACTTTGCTTAATTGCCTGTGTCTTATTTTGTTCTCCAGCTTTGATCACATGTATGACAAATGGAATCGGAATGAATTGCAGAACTAGCAGGTCGAGTGCTTGACATCACCTCACAGAGATGTCATGGATGCTTTGGGAAGTGCTTTGCTTGACAGTGCCTGGATTTATGTAGCAAGATATTTTGTCCTGGGGTAAAGGGAGCCCATGCAGGTGGGGGGGGAGGGGAAGGGAATGGGAGCTGATGCCTAGGCAGGTTTCTCAAACCTGTGTGAATTAAGGACCCCTCTCCATAAGGGACTTTTTTGGTGTATTGACTTAAATTTAGTTTTATTATATTGCTACTTAAATCTGTATAAACATAAAACTAAGTGTTAATTTATGCTTATAGCTTTAAGACAACTATAAACTCCAAACATTTCAAATTAAATGCAAATAAAATTACAAACCTAATAAAATTCAAATTAACATCACTGAGTTAATGTCATGGATAACGTTTTGCTGATTTTAAATTGATGTTCTCAATGTGTTTTCACACACACTCGTGAAGTTATGGAACATTATCTTTGTTTCTGCTGGACTTGTTTAATTCACTGTAAAAATATCGTTATGTTGAAAGAAACATATACATCACAGTAATAAATTGATTTATCTAGAACAGTTTTCAGACTCTAATGCAAATATTCAGTTGGTTTCATTCCTGGAAAAATAAAAAACAGACCAAGATAAATCATAGTATTTAGTGATGTACACTTAGGGGATTAAAGTCAGTGTAGTAATAGGCTATGAGAGGAGGGGGGAGGGATACATGGGGGGCTTCTGGATTACTGGCAAGGCTCAATTTCATGATGAGCATGCCTTTCTTGAGTCTCTCTTTTTCTGTGAACATAAAACATAAGTGTACTGACTGTTGGATTTTTATAAAGTGAACACTAATGTTACCCCATCAAGGACAAGAACTAGGACATTGCTAGCATCCCAGAAGCTCCCATGTACCCTTTTATAGTTACATACTCCTCTTTCCCAGCAAAATAACGACTATAGTATGTTTTGTGGCAATCACTTATTGCTTTTATCTATAGTTTTACAACCTAAGTAGGTGTATTAGGCCATTCTTGCATTGCTATAAAGAAATACCTGAGACTGGGTAATTTATAAGAAAAGAGATTTAATTGGCTCATGGTTCTGCAGGCTGTACAGGAAGCATGGTGCTGGCATTTGCTTGGGTTCTAGGGAGGCTTCGGGAAGATAACAATCACAGTGGAAGGCGAAGGAGCAGCAGGCACGTCACATGGCAAAGCAGAACAAGGGTGGGGGAAGGTGCCATACACTTTTAAATGACCAGATCTCATGAAAACTCACTATGACCAAGACAGCACCAAGTCATGAGGGGTGTGCCTCATGATCAAACACCTCCCACCAGGCCCCATTTGCAGCATTGGGGATTACAATTGAACATGAGATTTGGGTGGGGACAAATATCCAAACTGTATCAGGAGGCATTCCTAAATACTGTGAATTGAATTTTGCCTATTTTTGAACTTCTAAAATTAGGGCCATATCGTATCTTTTGTGTTTGACTCTTTCAGTCAACATTTTTTTTTTTAAAGATACATCCATGTTGTTCTGTATGACTGTAGTTCATTTTTATGGCAGTATAGAATACCATTGTATAACTATACCATACTTTTTTGAGCTATTTTCCTGTTGGTAGACTTCTGGGGTCTTTTCAGTTTTTGGCTATTACAAATATTGCTGCTATGAACATACTTATACATGTCTCCTAGAAGACTTGTATCTAAAAATAGAATTGATGTGTCATCTGGTGTTCACTGCTAGATGATGACACATTGTTTTCCATGTGACTTTCTTTCTTTTCTTTTTCTTTTCTTTTCTTTTTTTTTTTTTTTTTGAGATGGAGTCTGGCTCTGTCGCCCAGTCTGGAGTGCAGTGGCATAATCTCTGCTCACTGCAAACTCCATCTCCCAGGTTCAAGCAGTTCTTCTGTCTCAGCCACCCGAGTAGCTGGGATTACAGGCCTCCACTACCATGCCTGGCTAATTTTTGTATTTTTTAGTAGAGATGGGATTTCACCATGTTGGCCAGGCTGGTCTTGAACTCCTGACCTCAGGTAATCCACCTGCCTCACCCTCCCAAAGTGCTGGAATTACAGGCGTGAGCCACCATGCCTGGCCATGAGTTTCATTTTAATTTGTGTTTCCCTCATTTTGATTGAGGTTGAGAACCTTTTCGTATATTTATTGGTCATTTGGATTTCCCTTGTTGTGAAAGGTCTGCCCAACTATTTTGTCCATTTTTCTCTTTTTCAGTCTTCTTATTGATTTGTAGAATATATATTCATTCTGGATATAAGCCCTTGTCGGTTTTATGTCAAAATTATTTATTTTGCAGATCTCTCTCTCTTCTTTTAAAAATAATTTTAACCTTTAATTTAGATTCAGGGGGTACATGTGCAGGTTTTTTATATGTGTATATTGCATGACGCTGAGGTTTGGGGTACAGTTAATCATGTCACCCAGGTACTGAGCATATTACTCAAAAGTCAGTTTTTCACCCCTCACCTCCAGTTCTCCCTCCCCCTTCTAGTAGTCCCCATTGTCTATTGTTGCCATCTTTGTGTCCACGAGTACCCAGTGTTTAGCTCCCACTTATAAGTGAGAACATGCAGTATTTGGTTTTCTGTTCCTGTGTTAACTTGCTTAAGATAATGGCCTCTAGCTGCATCTGTGTTGCTGCAAAGGACATTATTTCATTCTTTTTATGGCTGCATAGTATTCCATGGTGTGCAAGTACCACATTTTCTTTATCCAGTCCACTGTCGATGTGAACCTATCTTTGCTATTGTGAATAGTGCTACGAATGAACATACATGTGCATGTGTCCTTTTGGTAGAATGATTTATTTTCCTTTGGGTATATGCCCAGTAATGGGATTGCTGGGTTGAATGGTAGTTTCGTTTTAAGTTCTTTGAGAAATCTCCAAACTGCTTTCCACAGCAGTCGAACTAATTTGCATTCCCACTAACAGTGCATAAGTGTTCTCTTTTCTCCACAGCCTCACCATTATCTGTTGTTTTTTGACTTTTTAATAATAGTCTTTCTGACTGGTGTGAGATGGTATCTCATTGTGGTTTTGATTTGCATTTCTCTGATGATTAGAGATGTGGAGCATTTTTTTTGCATGTTTTTGGTTGCTTGTATGTCTTCTTTTGAAAAGTGTTTATTCATTTATTTTGCTCATTTTTCAATGGGGTTATTTGTTTTTTGCTTGTGCAATTGTTTAAGTTCCTTGTAAATTCTGGATATTAGACCTTTGTTGGATGCATAGTTTGCAAATATTTTCTCCCATTCTGTGGAGTGTCTGTTGACTCTGTTGATAGTTTCTTTTGCTGTGCAGAAGCTCTTTAGTTTAATTAGGTCCCACTGCTCAAGTTTTTGTTTTTGTTGCCACTGCTTTTGAGGACTTAGTCATAAATTCTTTCCTAAGGCTGATGTCCAGAATGGTGTTTCCTGGGTTTTCTTCTAGAATTCTTATAGTTTGAGGTTTTATATTTAAATCTTTAATCCATCTTGAGTTAATTTTTGTATATGGTGGAAGGTGGTGGTCCAGTTTAATTCTTCTGCATGTGGCTAGCCAGCTATCCCTGTAGGTGTGCAGCTTTATTTCTGGGTTGTCTGTTCTGTTCCATTGGTCTACATACCTGTTTTTGTACCAGCACCATGATGTTTTAGTTACTGTAGCCTTATAGTACTGTTTGAAGTCGGGTAATATGATGCCTCCAGCTTTGTTCTTTTTGCTGGTGATTGCTTTGGCTATTTGGGCACTTTTTAGATTCCATATGAACTTTAGAATAGTTTTCTCTAGATCTGTGAAAAATGATGTTGCTAGTTTGATAAGGATGGTGTTGAATCTTTAGATTGCTTTGGGCAGTTTGGACATTTGAACGATATTGATTCTTCCAATCCATGAGCATGGAATGTTTTTCCATTTGTTTGTATCATCTATGATTTCTTTCAGCAGCGTTTTGTACTTCTCCTCGTAGACATATTTCACTTCCTTGGTTAGATGCATTCGTAGGTAATTTTTTGTGTGGCTGTTGTAAACAGGATTGCATTCTTGATTTGGCTCTCAGCTTGAATGTTATTGGAGTATAGAAATGCTACTGATTTTTGCGCATTGATTTTGTATTCTGAAACTTTACTGAAGTTGCTTATCAGTTCTAGGAGCCTTTTGGTGGAGTCTCTAGGGTTTTCTAGGTATAGAATCATGTCATCAGTGAAGAGAAATACTTTCACTTCTTTTCCTATTTGGATTCCTTTTATTTCTTTCTCTTGTCTAATTGCTCTGGCTAGGACTTCCTCTTCCACTCTCTTACTGGTATCTGTTGGTCAGTGGAAGTTCTTAATTTTAGTGTAGTCAAGTTTATCCTTCTTTTCCGTATATGGTAAGTATCTATACGTGTAAGTGTTTATACGTAGCTGTTTTAGACATCTTTTTCAATCCCAGATTATGAAGCTACTCTTTATTTCATCTTCTAAAGCTTTATAGTTTTGTTTTTCACATTTAGTATTGTAAGTCAAGAACTGTGGAGTGTCTGAAATTTTGCCTTACTTGCAAGCTAACAAGTTAGCCTGCCTTAGTGTCACGAATGTTGCCAGAAGACACAAGACTCCGGGTCAGAGGGTCGGAGACAAATGACTTTGCCAGAGTATCGGCATCTTCTTGTGCCAGTTCCCAGAGCCCAAATTCCTACAGAGCAAATGTGTAGAGGGTCAGGTGACTTGTACACCTGGAGTGAACTGTGTTAGAGGTGAGGAGCCCTGAGGCTAGGGAACCCAAATCTTTTATAATGGGCTGTAAGCTTGCCTGACCTTTGCCCAGAGGGAGAAATTGTCTTTATATACTGGACAGTAAACAAGTCTGTCATTTTCCTTGGGGAGAGACACTATATCTTCTAAGACTGTTTGCCATACAAATATCCTTTGAAGAGATAGCAAAGAACAAAAAAAAGCAGAGTGTCTGCCTTCAAGACTTGCAGAAACATGAGGGATTTAGGGAAAACTGTCTCCCCTAAGGTGTAATCCACCTGTTAGTAATTTGCGTGTGGTGAGAGGTAATTTCCGTCATTTTCTATGCTGAAACTCAATTATCCCAGCATCATGCCTTGGAAAAGTGGGAGAAAGCTGTCTTCCAAGAGATAGGTGCTGGTGAATTAGACTGAGGTTGCTGCAGTGGAGGTGAGGAGTGGGTACAGACTGAGCTACATGCTTCAGAGATGACAGAGCTCCATGGGCTGTTGGGTTGTTGAGGAAGGGGCTGAAGGAAGGACAAGTGTCAGGAGTAAGAGTCTTCTTCGTTGAGTCTTAAAATGTATTGTGTCCCTAGAGAGGAAAAACAATCATTTAAAATAGGCCTTTACTGTATTGAATACTGGAAATTTGCTAAGATGGTAGATTTTAGATGCTCTTACCTCTCCCACCCACCCCCACAACACAGATAACTATGTGAGATGACAGATATGTTAATTGGCTTGAGTGTAGTAATCATTTCACTATCTATATGTATATTAAAACATTATGTTGTGTATCTTAAACATATGCAATAAAAATTAAGCAAAAAATAAAAAGGCCCGTATTTCTCTTAACCTGTTAAATACTCGGTATAAATTTGAATTTAGAATCTGAAGTGGATCATGCACCTGGAATTCCTGCGTGTCCAGCTGGCCTCTTTCTGAGGTGTGTTTCCTCTTACTGATATTTATTCTTCCCTTTCCAGTCTGAAAAGCAGTCTCCATGGCAGAATAATTGGTAACCAAATGTAGATCTATCTGCAATGGAAAGTGACATTTTGTGAGCAAAACCTCAACTTTTTAACAAAAGAAAACAAACCGTAGAGCAAAGGAGATTTTCTTTCATTAGCCAGGGTCCAGTTAGGATACAGGAACCGTGCTAAGTATTTCACATGGAAGGGATTTCATACAGGGATCTGGCTATACAGGGTCTGAAAGTTTGAAAAAATTAAAAATGGACACTACCTTTAGGTGCTGGGTGACAAAAGGGAAGAGGTGGCAATATAAAATCTAGGTGCTCAGAGAAGGAGCTACCTTGGATGGTGCTGAGGATGGGGAGGGGAGAGCTGGGAATGGAATGGCCCAGGAGATACCACAGCGCTCCTGCTTTACCCGCTGCTGGAAGGATGACCGTCAAGGCTAAAAGCAGGAACACAGTCCTTTCTTCCCAGCTCCTTCTTTCCACTGTCACAACATAACCAGAAGCCAGCAGCAAGGAAGCCTGAGAAATGTAGATTGCAGAGTAGAATCACTGAGTGGAGGTTGGGGCTGAGAGACAATAGGCAAATAACCAGCACAGAGTCTAAGCAGCAAACCGTTCAGATTAGCTCCTCCTACAACAATGTGAAAATTGGAATGCTCATTTTGTTGCTACTTCTAGGAACTGTGGCCCGTGGGTCAGTTGGGAATTAATGGCAAATAAAGGAGATTCTGGGGCAGTGTTTGCTTATGTGTTGTGTCTGATTAATTTCCAAAATCAAGCTGAATTAATTTTGGATTTATATGCATTCATTTTTGAGGTCAAGGCTAGAGGTCATAATATCTGAGGTCTCATTCTCGCCACTTTTCCTATTGCTGGAATAGTGGTGCTATGTCGGGGAGAGGACACAGAGAGGAACAGGCACTGAGAAAGGGAGGGAAATAGTGGGTTCAGAATTGGGACATCCAGGAGGCAGCTGGAAACGTGAGTCTGGAACTCTTGGGTGAGATTTGGGGCTAAAGATAACAATTTGGGTGCTTGATGGTAAGCACATCCTTTGAGAGTATATGCAGTTTCCCAGGAGAGAATGTGGGAGAAGAGTTGAGGGAAGGGTTGAAAACCTTGGAGGACACCAACATTTTCAAAGTTAGAGGAGCCAGCAGAGGCGAGCTCATCCTAATGGAGATCACTTCGTTCAAGCAGATTATTTGCTTGAAACTTTCATCTTTGGTATTATTTGCACTGTAGTGGAATGAACAACCATAATGTGAGTTTAAAACCCAGATACCAAAATATTGTTTGTTTATAGTCTCCCTCAAACTCCATCTTCCGTAAGTGCTGGTGTGGGGATTATGTACCTCTTCACTTCTCTTCTCTGCACTGTTGATAAAGGAAGAGGCAGGTTTTGCTGACCACATTTTGGCAAATCTGTTGGCTCTTTCTTGGGCATTCCCATGCTCATGGTCACAATACTGTTACTACGTTAATTTAACTCTAGAATTGAGTTTAAGCCACTAATCACAATTTCTTTTTCTTGCTTTGTCATTATAGCTGCTTTTTGAAAAGCAAAATTACTAAATTTCTTAAGTCAATAATTTCAGGTTGATAAAGAAGAGGCAAAATATATGCAGGCTTTAAAACATGCTCTGAGACCACAGAAGGGTCTTTTTCTGATCCAAATATCCTATTAAAACTGTGTGACTATAGGAAAAAGTCTGTGTAGGCTAGAGCAAGTTCAGTTGAAAACCTATTTTTAAAAACACTTAAATAATTACCTTTCATCCTAAATCATAGACATGGTCAGCATTGTAAGAAAAGCTGATACACCCAAATCTGAATATATATGACAAATAGATCATTAACACCCTTTCATTTTACCAAAGTATTCTTTGATAGTGCCTTTAAATAAGCCAGTTTCTAAAGTAAATTTAAAATGTCTTCAATTATAAAAAATAGATTTACATGTGATGTTTCAAGGACATATCTTGTGAAGGAAGTACAGTTGTAAAGTGTTGAGCAAAGTCATGAAAGTTTTCACAAGAAGGAAAAGAATAACATTTATTTCTACCTTTTCTTTTTTCTTATCAGCATCTCAAAATAGACCAACAGTATATTCCATTGTTACTATTTATTTGCTGCAATACAAATGACATCTCATTTGATTTTAGCCCTTTAACCTTGAGCTAAAATGACCCTGTGGAAACAAATGAGCACTGTAGAGACACCTGCCCCTCAGAAGAGTTTGGAAGGGCAGAGTTCTGTGGGAGAGTTTGCCTAGGAAGTGGTGCGGGGTGGGCTGCCCGGGAAGGGTGTGTGGAGTAGAGACCAAGAAGGGGCTGAACGCCATCTCCCAGGAAGCTTCCCAAGACTGACTTTTCTTATATGTGGCCTCCAGGCAGAGGTGGGGAAATCCCCAAGCCTTCCCAGAGGGCAGTGAGGCTTTCTCACCTTAACTTTTGAGTTAGGAATTAGTTCACATTAGCAGTTTTTGGCTCCCTGAGGCTGAGATTGGGGAGCTTTTCTGAAATCATGGAAATTTCTGGCCCTTATCTCTAGATGAAGATCCCACCTTAATTTTATGTATCCAACATAGCCTAAACTATTGTTCTTTTTTTCTGTCTCTGTCTTCCTTTCCCCCTGCCTCCCTCCTTCTCTCTCTTCTTTCTTTCTTTCCTTCTTCTCATTTCCCAGTGGTCTGGTCTCCAAAAACAAATGAATGTGTGAAATCAGTGAGGATTCTTCTCCCTGGAAACAATGTGTTGTTGGCAAAAGCAACAACTGCCTCTGCAAACATCAAAATCCTCCAAAAGAGTGAATGGGGAAGATCATATTTGGTGTTCAGCAATCTAAAAAAAAAAAAAAAAAAAACAGACAGCAAAAACCCAGAGGAAGTGAAGAAAGTTAGTAGGAACTGGTAATACTATACAGATGATTTCTTCTCCACCTGTTTGGAAGTTTTGCTTAAGTCTGGCTTTTCTTGCAGTATTAGGAAGTGAATATGGTTGGTGTAAGAGAAGGTGACAGTGGATACTATACGCAGGGAGCTCTGTGGAGCCTTGCAGCCCTGCAAGTTTTTATTTGCAAGGTGTTGGTTGAATCAGCCTTTCCTCCTAAAAGTTTCAGCACATACAAGTTGCTGACTTATTGGCTGTTTTCTTCTTTTAACCCAAATTCTGTATTCTTAGTTGTGTTGTCATGAAGGATGCATCTTCTCATTTTCAAAGTGAAATCAAATGGATCCATGCCTTTCACATGTAACTTTCTGTTCAACTGCTTAAAATTATTTTTATTGATCCATAACATTTGTACATGTTTATGGAATACATGTAATATTTTGCTACATGCATACTGTAATGGTCAAGCCAGGGTATTTAGGGTATCTATCGCCTTTGTATTTATCATTTCCATGTGTTGGGAACATTTCAGGTCATTCTCTTCTAGCTATTTTGAAACATACAATACATTGTTGTTAATTATAGTCACCCTACTCTGTTATCGAACATTAAAACTTATTCTATCTAACTGTATGTTTGCACTCATTAGCTAACCTTTCTTCATCCCCTCACCCCGCAACACACCCTTCCCAGCATCTAGTAACTGTCATTCTGTTCTGCCTCCATGAGATCAGTTGTTTTAGCTCCCAAATATGAGTGAGAATATATGATGTTTTTCTTTGTGCCTGACTTATTTTACTTGACATAATGACCTCCATTTCCAACCATGTTGCTGCAAATAACAGGATTTTATTCTTTTTTATGGTTGAATAGTATTCCATTGTGTATATATTCCACACTTTCTTTATCCATTTATTTGTTGATGAACACATGATTCTGTGTCTTTGCCATTGTTAATGGTGTTGCAGTAAACATGGGAGTGCATGTATCTCTTTGATATACTGATTTCTTTTCCTTTGAATAAATACCAAATAGTGGGATTGTTGGATTGTATGGTAGTTCTATTTTTAGTTTTTTGAGAAATCTCCATACTGTTTTCCATAATGGCTGTATTAATTTACATTCCCACCAGCAGTGTATGAGAGTTCTCTTTTTTTCATGTTATTAGCGTCTGTTATTTTTTGTCTTTTTGTTGATAGCCATTCGAATTTGATAAGATATCTCTATTGTGTTTTTGATTTGCATTTCCCTGATGATTAGTGATGGTGAGCATTTTTTCATATATCTTTTAGCCACTTGTATATCTTCTTTTGAGAAATGTCTATTCAATATGCTATTTTAAATGAGATTCTTTGTGCGTGTGTGTGTGTGTGTGTGTGTGTGTGTTTTGCTGTGGAGTTGAGTTTCTTTGTAAATTCTGGATATTAGTTTCTTGTTAGATGAATAGTTTGTGAATATGTTCTCCCATTCAACAGGTTGCCTCTTCATTCTGTTGATTGTTTCCTTTGATGTGCAAAAACTTTTTACTTTAATATAGTTCTATTTGTTTAATTCTGTTTTTCTTACCCATGCTTCTGAGATCTTAGCCATAAAATGTTTGCCTAGAACAATGCCCTGGAGTGTTTCCCCTGAGTTTTCTTCTGGTAGTTCATAGTTTGGGGTCTTATGTTTAAGTCTTAAATCTATTTTGAGTTGATTTTGGGATATGGTGAGAGATAGGGATCCAATTTCATTCTTCTGCATATGGATACCGAGTTTTCCGAGCATCATTTATTGAAGAGGGTGTCCTTTCCCCAATGTATGTTCTGGGCATCTCTGTAAAAAATCAGTTGGCTGTACATATGTGGATTTATTTCTGGGTTCTCTATTCGTGTTCTGTTGGTCTGTGTGACTATTTATATGCTGATACCGTGATGCTTTGATTACTATAGTTCTGTAATTTTTTTGACATCAGGTAGTGTGATGCTTCTAGCTTTGTTATTTTTGCTCAGGATTGCATTGGCTATTTGGGCTCTTTTTTGGTTCCATATGAATTTTATGACTGATGTTTCTATTTCTATAAAAAATGTCATTGGTATTTTAATAGGGATTGCACTGAATATGTAGATTGCTTTAGGTAGTATGTTCATTTTAACAGTACTAATTCTTCCTGGCTATTATTAAAAAGTCAAAAAAATCACAGATGCTGGTGAGGTTGAGGAGAAAAAGGAACACTTATATACTGTTGGTGGAATTAGTTCAATCATTGTGGAAAGCAGTGTGGTGATTCCTCAGAGAGCTAAAAATAGAGCTGCCATTTGGCCCAGCAATCCCATTACTGGGGTATATCCAGATAAACATAAATTGTTCTATCATAAAGACACATGCACACATATGTTCAATGCAACACTATTTGCAATAGCAAAGGCATGGAATCAACCTAAATGCCCATCAGTGCTAGATTGAATAAAGAAAATGTGGTACATACATACCACGGAATACAATGCAGCCTTAAAAAAGAGTGAGATCATGTCATTTGCAGGAGCATAAATGGAGCTGGAGGCCATTATCGTTAACAAAGTAACACAGGAACAAAAAACCAAAAACTGCATGTTCCCACTCATGAGTGGGAGCTAAATGATGAGAACACATGGACTCTTAGAGGGGAACAGCAGACACTGGGCCTTCCAGAGGGTGGAGGGTTGAAGGAAGGAGAGGATCAGGAAAAATAACTAATGGGTACTAGGCTTAATACTTGGGTGATGAAATAATCTGTACAAAAAACCCCTGTGACAGGAGTTTGTCATATAACAAACCTGCACATGTACCCCTGAACTTAAAAAAAACCAAACCATATTAATTCTTCTAACTCATGATCATAGGATGTCTTTCCATTTGCTTGTGTCCTCTTCAATTTCTTTCATCAATGTTTTGTAATTTTCCTTGTAGAGATCTTTCACCTCCTTGGTTAAATGTATTCCTAGGTATTTCTTTGGTAACTATTGTAAATGGGATTGCCTTCTTGATTTCTTTTTCAGCTATTTATTATAGGCGTAAAGAAATGCTACTGATTTTTGCAGGTTGATTTTGTAGCCTGAAACTGTACTGAATTTATCAGATCTTAGAGTTTTTTGGTGTAGTCTTTAGGTTTTTCTAAATATAAGATTTTGTCATCTGTAAAGAGAAACAGTTTGACTTCCTCTTTTCCAATTTGGATGTAGCTATTGGATGAAATGTTCTGTAAATGTCTGTTAGGTTCATTTGGTCTAAAGTGTAGTTTAAATCCAATGTTTCTTTGTTAATTTTTTGCCTAGATAATCTGTCTAATGTTGATAGTGGGATAAAGTCTTCCACTATTATTGTATTGGAGTCTAACTCTCCCTTTAGATATAATAATATTTGCTTTATATATCTGGGTGCTTCGGTTTTGGTGCACATACATTTAGATTTATTATTTCATTTTCTTTATTGATCCCCTTATCATTATATAATGATGTTCTTTGTTTCCTTTTACTGTTTTTGACTTAAAGTCTGTTTTATCTGACATAAATATAGCCATTCCTGCTCACTTTTGGTTTCTGTTTGTGCAGAATACCTTTTTCCATCCCTTTACTTTTAGTTTATATGTGTCTTTACAGGTGAAATGAGTTTCTTATGGGTGGCATATAGTTGGCTAATGTTTTTTAATTCAGCCAGTCTATATTTTTTAAGTGGAATATTTACTCTGTTTACTTTCAAGGTTATTATTGATATGCGAGGACTTATTGTCATAATTTTGTTAATTGTCATTTGGTTTTGTGGTTCTTTGTTCCTTTCTTTCTCTCTTAGTGTTTATCATTGCCACTTGCAGGTCTTCTGTAGTGGTAACATTTGAATCTCTTTTTTTTTCCTCATTTGGGTGTTTGCTCTACCAGTGAGTTTTATTCTTTTGTGTGTTTTCATGATGGTAGATATCATACTCTCACTTCCAGATTTAGGGCTCCGTTAAGCATTTCTTACAGAGCTGGACTAGTGGTGATGAATTATCTTGTTTTTGCTTGTCTGGAAAAGACTTTATTTCTCCTTATTTTATGAAGGATAACTTTGCTAGGTATAGTATTTTTGGCTGTCAGCTTTTTTCTCTTTCAGCACTTTGAACATAAACCTCAAGCTTATTCTCTCCTTGCTTGTAATCTTTCTGCTTAGAAATCTGCTATTAGTCTGATGGGGGGCAGTTCCCTTATGTGACTAGATGCTTTTCTCTTGATGTTTTTAGAAATCTCTGTCTATCTTTGGCTTTTGACAGTATGCTACAGAGAAGACCTTTTTAGGTTATATCCATATCTATTTGGGGATCTCTGAGATTCCTGTATCTGGATGTCTTAATCTCTTGCTAGACTTGGGAAGTTTTCAGCTGTTATTTTGTTGAATACGTTTTCTATGCCTTTGTCTTTCTCTTCATTTTCTGGATCATCCAGAATTTGAATATTTGGTCACTTTATGGCATCCCATATGTCATGTAGGCTTTGTTGATTCTTATTCATTCCTTTTTCCTTTTTCTTTTTTGTCTGATTGGGTTATTTCAAAACATTTGTCTTTAAGTTCTGGAATTCGTATGCTTAATCTAGTCTATTGTTGAACCTCTTGAATAAATTTTTTATTTCATATATTGAATTCTTCAGTTCCAGGATTTCTGTTTTGTTCTTTTTTTCATATCTGTCTCTTTAGTGAATTTCTCATTCACATTCTGAATTGTTTTTCTGGTATCTTTGTATTGTTTATCTGTGTGCTGTTGTGTCTTACTGAGCTTCCTTAATAACATTATTTTGATTTTTTTCTGATATTTAAAAAATTTCTATTTCATTGGAATCTGTTGCTAGAAAACTATTGTGTTCCTTTGGAGGTGTCATATTTCCTTGCTCTTTCATGTTTCTTGTGTTTTTATGTTGATATCTGCACATCTGATGTAACAGTCACTTCTTCCATTTTTTTGGATTGGCTTTAGAGGGGGAAGACTTTTTCCTGAAGATGTGTTTATGTTGATGGTTAGGTATAGTGCCTTAGCTTTGATTCTGGGTGCAGGCATTGGTGTAGTCTCGGTATGATTTATTTGATTGTGAACAGCATGGTGTCTGTGATTGTCTCAGTGGCCTGGCTGTGGTTGTTAGTGGATGCTGTGGTGATGCTTTGCTGGGGATGCCTTTGCTGGCCCCAGCAGGTGGGCCAGTCCTTTGTGCCCAGTGGTGGCAGTGGTGGGCCAATTATGCCAGCCATTAGGCTGCTGGGCAGTGTACATGGGCACCAGTGTTAGCAGATCCAGGCAGGCTGATTCTTGGGCCTCCAGGTGGCTTGCTCAGATTCCAGCAGTGGCAGCAGTGGGCTGGATGAGTGGGCAGGTCCTGGGGCCCCTGGGCAGTGTGTGTGGCATGGGAGATAGTAGTACCAGTGGCAGGACAACCCTTAGGCTTCCAGGCAGTTAGTGATGTTAGTGATGGTTGTGATGGGCTGGGTGGCCCCTCCTCAGGTCCCCAGGAGTACAAAGATACCAGTGGTGGTGGACTGGGTAGAGTGATCCGCAGGCCCCTGGGTGATGTACTCAGGCACTCAAGTCAGGGGTGGTTGTGCCAGGCTAGGTGGTCCTGTCCTTAACCTTCTGATGGTATGCACGAGTGCAGGCTGTGGTGGGACAATCTGTGGTGGTGGGTGGGGAGAGCTTGTCCCCAAGGTGCAGATAAGTGCGCAGCATCCCTGCTGCTCAGTGGGTGGGGCGGGGGTGGGGTGGCTGTTAGTGGGAGTGACCCTAGGCATTTGGGCAGCTTTCAGGCTCTTGGGAGTGTACACATTAGTCCTTAGCAGCAGCAGTAACAGCAATGATGACAGTGGGCAGGGAGCCTGTCCTCAGAGTGCATGCTAGTGCATAGTGGCCACGCAGGCAAACAGCTGTCAGGCTTTGGGGAACATGCACATTGGCTCCCCTTGTTTCAGCAGCACAGCAGCAGCTTCCCTGGTGTGCCACACCACCCATTCCCTGTGGTGTGGGACTCTTGAGTGGGCTAGAGTGCTAGGGACCCTGCTGCACTGCTGGGTCCAGCCAGCATCATGCTACTGCAGTCCTCCAGTGTAGGGGGTTGTTAGTGGTGCTTCAGGGATGTCGAGATGCAGGGGCTATGGCATCCCAGGGCAGGATGCCCTGGTTGAGGTTAGGCACTCAGAATGGTGCTGTTCTGCAGTTGCTTAGGTATCAGGGGAGTGTGTAGAGCACTGTTAGTTCTCTTTCTGGAGCAAGGCCTTTGCACAATCTCTAGGCAGCTCCCTGTGCTAGTCTCAGGGCCCAGGAGGATAGAGAGGCTCTTCCATGGCTAAGATGACAGGAGTCAATGGTGGGAATGTGGACTTCTTGGGATCTCTTACCCTTTCCCTGCACCGGGAACCTCTCCAGGCTTCTAGCTGATGCCAGCTGAACTGGCCGCCTTGCTTTCCCTTACTTTCTGTGCCTCAGGTGTTTCCTGTCACTTCTCTGCTAAATTCCAGTGTTTTCTTTTAGATGTTCTATTTGAAATGTGATTATCTATTTCCTATTTTGGTTCTTTTTTGGGGAGGTGGTGAGTGCCAGATACCTCTAGTCAGTCATTTTGAACCTCCCCGGCCCCTCCTCAGGTCAACTGTTTTTTTTTTTAATAAGAGGATTTTTGCCCCTTAATTTTCTGGGATTATGTCCCATATAATTCTTGTAAGGCAATCTAGACAAAATTTTCAGTCATTAATTTTGTGCTTTTTTTCTTATGTTGAAACTACTAAAACAACAGGTTGGCTTTTCTTCAGTTAATCATCATGATTCATCTTTTCCATTATTTGTTAATTTGCCATCTAGCAATTGTATGATGACAAATTCTTTTTTACCTTTTAAACTTTACTGAAGGCACCTAGGCCAGGAGATCACATGGTTAGAGACATTACATTTATTTCCTTCCAACACAAAGAAAGACAGCAAATAGTAACAACCCCCCACCCACACCTATACCCAAGCAAAACAATATTATCATGTTTGCTATCCTACAAGATCCAATTTCCCTTGACTTTTATTGGAGAAAAGTGTCAGTACTAGAAATTCAAACAGAATCCTTAACATGCCCACAGATTATTTCAGGGATCCTTCAGTTCATTTTCTTGAGCAGTAGCTGGTCAGAGGGCCTACTACTTTGTGTGCACCATTCTAGTGCTGAGGATACCATAATGAGTAATATTCATGAGTAAGACCGTAATGAATATAAGACCCTGTCCCCAGGCATCTCATAGGCCACTGTGGGAAGCACATCAATAAATTTCAGCGCAGAATGGTTAAGTGCTGTGTAAGCTTTTAATGTATTCAGGAGATCTGCAGAAGGGGCACCCAACTAGGTCTGAGGAGTCCTAATGACCTTTGAAGGCTGTGTAGGAGTTAGCTATATGGAAAAACTTCCAGGCAATGGGAACAGCATATAAAACGGCAGAAAGGAACAGGGTGATTCTGAGTGACCAAGAGTTTAGGAATGGAGAAGTGTGAGGTGTTTATGAGGAGGGCAATGAATGAGGCTGGAGAGAGGTAAGTGGCAGGCAGATCGTGGAAGGATGGTACACTGTGTTGAGTATGGATTTTATTTTAAAGGTGATGGAATCACTGAATCACTTTGGGGAATAGCATTATTCAACGGGTGTTTTGGATAACTCATTGGCAGTTGTATGGAGGAAGAATTTGAGGAGTCAGTTAGGAGGCTGTTAGAGCAGTTCAGAGATGAGATGACAGTAGCCTGGACTGAGGATATGTTCATGGGAATGGAGAAAATAAAATGGAATCAAGAGATGTTTGGGATGTAGAGTGGATAACACTTGGGGTGGTGTGTGTGTGTCTGAGAGAGAGAGAGACAGAATGAGAGAGAGAGAGAGAGATGAGAGAGATGGAAGACATATATGTTAGGGAACTCTATGCAGCATTTGTGGCTCTGAAGGTTTTTATTTGGAAGGTGTTGATTGAATCTGTCTTTTTTTCTGAAAACTTCAGCATGTACAAGTTGCTGACTTATTGGCTGTTTTTAAAAACATCTGAATTCTATATATACTTCTGAGAGTCCATTACATTTTTCTTAGGTCTAGGACAGCTTTTAGTTTCCAGACTATCAACTGTGTGGGTGGTGATTCCACTAATTGAGAGAAGGGAAGATAGGCAAATAAGTAGAATGATGAGTTTGTAAATTGTGTTTGAGGTATCTTTGGAATATCTAAAGAAAATTTCCAAAAGGCAATTGGATGTGAAAAAATTGAAGTTTGAGAAGTTTGGGTTGGAGTTATGGATTTTCAAGTCAGTAGCAAAATAGGTGATTAACGAGTTCATGGTAATAGACAAAATCATCCCAGGAGATTATTTAGGGCAAACATGATAGAAGGCCAAGGTTGTAACACTAATTGAGAAAAAGAAATTATAAAGGTAATTGAGAAGTGTCTAAGGAGGAAGGGGATGATATTTAGACTGCAGAGGCCAAGGGAAGGGGTGGTTTCAAGGTGGGAGTGGACAGTAGATTTAGAATGTCTCAGATCATCTAAGCTAGGAGCCTGAATTTATCCTGGGTATGAAGGAATTGGATGGTCATTAATGACAGCAGTTTTAATGGAGCCAGATTGTAAGGTGTATCAGTTAGGAATGAGTTTGGCTGCAAGTTAAAGAAAACCTAACCATAGTGGCTTACAGATCTAGGCTTATTTTTCTCATCTAGCATGAAGTCCAGAGATGGGAGGCTGCTGGTGTTTGTTCAAGAACTTAATGATCATCAGGGTCTTCTTGCAATTCTCGAAGCTTATTCCTTATAATCTCAAGCTGATTGATGCAGCCTCATACATGTTCATGTTCAAGATAGGAAGAAGGGAGGAAGAGTGGCATCTTCAAATCAGGAAACCAGTAATTTCCAAGAAATCCCCACCTGCAGCTAACTACTTAGGTCTCATTGCCCATAATGAGACATATGACTACCTGTAGTCACAAGGAATGCTGGGAAAGCAGGGAATGTTCTGGCATAGTGATCATTGCCTGGGCTGGGCCCATTGACACTGTATGCAAAATTTGGGTTCTGTTAGTGAGGAAGAGGAGAGTGTTTATTGAGTGGCCAGCTAACAGTGTTGGACTTACATAGGTTGAGAAATGAATGGGAAGTGAGAAAATGGGGACAGTCCATGTCTATGACACCTTAAGAGGCAGTTCTGAGGAGTATGGACTAGAAAGGGTGGTAGCCAGAGTAGAATATGGGGAAATAATGGAAGGTTACATTCTAGAATATGAAAGGCTTGAGTACATGTAAATGTTGATGTGAGTGGGAGAGATTGAAGATGCACCGGAGCTTTCACACCCCAGGACAATACCTAGAGACTTGGGATGGGTGAGGGCTGTGCTTTTCTATTGTAAAATGGCAGAAGGGGTTCATATAGGAGCTTCTGAAGACAAATCGGTTAATAGGAAAGAGCATATACAGAGGCTTAGGATCTGGAAATACAGTCATTTAAAACTATCCATGTTCAGTATCCATGTGTTTCCAGTTTAAAGACTACTGCTTTAAATCATATAACAGTTTCTGTTCAGTCATTAGCATTTCCAGTTCTATGTGATAATCACAAGTTGAATGCTGACTTGATGTTAATTTTCTCCCCCTCCCCAGCTAGGGTTGGCCTCGGGTAGGGCATTGCCACAGGGAGGGTGTGTGCTCCCTTTGAGTCTCTTACCCCAGAGTTTCTTGCCCTCTGGGTTTGGAGTGTAGGATGAAAGGAGGGGAAAGTGGGGCAGGGAAGTTTCTGTTTCTTTGGTGATTGCAGTATGGCTTTGATCTCTCTGGTCCCTGGCAGGTGTTCAGAGCTGACTTATTCGCAGGTGTCCCATTTCCTTGCTGAGCCAATTTGTCTTCCCTCTGGTTAGTATTTACTTGACTCATGCAATGTACGTTTTTATTTCTGGTGGTACTAACTTTTTAAGGATCCTCTTGGGAAGTATCTCCTTAACTTGGGACTCACTTCTGGTCCCAGGGTTTACCAGGCTTTGATCTGCCTTGATGTTTGGGGTGCTGTGTTTCAATATGTTCCCATAGATTGTGTTGGAAGCTCAATTGCTACTGTAACAGTATTAAAAGGTGGGCCTTTAGGAGGTGATTAGGCCATGAGGTCTTGCTCCCGTGAATGGAGAGAGTTTGGCCTCTATTTTCTCTCTATCTCATGTGCTCCCTCCTCCCTTCTGTTTTCTGCCATGGGATTTACCCTTGCCAGATGCTGGTGCCATGCTGTTGGACTTACTGGCCTCCAAAACTGTGAGCTAAATAAATATCTTTTCTCTATAAATTACCCAATTGCTGGTATTCTGTTATAGCAGCAGAAAATGGGTCAAAACAGGAGTGGAGTTACTTCTAGTGCAGCAGTGTCTCTCTGTCTTCCCCTCTCTCTCCCTCTCTCCCTCTCTCCCTCCCTCTTGTTGGCTTAGGCCGAAAGATTCGAAACCTTTGTGTCTATGTATTTTTAAAAGTTCACAGATCCATTGACCTGATTCTGATATTCACAGGGGCTCCCTACAGACCAAGCAAATTTAATGGGAAAAGAACACTTGACTTCATAAAGAAGAAATTTAAAATATATTTTATAAGAAAAATGAATAAAATTTAAGAAAATAAAAATTAACTCCAGGTCCTAAAAACAAAACATTCAGAAAAATAGTTACCTACTTCTGTTCCCCTCAGACTTGTTCTCAGCAACATTAAATGCCAGAAAGCAGCAGAAATTGCAATATTTCCAGAGTATTGAGGAAGGAATAGAATGACCCTCAAATACCATACTTAGCTTGATGCATAGAAGGCACTAATTTTGTTGTTGTTGTTAAACAAATACCAGAATGCAAATGTCTTTTCTCTGGGGATGGTTGCAGAAAAGTATGTGTAACTCATTGTACTTTTGTAAAAGAAAAACATGTGTTTGTATATGTAAATTTAGGAAAAAGGTGGAAAGAATTGTCTCAGACTGATTAAACCCAGGAATGGAGGGAACTTTACTTCTTAATTCTTATAATGAAGTCAAAGTTTTAATAAAATTTGGTAATATTTTACATTTTGTATTTTTTAGTTTTTGAAAAATACCATCTATGTAAAAAAAAGGCAAACACTATCATAGATCAAAGCCTAATTATACAGTTTTTTTATTTAAAACAAGCTGTTCTTGCATATTCATTAAAAAAAAAACTCAGGTATATTATTTGTGCCAGAACAGTCTTTAGACCTATATTTATTGGTGAACTTTAAGAATAAAACATTGTCAGCTTCAACCTTCTATGTCCTTTTAAAGGTGATTAAACTTTCCTAGGTTGGACAGGATGGCTTGAGGAGAATGACGTACATTAATTTTTCTAGCCAAATTATTTCATGTGGCTCAGAACCCATTCAGTCATTCTATTATACAATCTGATCTTTTAAACTCATCTAAATAGCTACTCGACATTGTCCTTATCAGGCCTAGGTCAATGATAAAGGTACATAACAGAATAAATCTCCCTAAAGGAAGAAAGGAAAAGATTAACTCTCTCCCAAATCCCCATGAAACTTCATGTTCCTACATGGACCTGTTTGTAGTCTGGTCCCCAGACACTGTTGAGATCTGGGAACACGGGGTCCCAGAAAGAAAGCAGCCTTCATGATTAATTCACTTTCAAAGGTTCTGCCTTAACCATTCAGGGTGTTCTAAAAAGAATCTTCTGAAAGACCACATTTTGCTATGAAATCAATCAAAAACAAAATACCAGTCAGAATCAAACTTTTTAAAAGGTCACACTCATAGAGGCCTCCAATTCATGATCATTGGGTACATGTTGACAAGCTTTTTAGGAAACTTTAGAGATATATGGGGAAGATATCAATCTCATCTGTCAACTGTAATTGAAAATGGGCAAAAAAATACAAATATATAAAAACTGGCATCAGTGCTGGAAACTAGAGAAGGGCATTGCCCAACTTGGAGAAGTTCTGCCTGATATGATGCAAACTGTAGGAAGCCACATGGGCCAAATCGTAGACATCCTTTCTGAAAAAAAGATAGGATATGCAAAAAGTGAATACAAGTAAATCCTACCAGACCAGGCTGTTACTGCGCAGCTACTAATTTCTATGTGTGAGAGCTCAGAGGGGTCAGCCCCTGTACATATTGGGAACATTTATTCTAGTTGGAACCCATTTTCCCAGAGTGGGTCCACACTTACAATCATTTGCAGGAAGCCCAAAGCCGAGCCTGAGGACAGCAAGACTTTTTCTGGATATGGTGGACAGGGCATCCAGGAAGTGTGGGGTCCTGGGCACACTCAGCCAAGACTGGGTGGGGCCAAACCTTTTTCTGTTTCCTGTCTCATGTTCTTGTGCTGGGACATTTCCTTGATTCTGCCTTTTTCTTTTTCTTTTCTTTTCTTTTCTTTTTTTTTTTTTTTTGAGACAGAGTCTTACTCTGTTGCCCAGGCTGGAGTGCAGTGGCACAATCTTGGCTCACTGCAACCTCTGCCTTCGGGTTCAAGTGATTCTCCTGTCTCAGCCTCCTGAGTAGCTGAAATTACAGGGATGTGCCACCATGCCCGGCTAATTTTTATATTTTTAGTAGAGATAGGGTTTCACCATGTTGGTCAGGCTGGTCTTGAACTTCTGACTTTGTGATCCACCCAAAGTGCTGGGATTACAGGTGTAAGCCACCATGCCCAGCCAACTCTGCCTTTTTAATAAGCAATTCTGATTTCAGTTTTGTCCATTCTGTGCTCACTCTTTTTTATTGAGTTTTCCTCCTTTCATTTTTCATGGTAGCCTTTTCTTGTTTTGTGCATATGAAATCGTCTCAAATTTTCCTATTAGGTATTAATGAAAACTTTAAAAAGTTCCCCTCTATACTTTGATTATCTCTGTTTCCTTTGGATCATTCTAAAGTTTCCTCTTTGACATTTCCTGTCGCACTCCTGGTTTTCCTAAAATTTCTGTGGTTTCTGATTGTCAGTGTATCAGAATGAAGGACTAGACCCATCACTGTAGGTAGCTGGGGTAGGTTTTTGTCTGTTTACCTCACAGTCTTCCCTCCCTACTGGAAGGACTGAGTATAGGGGTGGGTGTGGTGATCAGTTTTATGCTAGGGTCAGTGGCCAAGGGGGACTCAGGGAGGCTGGAAAGAAGGGTTTTACCTTGGAATGCAGGGCTTTGCTCTTGGGCAGGGCTGCCTCTTCATGTTGCCCCTTCTGTCTGTTGGAATGTTGGGAAAGATCTCTAGCTTCTCTCAGATCTCCACATCCACTTTGGGGCCATCAGCAAAGTCCACTCTCTTTAGAGTGTGGGTACAGTCTTCAGCCTGGGGACAAATGCCCCAGTTGCCTGTTGCTTAGTTGATAATATTAATGGCTAATATTTAATGAGACTTAACAGTGTCAGATACTGTTCTAAATACTTTCCATACAGTAATACTTACAAGGCAGATACTGTTATAATCCACATTTTGTAGATAAGGAATTGGAAGCACAGAGAAGTTCACAGTTGCAGTGGAGCAGAGATTTCCAATCAAGGTGCTTTAACTAAAGAATTTGCCTTTGGGTATAGAGATGGCGTGTGGGGATGGGGGTGGAGGGGCTCTGTTGATCCTTATTGCTTTCCACCATACAGTTATTTTATTAAGTCCCCTGATGATTCCCCAGGCTCACTCTGTTCTTTTTATTTTTACATTGTTTAGACTTGGAATTTCTCTGTATCAACTTTTATCTTGGGAGCAGTTTTCTACTATGCATATATTGGTTGGCTTTATCCTCAGCTCTCTAATCCCATCTGCTCTCTGTCTTCTAGGAATTTCTCACCATTTATGATCTGTCACTGGCACCCTTTCTTGTTTTTCAGCCCTGTTATAGATGTTATGGATATGCCTCTCTCTCTATAGATATATCTATATAGATATATGTAGAGAGGAATGTGGTACACAGAGAAGATGTGTGTATTTGGTCCGCCATCTTGATTCAATTTCTGTAATATTTATTATATGTGTTTTATCGATTTACTTCCTGGAAGTGAGATTAATTAATTTTTTATCGTGCTGCTATAATGATTAAATTTTGAAGTAGCATTTAGCGTGCAGGGAGTACAGTCACAATGTAATAGCCCCTGGGATTTTTGTTCTCTTGAGTATAGGTTATTAGACTCTGTATGGCTTTGTTGTGATTCTGCTAAACAGAGACTTCCAGATGCGGATTGTCAGACATGAACATTATTTCTACTATTCAAACAGATAGGGACGAAGTGGTCCAGCATTGCTTGTTAAACTTCCTTCTAGAAGAATAAATCAGGATAAATGCAATCAATGTAAATATTAAACACATTGAATGCAGGGCTTATGGAAGGGGTAGTTTAATATTTTAAAAATTGAAATAAAATGTACATATAGGAAAGTGACAGACCACAAGTGTACAGTATGATGTATTTTAACAAAGTGACACATTCATGTGATCAGTTCAAGATATAGAACATTAGTGGCACCCAAGAGGACCCCTTATAACCTTAATTTACAAGTAACTACCACACCAGCTTCAATCACCATAGATTAGCTTTTCCTGTTTTTGAATATTGTATGAATGGAATAATGCAGTATGTTCTCTTTTTTGAACTTTATGTAATTAGACATAAATATATTGAGCTTCTTTCATTCAATGTTATGTCTGAAATTTACCCATGTTGTTACATATTATGGGAGCAGTTAATTCTTTTTCATTATAATACTATATAGTGTTGTATTGTAGAAATAGCCACAATGTAATTATTAATTAATATGGGCATTTGTTTCTAGTTTTTTGTTATTATGAGTAATACTATTTTTACATGGATTTTGGTGCACATATGTAGGAATTTCTGCTGGGTAGATACCAGCAGAATTGCTGAGTCATAGGGTATGGTTATTTTTATGTTCAGCTTTAGTAGATTCTGCCAAACTGTTTTATAAAATAGTTGCACCAATGTATACTCCTACAAATACTGTATGAGTGTTCCAGTTGCACCATTAATCCTTGGAAACACTTGTGTTGTTGTTGTTGTTTTAAAGTAATTTTGACCATTCTGATAGTAATGTAGTGGCATCTCATTGTGGTTAATTTGTATTTCCACGATTATAATTAGGTGAAAACATTTTCTTATGCTTATTGGCCATTTGGATTATTGTCTTAGTCCTTACAGGCTGCCACAACAAAAATACCATAGACTAAATGGTTTAAATAACAAATATTTCTCATGCTTCTGGAGGCTGGTAAGTCCATAATCACTGCACTACCAGATCTGGTGTCTGATAAGGGCCTTCCTGGTTCACAGATGGCAGTCTTCTTGCTGTGTCCCTGTATGGTGGAAGAGTGGGAGAGCTTTCTCTGAAGTCTCTTTTATATGGTCACTAATTCCATTCCAGAGGGATCTATAATACCTCCATGGCCTATCATCTTCTGAAGACTCTACCTCCTAATAGTATCATTGGGCAGTTAGAATTTCAATTTATGAATTTTGAGGGGACGCAAACATTCAAGCCATAGCAGAAATCTTCTTTTTGTCAAATTGCCTATACAAGGCTCCTTTGACTGTTTTTTAAAATATTGAATCTATTTGCCTTTTTCTTCATGACTCATCAGAGTTCTTTTTAATATTTGAATGTGATTCTTTGTCAGATAGATGTGTGGAAAACATCTTCTACTCTGTGGCTTGATATTTCTCAGTCTTCTCTTAGGTTTAATGAAATACAACATATGAATCCTTTTCTTGAGAGTTAGTATTTTGGGGTCTGGTTGAGATATCTTCTATCCTAGGGTTATGTTATCTTGTAGATATCATAAGATTCTAAAATCTTTAAATTTTTACCTTAAACATTATTTTAAGGTCAGTGAGGAATTATTTTTGAGGTATGGTGTAAAGCAGGGGTCTTAAATTATTTTTAAGAATAGAAAGGATACCTGAAATCAGAGAATTTGAGAACTGGTGATTTAAAGCTATAAAATTCCCAAACAACAGCTTTAGCTGCATCTCGTAAGCTTAGGTTATATCTATATATTTGCATTCCTTATTTAAAAATATTCTCTAATCTTCATCTTTGACTCAGGCTGTTTATGCATGTGTTGTTTAATTTCCAAATAATTGGAACATTTTCAGATATTGATTTCTATATTAATTTTTATGGTCAGAGAACCTACTCTGCATGATTTTGGTCTTTGAAATTTTAGAAATGTGCTTTGTGATTCCGCATATGGTCTATTTTGGTAAATGTTCCATGTCTACTTGAAAATAATCATTATTTTGTAGTTATTTGCTACAGTGTTCTACATATGATGGTTCAAGTCATGTTAATCTACTGATTGTTTTCGTCTGCTTGTTTTATAAGTTGCTGAAAGGTGTATTAAAATATTTAAAAATATTTGGAATTGTTTCTAGTTTTAGTTTTATAAGAGTATGCTTTATACATCGTGAGGCTGTGTTACTAAGTGCTTAAAGATTTAGGATTGTTATGTCTCTTTTAAATTGACTTTTTACAATTGTTTAAATGTTCTTTATTCTAGTAATAATGTTTTCTGTATAAAAGTCTATTTTGTAGGATATTAGTATAGATTCTAAAGGTTTTTATTGTTGATGTTAGTGTTTTCTTTTTTTAAATTTAAAATTTCTATGGGTACATAGAGGCGTAAGTATTTATGGCATATATCAGATATTTTTATACAGGCATACAATAAGTAAGGATTATTACAATGTGTAATGATTGTCAGGGTAAATGGGGTATTCCTCACCTCAAGCACTTATTTCTTTGTGTTATGAACATTCTAATTGTACTTCCTCAGTTACTCTAAAATGTACAACAAATTATTGCTGACTGTAGCCACTCTGTTGTGATATCAAATATTATCTCTTATTCATTATATCTGACTATATTTTTGTGCCCATTAACCATCCCGATTCCCTCTACTCCCCTGCTACCCTTCCCAGCCTCCGGTGACCATCGTTCTACTCTCTGTCTTCATGAGTTCAATTGTTTAAATTTTTAGTTCCCACAAATGAGAACATCTGATGTTTGTCTTTCTGTGCCTGGCTTATTTCACTTAACATAATGTCCTCCACTTCCATCTGTGTTGTTGCAAATGACAGGATCTCATTCTTTTTTATGGCTGAATATGTACCACATTTTCTCCATCCATTCATCTGTTGATGGACACTTAGATTGATTCCAAATCTTGGCTATTGTGAATAATGCTGCAATAAATATGGGCAGCAGATATCTCTTTGATACACTGATTTCCTGTCTTCTTTCCTAGCAGTGGGATGGCTGGATCATATGGTAATTCTATTTTTTTTTTTTTTTTTTTTTTTTTTTTTTTTTTTTTTTGAGACGGAGTCTCGCTCTGTCGCCCAGGCTGGAGTGCAGTGGCGCGATCTCGGCTCACTGCAAGCTCCGCCTCCCGGGTTCACGCCATTCTCCTGCCTCAGCCTCCCGAGTAGCTGGGACTACAGGCGCCCGCTACCACGCCCGGCTAATTTTTTGTATTTTTAGTAGAGACGGTAATTCTATTTTTTGAGGAAATTCCAAACTGTTCTCCATCGTGGTTGTACATCCTTACCAAGGGTGTATGAGGGTTCCCCTTTCTCCTTGCCAGCATTCGTTATTGCCTATCTTTTGGATAAAAGCCATTTTAACTGGGGTAAGATGATATGTCATTGTAGTTTTGATTTGCATTTCTCTGGTCATCAGTGATGTTGAGCATCTTTTCATATACCTGCTAGCCATTTGTATGCCTTCTTTTGAGAAATGTCTATTCAGATCTTTTGCTCATTTTTAAATTTTATTATTAGATTCTTTTTCCTATAGAGTTATTTGACCTCCTTTTATTCTGGTTATTAATCCCTTGTCAGATGGATAGTTTGTAAATATTTTCTCCCATTCTGTGGGTTGTCTTTTGACTTTGTTGATGTTGAAAAGCCTTTGCTATGCAGAAACTTTTTAACTTGATATGATCCCATCTGTCCATTTTTGCTTTGGTTGCCTGTGCTTTTAGGGTATTACTCAAGAAATCTTTGCCAAAATCAGTGTCCTGGAGAGTTCTCCCAATGTTTTCTTATAGTAGTTTCACGGTTTGAGGTCTTAGATTTAAGCCTTTAATCCATTTTGATTTGATTTTTGTATATGGTGAGAGATAGGGATCTAGTTTCACTCTTCTGCATATGGATACCCAGTTTTCTCAGCATCATTTATTGAAAAGACTGTCCTTTCCCCAATATATTGGTTCTTGGCACCTTTGTTGAAAAGGATTTCACTGTAGATGTATGGATTTATCCCTGGGTTCTTTGTTTTGTTCCATTGGTCTGTGTGTCTGTTTTTTATGTCAGTATCATGCTGTTTGGTTACTACAGCTCTGTAGTATAATTTGAAGTCAGTTAATGTGATTACTCCAGTTTTATTCATTTTGCTCAGGATGGCTTTGGCTATTCTGGGTCTTTTGTGATTCCATATAAGTTTTAGGATTATTTTCTCTATTTCTGTGAAGAATGTCATTGGTAGTTTGATAAAAGTTGCATTGAGTTTGTAGGTTGCTTTAGTAGGTATGAAATTTTAACAATATTGATTCTTCCAATCCATGAACATGAACTATCTTTCTATTTCTGGTGTCCTCTTCAATTTTTTGCATCAATGCTTTATCGTTTTCATTGTAGAGATATTTAACTTCTTGGGTTAATTCTTAGGTATTTTATGTAATTTGTAGCAATTGTAAATGTGTTTACTTTATTGATTTCTTTTTCAGATTGTTTTTTGTGGACATATAGACATTCTACTGATTTTTGTATGTTGATTTTGTATCCTACAACTTTATTGAATTTGTTTATTGGTTCTAATACCTTTCTGATGGAGTATTTAGATTTTTCCAAATATAAGATCATGTTATTTGCAAACAAGGATAATTTGACTTTTTCCTTTCCAATTTAGATCCCTTTTTTTCTTTATCATCTGATTAGCTACTTTTTTTTCTTTATCATCTGATTACTCCAGTACTATGTTGAATAACAGTGGTGAAAGTGGGCATCCTTGTCTTGTCCTTTATCTTACAGGACAGGCTTGCATTTTTTCCTCATTCAGTATGATACCAGCTGTGGGTCTGTTGTATATGGCTTTTATTGTATGGAGATATGTTCCTTCAATATCCAGTTTTTTTAGGGTTTTTATAATGAAGGGACATTGAATTTTATCAAATGATTTTTCAGCATCAATTGAAATGATCATATGGTTTTTGTCCTTCATTCTGTTGATATGATGTATCACACTAATTGATTTGCATATATTGAACCATTCTTGCATTCCTGGGTTGAATCCTACTTGGTCATGATGAATAATCTTTTTCTTGTGTTGCCAAATTCAGTTTGGTAGTAGTTTGTTGGGGATTTTTGCATTGATGTTCATGAGATATATTGGCCCGTAGTTTTGTTGTTGTTTTGTTTGTTTGTTTGTTTTTTGATGTATCTTTGACTGGTTTAGGTATCAGGGTAATACTGGCCTCATAGAATGGGTTTGGAAGTCTTCCCTCCTCCTCTATTTTTTAGTATAATTTGAGTAGGATTTGTATTAGTTCCTCTTTAAATGTTTGGTAGAATTCAGCAGTGAAGCCATCATGTCCCAGGCTTGTTTTGCCAGAAGACTTTGTATTTCAAACGAGATCAAATGAGAGGTTTGATCTTGTTACTTGTCATTAGCCTATTCAGACTTTGGATTTCTTCATGGTTTAATATTGGTAGGTTGTACGTGTCTAGGAATTTATCTGTTTCTTCTAGGTTTTCCAATTTATTGACATATTGTTGCTCATAGTAGTCTCTAATGATCCTTTGAATTTCTGTGGTATTGGTTTTAATGTCTCCTTCTTCATCCCTGATTTTATTTATTTGGGTCTTCTCTCTTTTTCTTAGTCTGGCTAAAGGTTTGTCAATTTTGTTCGTCTTTTCAAAAAAACCAACTTTTTGTTTTGTTGACCTTTTATATTGCCTTTTCTTTTTCAATTTTATTTATTTCTGCCTGATTTTAATTTTTTTTTCTTTACTAATTTTGGGTTTGGTTTGCTCTTGCTTTTCTAGTTCTTTAGATGCATCATTAGGTTATTTATTTGAAGTTTTTCTACTTTTTTGATGTAGGGGCTTATTGCTATAAATTTTCCTGTTAGTACTGCTTTTGCTGTATCCCATAGGTTTTCGTATGTTGTATTTCCATTTTCATTTGTTTCAAGGAATTTTAAAATTTCCTTCTTCATTTCTTCATTGACCCACTGGTCCTTCAGTAGCATACTGTTTAATTTTCATGTGTTCGTATAGTTTTTAGAGTTTCTATTATTGATTTCTAGTTTTATTCCATTGTGGTCAGAGAAGACACTTGATATGGTTTATCCTTGAGAATGATTGCTGAGGAGAAGAATGTGTATTCTGCAGCTGTTGGATGAAATGTTCTGTAAATATCTATGAGGTCCATTTGGTCTATAGTGCAGAATAGGTCTGATGTTTCTTTATTGAAATGCTAATGAGTAGTTTACACACCACAATTACAGTGTTATTATAGTCTGTATTTGTCTATGTACTTACTGTTACCAGTGAATTTTGTTCCTTCAGATAATTTCTTATTGCTCATTAATGTTCTTTTCTTTCAGATTGAAAAACTCCCATTAGCATGGTGAGTATTAGGGAGTGAAAAGCTCCCATTAGCATAGGTCTGATGTTGATGAAATACTTCAGCTTTCGTTTGTCTGGGAAAGTCTTTATTTCTCCTTCATGTTTGAAGGATATTTTTGTAGGATACAATATTCCAGGATAAAATCTTTTTCCTTCAGCTCTTTAAATGTATCATGCCACTTTCTTCCAGTCTGAAAGGTTTTTACTGAGAAATCTGCTGCCAGACATAATGGAGATTCTTTATATGCTATTTTTTTCTTTTATCTTGCTGCTTTTAGGATCCTTTCTGTATTCTTTACCTTTGGGAGTTTGATTATTAAATGTCTTGAAGTAGTCTTATTTAAATTAAATCTGCTTGGTGTTCTATACCCTTTTTGTACTTGAATATTGACATCTTTCTCCAGGTTTGGAAAGTTTTCTATTATTATCTCTGTGAATAACCTTTCTATGCTGATCTCATTCTCTACCTCCTCTTTAAGGTCAATAACTCTTAGATTTGCCCTTTTGAAGCTATTTTCTAGATCTTGTTAGGTTTGCTCTATTCTTTATTATTCTTTTTCCTTTTGTCTCCTCTGTGTATTTTCAAATAGGCTTGCTAATTCATTCCTCTGCTTGATCAGTTCTTCTGTTTAGAGACTGATGCATTCTTCAGTTTGTCAGTTGAATTTTTCAGCTCCAGAATTTATGCTTAGTTCTTTTTAATGATTTTAATCTCTTTGTTAAATTTATCTGATAGGATTCTGAATTCCTTCACTGTATTATCTTGGATTTCATTGAACTTCTTCAAAACAGTTCTTTTGAATTCTTTGTCTGAAAGGTCACATATCTCCATCACTCTAGAATTGGTCACTGGTACCTTATTTAGTTCATTTGGTGAGGTCTTGTTTTTTCTGGACGGTCTTGATACTTGTGGATGTTCATTCATGTCTGGGCATTGAAGAGTTAGGTATTTATTCTAATCTTCACAATCTGGGCTTGTTTATACCTATCATTCCTCTGAAGGCTTTCCAAGTATTCAAAGGGAATTGAGCATTTGATCTAAGTCTTTGGTCACTGCAGCTATATGTGCATTAGGGAGTGCCCTAAGCCCAGTAACTCTGAGTCTTGCAGTCTTGTATAGGTGCTGCCTCAGTGGTCTTGGGTAAGATCTGGGAGAATTCCTTGGATTACCAGGCAGAGTCTCTTGTTCTTTTCCCTTACTTTCTTCCAAACAAATGCAATCTCTCTCTCCATGCTGAGCTTCTTGGAGTTAGTGGAGGGGTGATACAAGCACTCCTGTGACCATCACTGCTGAGATTGTGCTGTGTCACACCTGAAGCCAGAACAGTACTGGGTCTTGCCCAAGATGTATTACAACTATTTCCTGAATTCTGCTGATGTTTATTCAAGGGCCAAGGACTCTTTAGTCAGCAGAAGTTGATTCCTGCCAGAAATGGATCTTTCCCTTCAGGGCAGTGGATTTCCTTCTGGCCCAGGGTGGATCTAGAAATGCAGTTCAGGAGCTAGGGCCTGGAACTGGGGGCTGCAGGAGTCTGCTTGATGCTTTACTGTACTGTGGCTGAGCCGCTACCCAAGTTGCAAGACAAAGACCTCTTTTTTGCTCTCCTTTCCTCAAGCAGAAGGAGTCTCTGCCCAGACAATCACTGCCTCAGGCCCATGGCAACTATAGCTTGGCTACTGCTGATGTTTATTCAAGGCCCAAGGGGTCTTTATTCAGCAGGTGGTGAGTTCTGCCAGGTCTGGGTCTCTCCTTTCAATGCAGTGGGTTCCCTTCTGGCCCAGGGTGGGTTAAGGAATGCCCTCCAGGAGCTAAGGCCTGGAACTGAGGAAATGAGAAATCCTCTTGGTGCTTTAGTTTACTGTGGCTCTGCTGGTACCCAAGTCACAAGATGAAATCCTTTTTACACTTCCCTTTCCTTTCTTCAAGCAGGAGCCTTTCCCTGTGGATACTATAGCTGAGAATGTGCTGGGTCACACATGAAACCAGCACAGTACTGGGTCTTGCCAAGGCCTGTGATGACTGCTGCCTGGCTACAGATGGTGTTTATTCAAGGCCCAGGGGTGTTTATTCAAGGCCCAAGGGCTCATTAGTCAGCAGGTAGTGAATTCTGTGACACTGGGTCCTTTCCTTCAGGGTAGAGTTCTTTTCTGGACCAGGATGGGTCTAGAAATGTTGTCTGGAAGCTATGGCCTGAAATGGGGTCTTTAGGACTTTGCTTGGTACTTTATTTTACTGTGACGGAGCTGGTATCCAAATTGCAAGACAAGGTCCTCTTTACACTTCCCTCTTCTTACAGAACTGTGAGCCGCATTGCCTGGAGTTGGGGAAGGGGTGATGCAAGCACTCCCTTGGCCACTCCAGCTGGTGTATCCCTGGAAAGTTCTCTATTAATAAAGTTTCCTGGGTTGCATGCACCCCAGTTCCACTGGCTGTAGGCCCAGCAGAGCACCAGTATTTGTCCAGGAATTGCAGTCCTTGTGGCCTAGACTGCCTTTCAAGTTTATTTAGGACCCCAGAACACTTTATCCCACAGTGGTGGGGCTAGCCAGAACTCAGTTTCTGACTGCTGGGATGGACGATTGCCCTTTGGCTAGGGCTAGTCTAAGTGCTCCCTCCACGGGCACTGGCCAAAGCCAGTGGGAAACACTAGGAAAGGCCTGTGTTGCTTTCCACTGTGACAGGGCAGCACTGAGTTCCAATGCAAATTCCCCAAATTACTTTGCCCTTCCTCCCGCAAGTGCACAGATTCTCTCTCCATGCCATGCTGCACTGCTGGGGGATGGAGGAGGAGTAGTGTCGGCAATTCAAAACTATCATTCCTATCCTCTTCAGTGCCTCTTTCTTGGATACAGAGTTAAAATCAGGTGCTGTGATTGCTCACCTGATTTTTGGTTCTTATGAAGGTGATTTCTTGTGTGGATAGTTGTTCTATTTGGTGTTCCTGCAGGGGGGACGATTGCTGGAGGGTTCTGTTGAGCCATCTTGCTCTGCCTCCTCCTCCAGAAATCAGTGTTAGTGTTTTTCTGATGTATCTTTTTGCACCTGTTTATTTTTCTTTCATGTTATTACCTTTAGTGTGCATCTCTTATTAGCAGGATATAGTGTAGCTTTTTTTTTTTTTTTTAAATGCTGGCTGATGCTTCTTGTCTTTTAATTGGAATATTTAGTCCATTTTCATTTAATGTAATTATTGATATTTTTACATTTAAATCTGCTATGTTATTATTTGTTTTCTATTTATCTCATTCATTCTTTGCTTCTTTCTCCTTTCTTGCCTTCTTTTGGATTAATCCCTTTAAAGAATTATTCCATTTTACTACTCTAGTAGCTTGCTAGTTATATATTATTTTATAATTATTTAAAAAGCAATACTAGAAATTATAACACACTTTTTTTTAATGTGGTGGTGTCTTCATTAAATTAGTACTGTATCACTTCCAAGCAATAGAATAGACCATACAACAAGAGTCTCACTTAACTCCCTTAGTGGTGGCTTTTGTGCTATCATTTTTATGCTTTTGAAATTCTACATACATTTAAAACCTCACAAGACATTACTTTTATTTTAAGCTGTGAATATTCATTTAGATTTATCTTTCTGGAGCTCTTCATTTCTTTCCCTATTTTCTTATTTCCATTTGTTTCCATTTATATATGTGTGTGTATATATAATAAAAAATTATATGTGTCTGTGTTTCCATTTATATATATTTATATATATAAATTCACATATATTACATAAATGTGTATATATATAATACATACACACTACATATATAATTTTTTAAAGAACTCCCTTTAGTGTTTCTTTTGGTGTTTGTCCGTTGTGAGAAATTCTCTCAATGCTTTTGTCTGAAGATTTCTTTGATGTTGCCTGTTTATGAGGGATATATTCATTGACAGGGAATAGAATCTAAGATTGGTAGATATTTTCTGCCAGCATTTTAAAGATGTGATTTCATTGTTTTGTAGCTCCTTGATTTCTCTTGTAACATCAGCTAAGAATCTTTTTGTTGCTCCTTTGAATGCAATGTGTATCTTTCTCTTTGTCTTTGGTCTTCAGCAGTTTGACTATAATGTGCCTAGGTATGTTTATCTTCATATTTATCCTGATTGGTATTCATAGAGAAGTTTCAATCTGTAGCTTGGTGTCTTTTTTCTATTTTGAATAATTATTGTCCATCTCCTCTTCAAATATTGTTTCTTTTCATTTCTTTGAACTCTAAAATACACTTGTGTTAAGGTATTTTCACCATGTCTGATGTGCTTATAGTGCTCTTTTTTGTGTTTTTCATCTTCTTTCCCTTTATGTTTCAATTTAGATACTTTCTACTGACTGAACTTCCAGTTCACATATTCTCTCAGTTGTCGTCTAATTGTTATTAAACACTTCTGTTGGGTTCTTAATTTTAGTTATTGGATTTTCATCTGTAATTTTCATTTGCTTTCTTTTTATGTATTCCAATTTTTGATAAAAATTTTACATTGTCATTTATTTTATTCAACATATTTATCATAGTTACATTAAAAATCATTTCTGATGTCAATACTGGGATTACCTGTTGGATCATCTAATTCTTTTCTTAGTTTTCCATTGTTGGTTCAGTATCCTGGTATGCCAAATTATTTTTATTTGAATGGCACATATTGTGTGTGAAGAATTGTAGCAGGTCTGAGTAATGTATCTTCCTCCAGAGATTATCTAGTTTTATTCTGGCGGATAATGAGGGTAAAGGCTTGTAACCTTGCTACAGGTGGATTGAAATGATTCAAGTTTGCATTCCAGGCTTTGTGAGGGCATGTCCCCTTGCTTGCTTTTACTCCTAGGGTTTAGGCATTCAGGGATGAATTAAAATCCCAGATGTTTTTCCTTATTGGGGAGTCCTGACTCCAATTTCTGTCTCTTGATCACTGTGATACTGCAGAAATACCTGCTTAGATATTTAGCCTTCTAGCAGCCTCTTTGTGCTGGTTTCTTATCATCTGCCTTGTGTATTCAGCTTAGGAAATGTCAAAAGCCTCAAGAGGAAATTGAACATAGCTTGTCAGGTTTGCTTCTTTATGTTTCCCTTTTTCCCAGAAATTTGGCCTCTTATATCCTGGTTTCCTTGGTTACAGTGTATTCCAATTTTTCTCTTACACAACCTAGTAAGACTGCTGCAAGTTCCAGGCTGGTGTTTTCTGCTCAGACTTTATGTCCTATGTTGCAAGACAGAACATTTCCTAAAGAGAACAGTCAGCTGTAGATGTATCACTCCCCTCAATGCATTTCCCTTCCTCCAGATTTTGGCCCCTCAGATTGTGGCTGTCTTGGTTGCTCCGATGACCTCAAGATCTCTTTAAACTTGGAAATTTGAAAAAATTTTAGACTTACAGAAAAGGAAGTTGCAAAACTAGTACAGAGAGTTCACATATACCCTTCACTCGTCTTTCCCTAATGTTAACAACTTACATATTACCTTTACTATTGATACTTAAAATTGTGTTGCCATGTTCTCCAAGCTGATAACAACAGAGCATGACTGCCAACTGGTTGAAAGGAGAAAAAGGAACCTTTCAAAAGGGTGACATTTTTGGCACAGGGCTTCTCAAAATGTGTTCCTTAGAACACCAGTCCTTGGAGATTTTCCTATTAGACAACGTCCACAGCCCAGTAATTGTAGGAAATGCCACATCTTACATATATGTGCCCCTTTGGAAATCCACAGTGCCCATTACCATTTTATTTTATTTATTTTTTTTGAGATGGAGTCTTGCTCTGTCACCCAGGCTGGAGTGCAGTGGTGTGATTTCAACTCACCGCACCTCCACCTCCTGGGTTCAAGTGATTCTTGTGCCTCAGCCTCCCGAGTAGCTGGGATTACAGGTGTGCACCACCATGCCTGGCTAATTTTTGTATTTTTACTAGAGATGGGGTTTCACCATGTTGGCCAGGCTGGTCTCAAACTCCTGACCTCAAGTGATCTGCCTGCTGTGGCCTTCCAAAGTGCTGAGATTACAGACATGAGCCACTGTGCCCGGCCCTCCATTACCATTTTAAAGCCTCTGAAAATGTTTCAGTAAAGAAATCTGCTTAATTTTGTTTTCCCTGTGTTTCCAAATATATATAGTCAAGAGCTGTTTTTGTTTTTGTTTGTTTGTTTGTTTTACTTTGCCTGGCCCTTAGGTACATCCCATGGAGCTAGTGTTTTGTGGCACACATACTGGAAAATACTATTCTGGAGCATTTTCTAAAATCCTAAGTTACAAATTTTGCTTTTTTACATTTTCTCTTAGGTTCCGGCTTTCTTGCTGTTTAATTTCTTGCTTCATGAAAGGGAAGAAGATGGAGACGCCAAGGTTTCTTTGAAAACAGATATTTGCACGAGAAGGCAGCCAAGGCTGTGTTAACATTCACCATTAAAAACCCAACACATCTAGACAAAACACCAAATGCAAAAGCTTCACGTTTCCCAAATAAATTTCTTTTATAATTTGTCACTGCTCGGTTGTAGGCTTTGAAAATAGTTTTCATTTTCCTGTTATTGACAAAATTAAAGCTGCCAAGAAGTAGATGGTGAACAAGGATTTTATCTCTGACTGTAGCACCAAGGCAACCTGAGATAGGTCTAATTTGCAGCATAAATCTTCTTTTCCACTGGGGGAAGAACACACGAGCCACATTGAGTAGCCACCCATTTGTATTTTTGATTTGCAACTTCTGTCTAGTGAGCCAAGGTCAGGTGCGATATTTGTGATGGGGAAGCTGAATAGGTGAGTGAGGGTAGCTTGTGTTTGAAGCTGAAGAAGGTAATTAAGAGGGTTTTAGAATGTAATTTTGGCATTTTTCCCCACTCCACCTCTTCAAACTATGTGTCCCCTGTCATCGCCTAACCGATCTGCCTGTCCACCTTCTGGTTCCTCTCCAGTCCATTATCTCATGGCCCACTTGACTAATCTTTCTGAAACTCAGATCTGTTCTTATCACTCACCTTTCTAAAAGTCTCCATTGTCCCCAGAATTAAGTTTAGCCCCATGGTCTGGCCCCTGAGTGTATGCCTGTCTGCTCCTTTTCATTTAAGCTTCTGTTACCCTTGCTGAATTATTATGCTGTTTCCTGTTATGTTGTGTGCATCTCTTAGAAGCTGCATATAGCTGGATTTTTTAAAATCCACTCTAGTATTATTTAGTATGTTGAATGTAATCCAATTGTGTAGATAATCATTACTGATCTATTTGGACTCTCTATTTTTTAATCAGCCATTTCTTTGCTTATACTATTCTTTCTGACAGAAATGCCACTTTTCTTCTTATCTCCCTGGTGAACTCCATATATCCTACTAGGCTTTGTTCTGGAACTTTCTTGGCACCTTCTCATTTATATAATTGCTTCCTTCCATCTGGGTTTTAATGGCAAGTTCTGCATCTCTATTACAGAATAGTATTGATCTCATTGTGGATTGCTGTTTGTGTTTCTGCTTTCCAGTGGGCCTGTGAGAGTGACTGATCTTTGCATCTCTAGCAAATTGGCACAGTTGGTAGACTTTCCAACCTGAGATATTAGATGTTTCAGAAATTAGATTGAATGACGTGGTGTCAGTTTGAAACATTAAATTGAGGTGTTCTTTGAAATGTATTTAAGGTTATACAATGATTTTTGAATACAGCTTTAGCTGCATACCACAGATTTTGATGTATAATATTTTTATTGTTGTTAAATTTTTTGGTAATTTCTATTGGGGTTTTCTTTTTAATCTGTTATTTAGGACAGAATTTTAAAATTTTGTGCTGATATACTTATTTTTATTGTTGGTTCCTAACTTAATTGCATTATGGTTAAAAAACCCCAAAACCTAATAAACATGCTCTATATGGTATTGATTGACTTTGTTACGTAGTATTAGGTTGGTGCAAAAGTAATTGTGGTTTTTGCCACTACTTATAATATTTTGCAGCAACATAATATATGGTCAGTTTTTGTAATGTTCTATCTGTACTTGCAAGGAATATACATTTTTTAAATTTATTGGCTGGGGGATATAGGTATATGTGCATAATAGTTGACCAAGGTTATTATTTTGGTCATTCAGATAATCAATATCTTTTTCAATTTTTTATCATGTTTGATATGTCAGTTTTCTGATGGAGTTGTGTTAAATCTCCTGCTGTAATTGTGGGTTTATCAGTTTCACTATTTCAGTTTTGCTTTATATTTTTTGGAGGTTATACTAATAGTGGAAACAATATCATTATTATAAAAATTTTGGTGGATTGCTCCTTTTATTATTACATTGAGTCTCTATTCCTATTAATGCTTTGCCTTAGGAAGGTATTTCTTAGGTCAGGCACAGTGGCTCATATCTGAAATCCCAGCACTTTAGGAGGTGGAGGCAGGAGGATCGCTTGAACCTTGGAGCTCAAGACCAGCCTGGGCAACATAGAGAAACCCCATCTCTACAAAAATACAAAAATGAGCCAGGCATGATGCTGTGCACCTGTGGTCTCAGCTACTCCTGAGATCACACCACTGTACTCCAGCCTGGGCAACAAAGCGAGACCCTGTCTCAAAAAAACAAAAAACAAAGACAGGTAGCTCTTGTCTGATATTACTGCTGCAGGCTTTATTTTGATTAGCATTTTCCTAGTATGTACATTTTGTCTTTTCAGTCTTTCTATGTGTTGTGTTTTAGTTGTGACTCTTAGAAGATGTATATAGCTAGATTGTTAAAATTCACTCTATTATTATTTAGTATGTTGAATTTAATCCAATTATATAGATGATCATTACTGATCTATTTAGACTTATTACTATCTGATTTTGTGGTTTCTGTTTGCCATTCCTTCTTCCTCCCTCTCCCTTTATTCTCCCTTGTTTTCTTTTGGATTGAAAAATACTGGTTTTCTAACAGTGTGCTGGTATGGATACTATGTTATAACATGCATAGTTCTATATGGGTATCATAGTTTTGTGTTTTTAGGAGTTACCATTAGTTATATAACACAGATACCTGCTGTGCATTATTGTAATGATGTCTAAAGTTATACCCATTTCTCACCTCCTCCTGAACACACATGAATCTTAGTGTGCTTGAAATATCCACTCAACACCCTTCCCCATTTCTGTGTTATTATTGCTGAAGGTTTTAATTTTGCCCTTGTGTAAACTCAGACACATTGGTTTTTGCTTGTTTGTTTGCCTTTACTCAATGGTAAATTTACCACCATAGTTTCTCAATTTTTATTCTCACCGTTGTTTCCTATGGTCCATACTTTCCCTCTTGGTTCGGTTTTTATTTCCTTGATGTAATACTTTAGCATCACTGTTATTTGAGTCTGTGAAGTCTGAATATGTCTTTATTTTCTTTCTCTCGCTCTTTTTTTTTTTTTTTTTTGAGACAGAGTCTCACTTTGTCACTCAGGCTGGAGTGCGGTGGTGTGATCTCAGCTCATTGCAACCTCTGCCTCCCGAGTTCAAGTGATTCTTCCATTCTCCCACCTCAGTCTTCTGAGTGGCTGAGATTATAGGCACGTGCCACCACATCCAGCTGATTTTTTTTTTGAGACGGAATTTCACTCTTATTGCCCAGACTGGAGTGCAATGGCGCGATCCCGGCTCACCGCAATGTCTACCTCCCGGGTTCAAGCGATTCTCCTGCCTCAGCCTCCTGAGTAGCTGGGATTACAGGCATGCGCCACCACACCCAGCTAATTTTGTGTTTTTAGTAGAGACGGGGTTTCTCCATGTTGGACAGGCTGGTCTCAAACTCCTGACCTCATGTGATCCACCACTTCGGCCTCCCAAACTGTTGGGATTACAGGCATGAGCCACTGCACCCAGCCTTGCTCTTAAACAACAGTTTAGGGAGACAGAAAATTCTAGATTTTTATTGCGCCACCACACCCGGCTAATTTTTGTATTTTTAGTAGAGACAGGGTTTCACCATGTTGGCCAGGCTGGTTTTGAACACCTGACCTCAGGTGATCCACCCGCCTCAACCTCCCAAAGTGCTGGGATTACAGGCATGATCTGTAATCCCGTGCCTAGCCGATTTCTTCTTAACACTTTGATGCCATTCCTTCATTGTCCCTGGCATCTGCTGTTGCAGAAGAGAAATCTGCTGTCAATCTTATTGTTGCTTTGGATGTTTTTTCCCCTGCGATAGTTTTAGGATTGTTTATTTTTGAGGTTTTGCTGCGTCTGGGTGTGAATTAATATTCATCTTGCATGGTACTTGAGTGTGCTTCCAAACTGTAGACTCCTATTTTCCTTCAATTACAGAAGATAAAAGAGCCATTTTACTTGTAAATATTGATTCTCCTATATTCTGTTGTTTTTTTCTGGAGTGCCTGTTGGATATATCTTGGAATCTCTCACTTATCCTTCATATCTATTAACTGATATTTCCTTAAAAAAACTCTTCATCTCTGTTTATTTTATGTTCTTTAAGTTCCTTAATATTTTCCAGCTTACCAGTTCTTTCCTGATTGCGCCCAGGCTGGAGTTTGTCCCATCTATTGGGTTTTTCATTTTTATGACTATATAATACTTTTTGTTTCTAATGTTTTATGTCTATCTTGAAAATTTCTTCCCTTTTGTATAATTGTTTGCTCTTCATTAATAGAAGTTATTCCTTTATCTATCATTTTAATAATATCCTAAACACACATTAAAAAGTCTATATTGTTTCATAAAACCGTTTTCTCTAGAAGTGAATTCATGTTATGTTATGTGATTTTGTCGGCTCTCTTTCTTGGTGTTATATTTTATTCATGTGCCTTGGAATTTAGATCTAGGATGAATTTTAATTCCAACTTCTTGTGCTCACTTCTCTCTAGTGATTGTGGCTTCTTCCACCCAGCTTCCCAAGGCCCCAGTACAAAACCGTGGTTTCTGTTCTGTGGTGATATTGGGGCTATCTGGATCCAGTCACAGAGCTGGAGGGGGTGGGGATGTGACTTGACTGATTCTTTGTTCTTCAGTCTCCTTGGGCCTGCAGATTGCCACATGTGGTAGCATCAGACAGGGGTTTACATCTGAATTTTTTTTCCCAGCCTCATTTGCTTTTCCATCCCCAGCTGTAAGCAGAACTTGAACCCAGACTCTGGTCTCATGGAGCACTTTTAGATCCTTTTGTACTCAGCAGGAACCAGACTGCTGGCTGTCATAGCCTGTGTGCAGGCAAGAAGCCCAGCAGGCCCGAGGCTTCAACCTTGTTCATCATGTTGTGTTTCTGTTCATTTTCAGATTCACAAAAATGTTTATTCTGTTTTTGAGCATTGCTTATCTTTCTGGTTTTCTTTTTTTGATATTTAATTTATCCTTGCTATGTATTCAAGGCATAAAGAGTGCATATTTTGATATTTAATCTATCCTTGATTTGTATTCAGAGCATAGGGAGTGCATCGGAGTTGAATTTGAATAGTCATCTTCACCAGAAATAGAAGCTTGAGTATTTATATTTAGCTTCCAGCACCTAGAGGAAATAACCTTGTAACCTTGGAAGGAGGCCAGGTGCCCTGTAGGAATCACGTCTATCTTTTTTTATCTTTCTATCCCAAGTACCAGTCATGTCCCTGCACATAGTAGATGCTCAACAAACAATATTTGTTCATTGACTGACCTCTGAAATATAATTACGTGGCCTAAACAGCTAATGCTATATGTGTATTTATACTTAATGTATCAAAACAGTAAACACCACTGGGAAATTCAGGAAAAGCAGAAACGAATGATCATGACTCTTAACCTGTGACTCCTGTTGAAAATGATCCCATATGTTGTCTTTTCAAACAAGATATATTCATGTCACTAGTTTCTGTTCTTGAAAGTAGAAACACTACTCCTTCTATTAGACATTTTGGTTTCTGAAAATAGAACAAGTAAAACCTGAACAAGTGCGAACTCGTTCGGATTAAAGGGATTTCGGGTCCAACTCTCCAAGCCAAAGGGATTTTCAAATGGTTATTTTAAAACGTGGATCTACATGTGGGCTTCTGTGGTTTCAATAGTCACAGGAAATGCAGGCCACTGTATCAGTCAGCTTTTGCTATATAACACACCATCCGAAAACACAGCGACTTAAGACAAAAAAAAAAGTTCATTTAGTTTATGATTCTGTGGGTCAGCAATTTGGGCTGGGAGCACTGGGTGGGTGGATGTGCTGGTGTGGTTGATCGCTGCTGGGCTCACTCACCTGTTGCCGGTCAGCTGCCAGGTGAGCTGAGGGCTTGATGGCCCGAGGTTGCTCAGGTGGGATGGCTGATCTCTGATCCACGTGGTCTTTCATTCTCCAACAAGGCAGCCCAGACTTGGTCAGGTGGAAGCAGTCACAGCGGACCTGACAGAGTGAGCAGAAGTATCTGTAGAGCCTCTTTGTGAGTACTGATTTGGAATTTATAGCTATACAGTGTGGTTTACACTCTTCTATTGGCCAAAGCAAGTCGAAGCGTGGAAAAATAGACTTCTTAATGAGAGGAGCTGCAAAGCCTGTGGCCACTTTTGTACTCTACCATGGCAACAAAACGTGGAGGTGCCACTCCCCACCCCAGGAGAGATTGTGTAACTTTCCTTAGATCCTCAGGCTATTACCTCCAAAGTTGAGAACCAATATGTTGGATGATTTCACTACTGAACAACAACAATGAAAATGTTTAGGAGAGTTAACTGATGGACACATCTGTTAAAACACTGCTTGGTGTGTGGAAATGAAATTTTTCATTTTTTCTATTGGAAGTTATGCCTTGTATCAAGACATTAGGTTAATTCTCTCTGACTTCTGTACTCAGCCTGAAAAGTAAGGATTCTTGTTCAGTGTACCAGATAACTTCTATTATGTGGCAAACCACTCCAAAATTCAGTGGTTTAAAGCAATACCGTTTATTGGACTCCTGTTCCCATGCCTCAGCAGATGGGGCTGATCTCAGCTGGGGTCTCTCACGTTACTGCAGTCACCTGCAGGTCAGCTGGGTGGCTCTGATTCTGGGGATGGACTGGTTGTACCTTGGTGGGTGTCTGGGCCACTTGTTTCTCTCCATTCAGTTAATTTGCCTGGGCTTGCTTGTTCACAGGGTAGCAACAGTGTTTCTAGAGAGTGAGTAGAAGCACACAAGATCTCTTCCTGCCTAGCTAGGCTTGTTTCTGTGGGGTCAAAACAAGTCACAAGCCCAGCCCAGATTCACTAGGTGGGAAGATAGACTCCAACTCTAGCTCGGAGGAACTGTAAAGACGCAGGACAGGGAGGATGGAGAACCCTGGCCATTTTGTAGTCTTCTGTATCTGTTGTCTTCAAGAAATTCCTTCTCACACTTCGAATTTAAGTAAAATACTATCTCCACTTATATTTTTCCTATTAAATAGTAATACCGCATGTGTAATAGTAGTAGTAACTACACTTGTATTTAAAACAACCTGCCATCTTTTCACCTTTAATTGATGGCACCTCCCTTACTGTGGATTTGCATATTCATATTACTATTTTAAGGGCGTAGATTATGTTAATGTGTTTTGCTAAAGAAAATGATTGAACTTATTTTCTTCTTCCAATTTGTCTTCCTCGTTCTTTAATCCAACCCTACTGGTGCCAGACTTGCTTTTCTAAAGGGTTTCTCTGTGTTTGATGAAGACTCTTTAGGGATCTCTCACTCGTACTCTTTAGCTTGGCATTTGAGAATCCCTGTGCTCTGGGCGTTGCGTAACTTTCAGATTTTATTTTCCTCCATTCTTCCTTGTGCACTAGTTTTCACAGTTAAACACAATTTATTGCTGTTTTTTTTTCTTAGCACATTGGCCATACACAAATTGTCCTCAGCTCTTGGGCAACATTTTTGGTTGTTACAACCGTGTGTGTGTGTGTGTGTATATGTGTGTGTGTGTCCATGCTTGTAGTACTGGCCTTTAGCAAGCAGAGACCAGGGTTGCTGTTAAACATCTTGCAGTGCACAGGACAGCCCCCACAACAGATAATTATCTGCTACAAATATCAATAAAGCCGAGGCTGAGAAAACCTGTCCTATCCATTCCTGCCCCTGGCTCTTTTTTCCATGCCTCATCCCAGAAGGCCTTTCCTTCAGTGCCGCCCGATGAAATGTTCTCTATCCTTAAAATGCCAGCTCAAATGCCACATCTTCTAGGAAACACATCCCGCATGAACCTACTCCCAGTGCCGTGGGCTCTCAAAGTCCATTCTGTGCATCACTGAAGTGACTACCACTTAGTTCATTTACAGTAATTTGTCTCTAGTACTATTATTTTTTAATGGTTCTTATTGTTCTTTTCTTGTTTTTTAATTGAATGTTTGTGTGTTGACTCTTTGGGTGAACTGTGTGTTCCTTGATGACAAGTATCTCTCTTGTCTATGTCCTACAGCACTTACCATGTGTTTTACACATAGTAGGTGCATAATAAATATCTGTTGACTGCATGAGAAATGTATGTCTTCCTGTGCCTTTAGATATGGTTACCCCTTCCAACAATTTTCTTAAAGGAGTTAGTTCAAAAAATCCAACAAGTTGAATCCAAGTTTTTTTGTTTCTGTTTTTAATAATTTAGGTAAAAAACTGTGACAAGAAATCATTGTACAATGCAATTATTTATGTTTATTTCTGCAGCTATTTAGTGAAAAAATAAGTGGTGCTGAAGGAACTAAACTAGACGATGAATTTCTTGACATGGAAAGGGTAAGAGCATTTTAATATGTAAATTGATTAGAAACTGACTTTCATTGTGATATGAGATATACTGCTATTGTAAAGGATATTCGAGTGGAAATCTAGGATGTTTAAATATAGGTGTGGATTATGCAATCTACAAGGCAGTACTTTCCCACGTCCCAGCCCAAATCAGATCCTCCCCCTGTAGCCACATGCAGTTTGGGCAGGTCGAGTAATGAGATCGATGTGGCTAACTGGTACCCTCTAGTGGCCAGAAGTCAGAATGTGCAAAAGATGGGCAATCTTGGCAGTTACTGCAAGGCCAAAGTAATTGGTAGTATATGTTTTGGAGAATCAAAATGTATTTCTGGGACAAGATTTTTTGAAATGCAGAATGATTTATTTACCGTGTGGAAGACTTGGGCTCTGCTCCCATGTGTTGCAGGAGCTGCATAGCAAGTAACTTTTATCCTGGTTCTGCCTGTAGAACCAGAGTGTGAACTTGGATAAGTGAATTCATCTTTTTGAACTGATACAGAGATGACAAGTGTGCCCTGCTTGTCTCACATGGATTTTGTGAGAATTATGCAAACATTAACGTATTTGAAATAACTTACAAAAAATATGACGGGCTTGAGACAGAAATGATTGTAACATGCTCCAAAGAAAAATGGTATCATCTCTGTCCCTTAACATGTTTCCCAGTCAGCTGTGTGGAGTTGCTCAGGTGGAGGCAGAACTAGAACCACCAGTATTAACAACATACTGTTTCTTTGCTCATTGTCTGGGCCCTTTAAACATAGCCTTGTTTTAATAATTAGACCCCCCACCCCAGAGGAGAGAGGGAGGAAATGAAGCAAGGCATCCACCCTCAGGTGTAACATCAAGGCTGCAGATACAGTAGGTAGCAGAGATGTCAGCAGGTGCTGGGGAAGGAAGTCCAGCCCCAGGCTGCGCACTGCCTGGGAGAGTATCTCCCCAGGATACCTTGGCTCTGGCCAGCTCATCTTCCAGGGAGTTCTCTGTTTTCTGGATGAGAACTATTAAATGTCTAGAAATGTTAATGCCTTGAGGGAGAAAAGCTTATTTTGTTTTTGCTTTTGAAAGAAAACTTAATTTCTGAACCTTAAAACCATGGAAACATGTTCACACCATTGACATACCTTAAATTACTTAAAAAAAACTCTTAATATACAAATAGGTGATGTATAGCTTTGTTACTAACAAAATGATTCAGTTGAAATGTTAAATTTAAAAGCATTTTTCCAGAGTTTTAGTTTTGGTTGATGGATTGAGATCCTTCTTGCTTACCTCCTTTTACCTCCAAAAACCCCAGTGAGTTACAGAAGAAATATAAAGTCTATTATCTGTTTTATTACAGCAGTGAAAAGCATGGAAACATATAATACATGACCAGAAGTTTTAAAACTTTCCAGAAGAGATGCATTAGATGGTATTAGACCCACCTAATAAATGATACAGAAATGAGAAAGTAATGGGAAAAAATATTCTATAATTAATGCTAACCATATAAAAATAGAGGAACAATAGTAAAATCAAAATAAAATTTGATGCAAGAGAAGCACTAAATTAAAAAAGCTTTTTAATTATAAAAAGATACAGTCAATGTAGTCTATCAGGAAATTATAATAGTTATGAACCATTCTGCACTACATAACATAGCATCTGAATTTTTAAGGTAGAAACTGTCAGAAATACATAGACAGTTGATAAAAATAGAAGTAGACTTCACATACCTCTCTCATAAAATAATAGATTAAACTGACAATAATCAATAGGCTCATGGAGGATTTGCATAAAATATGATTAATAACTTTGATTATAAATAAATATAGATATCTGCATTCCCCAAATGGAGAATGTGCATATTTTTCAAATTCCTTTGGAACAAATATGGTTATCAATTATGTACTAGGTTATAGAAAAAAAAACTCGATAAATTTCCCAAAGTGATTCCATAGAACATAAGAATTATAAGGGAAAGTAGAGCTTCTAAATTCTGGATGTTTGGAAATTTAAAAATATGTAAAAATAATTCTTAGTTTAAAGAGGAAATGGAAAGTAAAATGACATTATTTAGGCATGAGTGACAATTCTGTATGTCAAAACCTGTGATATGTGGCTAAACTGTAAATGTATTTAAAGAAAATAAATGTTGGGAGAAAATGAATAAATCATGCAATCCAAGAAGCTAGGAAAATAACAGCAAATTAAATCACTCTAGGTAGAAGGTAGAAATCAATATGGATAAAAAAAGAGATTAATAAAATAGAAAACAATAACCACAAAAGATCGAAACAATGAAGCCAAGAGCTTTAGAAAAGCTGTAAGACAACAAACCTCTACCAAGTGAGGCCAAGAGGGAGAAAAAGGAAAAACACAAACAAATTACATAAAGAAGAAGAAAGAGGATATGCCCACTGATAGCATTTTTTAAAGAGAATGCTGTAAATAAGTGTCAGAAATGAGAGCTGCTAGCAGCTCTCTCACTCAGGGACTGGGCCTAAGGGAGTCAGTGGCACAGGCCTTGGGACACCTCATGGGCAGGGTGCCAGCATTAAACAGAAATTCCAGACTTAACTAACCAAGATGCTGTCATACCAGGTTGACTTCACAAAAAATAATTTTTACCATTCTGCTTCCCTCTATTTTTCTTAATGGTTTGGCAGGATATTTGCATAGCATTTGGTTGACTTGAACAGACACACACACACAACACACACACACACACACACACACACACACACACACACACACACACACACACTATAGTGTCCCTAGTTATTCTAGGAGGGAGATTTTGTTTTTAAGCTACATGAGTTTTTGTTGTTGTTTTTTTGTTTTGTTTTGAATGCTCATCTTGACTCCACATTAGCCAATATGTTTACTCTTCAATTTGTAAAGGGTTTATTTCTAGTTTTGATGCTTGGGCTGGTGTGGAGGCAGCTCCAGTATGTGCATGTCAGGGCCTACAAGGTACCTGCAAGTTTTTGGTCATTTGTTTCTTGGGCTTTTTTGTTTCAAAAGATATAAAAAAGATCTGAAGTAGAAAATATCCCCATTCTAATTCCTCTCATCATCATCTTTCAGAGATGACTCTTAGCTTTGTGGTGGCTTTTCATGTCCAAAAAGGGTTGTATATATCAAAGGGAGCACTCTAAGTTATATTTTAATTAATATCTAATTTGTTACATTATAAATCTAAAATCCTCATTTTTCTTAAGCTTTAAACTGAACTTATGAATCTTGTTTCCAAATTTAGTAATTTTGCTATATGATGAAAATCATTATAGTTAATTTTCATTTGAGGTTGCATTAATTAACACATAAGCTTAACAGATTCAATCCTTAAATATTTACCACCAGTTATATAATTAAGCAAATTCCCTTAGACATTTCAAGCTATAATCACAAAGGCAAGGTACAGGACTCCCTCAAACTTTACATAAAATCTATTAACAGCATTTTCCTAAGCCCTTACATTTCTTGTGACTAATAAGACATATTTAGTTAATCAGATTCTCTTAAACATTTCAACAATCTTGGCAAATAGCTGAACATACCAAAGAGAGCTCAAAGTCACAAAACTTGTTACTAGGCCAAACGCACACTCACATGCCCACTTGCACACACAGCACACAAGTATCAGTAATATAGGTTTGACTCCTTTTTTATCATTTCTGTACTGTCTTTTAAAACTTTCCTGGGGCTCCAGATTAATTTATTTAGCCCAAATTAATGTATTTACCTAAGGGGAACAAATACGATTTCAGGCTGGATAAGATTGCTTGGTTGCAAACTTGTGACCCTGGCAGGATCATAGTTTTCTAAATTACAAAAATGATTTGTCTTCTATTATAAATCATTCTGCAGCTTGCTTGCTTTCTATGTATGTACTTTGAATGTCGATCTTCCTTATTTTTTTTCCTTATGATTAAAGAGTATTCCTTTACTTGGATGTTTCATAATTTATCCATCAGTCTCCTGTTGATTTCCATTTTCAATATTACATAAAATGGCCTAACAAACATGTTTTTCCTTCACTGCAATTTGCTCGTGTGTTTCTAAAAGGACAAATCCTTAGAAGTATAATAGCTGGTTTATTAATATGCCCATTAATAAGCACTTCTCCCTTGATCTCCAAAAACGTATCATTTTGCATTCCTGTTGTGTGTTACTCCACACCCATATAATACCTGATATTGAGTATAACTGATTTTAAAAATGTTTTTATCAATCTGGAGAATGTAAAGCATCTCCTTTTTATTTACAGTTCTGAATATTTTTTTCAAATCTTTGTAGGCAGCTTGTGTTTTTCCTCTTTTCCTTCTTTCTTTTTAAGACATGGAGTCTCGCTCTGTTGCCCAGGCTGGAGTGTAGTGGCGTGATCTCGGCTCACTGCAACCTCCACCTTCCAGGTTCAAGCGATTCTCCCACCTCAGCCTCCAAAATAGCTGGGATTATAGGCACCCGTCATCATGCCCGGCTAATTTTTGCATTTTTGTAGAGATAGGATTTCACCATATTGGCCAGCCTGGTCTTGAACTGCTGACCTCAGGTGATCCACCTGCCTCAGCCTCCCAGAGTGCTGGGATTACAGGTGTGTCCCACCGTGCCCAGCCTTTTCCTTCTTTCTTGTTTGTTTAAATGGGAGTTTAGAATATTATGCCACTTTTGTCAAACTTCACATACTCTATGTCTTTTCATGTTCAGTTTTTAAGTTTTTACGGAGTCAGAATTTTGGTCTTTTTATTTATGACATTTGAATTTCAGGTCCTGGTTAGAAGTTTCTTCCCACTCCAGTATTTCAAAATACTGTTGTCTGTATGTTAGTCGTTTTATAGTCTGATTTTTTTAGGTTGATATTTTTAATCATGTATATAGTATGAAGACTCACTTTACTATCAGCTTGCCAAATTTTAACAAAAAAAAGAAAAAATTGAAATTATGATGGGATTTGAATGAATTTTGCATGTTAATTTGGGAAGAATGCATATCTTTACAAAATTGAGTTTTCCCATCTAAGAATGTGGTTTTTCAAATAGGTGTTGTGAATTTCTCATAATAGTTATTCTTCATTATTGCATTTTTATTGCTTTTATGAATGAGATCTTTTTCTTTTGGGCTACTGATGGTATAAATAAAGCTATTGCAACTTGCATTTTAACTTTATTGTTTATTCCCATATTAACTCTCTGGTTAACTAACAACCAGAAAGTCCAGGAATGGTTTTGCAGAAGGAAAGATTCAGTCTTAACCAGAAAGGGTTAACTTTCAGGGAACGTTTGGGGAAAACTTTGATGTTAACATCTTCTGACCATAGCACAAATGAATGTGTTTATTGTATTATAATATAATACTAATGATTATGATTCTTTTAGTGTTGATTACTGAGGCAGTTGCTAATATGAATCATTACTGTGGCATCCTTATATAAGTATAGAAATTCAAGTTCACCTAGCAGATAAGGAGAGTTTGGTTCATATCTAGTGTTAGTTTTGAGAGACTTCCAAGTATATCTAATAATCTAGTGGAGCATAATAACTTTTCCAGATTTTCTAAATATTACCTTAATATTCATTTTAATGTTTAAAGGGAAAGTAAAGTTCTCCAACATCACTTGAAGGAAATGATGTTCCAAAAATCAGAAAGTGAGAAAATATCACCTCTCCCAAAAATGTTGAAAACGTTCATTTGGATTAAAATCATCATAATCGTGTTAGAAGAATTAAATTAATGAAAATTCCTCCTCTATTTGCTCTTTTGTGATTTTATTGAGTTTGTCATTTACTAACTTTTTTTAAATTTTGCTTTTAAGAAAATAGATGTTACCAATAAAGTTGTTGCAGAAATTCTTTCAAAAACCACTGAATATCTTCAGCCAAATCCAGGTAAAGTTGAAATATTCTCTTGTTCATTTGCTGTCACAGACTCTAATAACCCATGTTTACTTGGTGTTTAGTTGACATAATGTAGAAACAATGTCGTCTGTGTCCCAATAATGAAATTCAGTTTTTAAAGCTGAGTCTCCAGTGACCAAAGGTAGTTGCATTCGGTCCTACTGATGAGAAAGAGAACAGCTATTTTTGTGAATTTCAGTTGACATCATCCGAATGGAGTGCTGGTCATAGCAACAAGAGAGCACTGAGCAAAGGTTTTATGAGTTGCTTCAGAAAGCCACTAAACATTTGGCAAATATTTTCTTCCTTATTTCCTCTTTATAATTTTTTTAAAAATTCTGCCCTTGTGTACTATATACATAAAGGTATATGTTAATTTGAAAAAGCTTTCTCTTTGTGGCTTAAATGCTGGAGAAACAAGATGTGGTGAATACGAAAGGCTGCTTAAATCCAGTGTCACATCAGCTTCTCCACTGAAGGTCTGGGTTTCTAGGTCCCCAAGCAGCATCTATTGATGAGATTTTCCCAGGTTGTAAATTATAGGAACCAATAGAGGGCGCCCAAGCTTTGAGTTCTGTGGATTTCTAAAGCCACCTTTCCTTTTTAGGAATTTATTATCTGCGTAGAGTTCCTGTGATTCCCTTGACTGTAGGAATCAGCACAAACCTAACCATTTGAAAATTGAGAAAGTAAAAATTTAAGAATATAAATTTTATCAGGTGTATCCAGGCAGGTCTAAAGTTCTTTACAATTGTATTGATGATAATAGCTTTGAAAACCATAAAAATATATCTTCTCCTCCCTGGCCACATCAGTGATTGAAATCAGCCACACAAATTTCTTTTCCTGATATATCAGTCAACAAATATTTAATATGTGCTTTCTCTGCACTAGAGGATTTCGGGGTGCTGGAGTACACTATGAAATCAGACAGATACTTCACCCTCAACCAGCTGACTCTTGAATGGGATAAGGAAGTGTTGGCCAACAATAAAAGTGTCACCACTGGCTAGAGGTCTCTGGTTATTCCTAGAGAAGAGGCAGCCCTAGCAACCTCTTATCCAGTTTAATGGCTCTCACCCACATACCTGCTGCATCCCACATCCCCCTCCAACAGTGGGAAAGATGGGCAGAGAGAGAGAGAGAGAGAGTGTGTGTGTGTGTGTGTGTGTGTGTGTGTGTGTGTGTGTGTAGTGTGTGAGAGTGAAGCCTTTGGGCTTGGGGACCTGGAGGATAAATGCTTTGAGGATAAATGTGAGGTTCAAAAGTCCGGCACTGGCCAGGCACAATGGCTTATGCCTGTAATCCCAGCACTTTGGGAGGCCAAGGCATGATGATTGCTTGAAGCCAAGAGTTCAAGACCAGCCTGGGCAATGTAGCAAGACTCTATGTCTACAAAACATTTTCAAAATTAGCCAGGTGTGGTAACACGTCTGTAGTCCTATTTTTACTCAGGAGGCTGAGGTGGGAGGATCGCTTGAACCCATGAGTTTGTGGCCACAGTGAGCCATGATCATACCACTGCACTACAGCCTGGGCAACAGTTGTTGTTTCAAAACAACAACAAAAAAGGCTGGCACTGTGAATGTCAGGTGAATGTGAGTGGCACTCACAGCTGGCACGGGAATGTCACTACTCACAGTGCATTCTATTGCTGGAGATGCAGAATTAGGCTCAACCCAGACCGATGGAATCACTCTACATTTTAACAAGATCCTTGGGTTATTTACATACACATTAAAGTTTTGGAGGCATTGATTTAAAATACATTAAAAATAGTACAAAATTATTAAAGTAGGAAAAAAAGTGTATCTCTTGACTATCTAAAAGTATCTCAAATACCACAAACTAGTATGTGATTCACTCTCTCACCTACAGGATGAAATCTCAAATCCTTAGCTTGGTGTTCAATTCATAGTCACATTTTCCCATAGCTATCTCCCACTTTGTCCTGTATTAATAGCATTTTAGGTCAAACCAGCCTACTCCTTGTCCACTGATTATGCCACAGTATTCCCTCTTCTACACGTTACTGACACCATTCTCTGTACTTTTTAGGGCATCTTTCCATCTTTCTTCAGCATATTGCCGCCTTTCCCTTGCCCTGCACCACACTGGACTTTATTTTCATAATTATGTCCTGTATATTCTGCCTCCCAGTAACTAGACTTTGAGCTCCTTGAGGGCAAAGCCTGTCTCTGGAGTCCCAGTAATGAGCACAGTGTGTTGTTGCACAGGGCCCAGTGCAACAATGAGTAAATACTCATTGCCTGAGTCAGAGGAAGGAAAGGAAGGTAAGACGCAGTGATGCGCATCACCTCCCTAGGGAGCAGAGGCTGAGCTGCACCTTGGGACCAGCCACACAAGGCTAGTGTTCACTAGGGGTGGGGTGGTCTGTCCCCTCCTATGATTCTGCCTCCTAAACAGCAGCACCTGCCTGCCATAATACTGAAAATCATTAGGCTCAATCAGTCCTTGGGAGCAGAGTGTGTGTGTGTGTGCGTGCGCGCGCATGTGGTGTGTGTTAATGACCAGTTGGTTGTTTGAAATATCCTCCTCGGCAATTCTATTTTTGTTTACATTTAAACAAACAAACAAAAAGCATGTCAGTGTCACACAGGTGTCAGTGTCTGACTTCACGTGTCAGCAACTGCAAGCTTTCCAAAGGGTCTCACTCGAGGGGTGGTGCTCAGGAAAGCCTGGTCACTATTATTTCAAGTCAGCAATGTGCCCCATCATTTCTTTTTTTTTTTCTTTCTTTCTTTCTTTCTTTTTTTTTTTTTTGAGACAAAGTCTCGCTCTTGTCCCCCAGGCTAGAGTGCAATGGCGCGATCTTGGCTCACTGCAACCTCCGCCTCCCGGGTTCAAGCAATTCTCCTGCCTCAGCCTCCCGAGTAGCTAGGATTACAGGCATGTGCCACCACGCCCAGCTAATTTTTTGTATTTTTAGTAGAGACAGGGTTTCTCCATGTTGGTCAGGCTGGTCTTGAACTCCTGGCCTCAGGTGATCTGCCGGCCTCGGCCTCCCAAAGTGTTGGGATTACAGGTGTGAGCCACTGCGCCCAGCCGATGTGCACCATCATTTCTATGGTTCATCGTGGCTGCGGAACAGTGCACTTAGCACCCACCTTGGTAAAGAACCTAGAAAATTACCTGAGAAAATTAAATAGTTCACACACAATTGTTTCAGGCCTCAGGTCTCTGGCATTTTGTTTAAGGTGACCTCAGTTTTGGCAGCTGCGTTTATTAAATTCTATGTACCTGTCACTCCACCTTGTAACTTTAAAGAATTACAAATGACAATGTTTTTAAGCATACAGAGCTAAGCTAGGAATGCTGAACACTGTGTCGAAGATCCGAGGGCAGGTGAAGACCACAGGATACCCGCAGACGGAAGGCTTGCTGGGGGACTGTATGCTGAAATACGGGAAGGAGCTCGGGGAAGACTCCACCTTTGGTGAGTTATTCAGAGATCAGCTGGGGGAGCTGAGAACTCCTCCAGTATGGTTTTAGGTTATACACAAACCCTTCAGTCTAACAACCTTTGTTATTTTTCCATATTACCAAAGTAATACATGTTAATTGCAGGAGGTTTAGAAAACATAGGTAAGTAAAATAAAGAAAAATGCTAACATCACCCATAATCCCATATCCACCGATAGGCCCAATTAAACTCTGTTGTGTATCTTTTTTTTTTTTTTTTTTTTAGACAAAGTCTATGCCCAGGCTGGAGTGCAGTGGCGCGATCTTGGCTCACTGCAGCCTCCACCTCCCAGGTTCAAACGATTCTCGTGCCTTAGCCTCCCGAGTAGCTGGATTACAGGCTCAAGCCACCATGCCTGACTAATGTTTTGTATTTTAAATAGAGACAGGGTTTCGCCATTTTGGCCAGGCTGGTTTTGAACTCCTGACCTCAAGTGATCCGCCTGCCTCGGCCTCCCAAACTGCTGGGATTACAGGAGTGAGCCACTGCACTTGGCTTGTTGTGTATCTTTTATGCCTTGTTTATTCTTATATGTATTCATATGTACTTTTAAAAACTACAGTAAGGCTATAGTACATATACTCTTTGGTAACACTGACTATATAATGATCCATATCGTAAAATAATTAATCTTCCATGATATTGTTTTTAATGGCTACATAATATTCCATGTATCATAGTTTGTTCAGTCAATCCCATTTACTAAATAAATGTTTCTTTATGTAAAAACATTTTACATAGCATTTACAATAACCATTTTCATAGGTAAATCTTTGGGGATATCCAAAATTATATTCTTTGACATAATTTAGATAACATGTCTAGTATAAAATTGCTGAGTCAAGAGTATGCTTATTTTTCAGGTTTTGAAAGCATATTCCCAACCTACCCTTCAGAAGGGTTACACTCATTTGACACTGTTGCCAGGAGTGAGTGAGGGTATATTTCTCTACATAGTTCCTAACCCTAGAGATTATCTTTTTAGTTTACTTTTAAATAACTGATCATTTGATATGTAGTATACAAAAATGATATCTCATTGCTGTTTTAACTCCATCTTTTGGATCACGTGTGAGGTGGAATTTTTATTTGTGTTTGTCATTGTTTTTGTGAATTGTGTGTTTGTGTCCTTAGCCTGCTTTTGCATCAGGAGGTCCATTTTTTCCCCCCTGTCTCATGAGCTCTTTAAATGGTCAGGATATTTGCTCATTGGCTGTCTTGTATGTTGATGAAGCTTTGTCCCAGGTAAGCATTTGCCTTCAGACCTTGTATATGAAGGTCATTTCAATGGAGAGAGATTTTTATTTTTTATTTACTGAAGCTCTTTAGTCTTCCTATATGGTTTCTAGCTTTTTGGAATCATGTTTAGAAAATCTTTTTCATCCCACTCCCTGGCAAATGATATAAACGTTTATTTATACTTGTTTTTGAATCCTGTATTTTCTTTTATTGCCTTTAAATTTCCAAGCTCCTGCATTTATTGGAGCTACAGTGCAATAGGGTTCTAATTTTGTTTTCTAACAAATAAATAGCTTGTTTCAGTACTGTTGAAAAGTCCAACTTTCTCCTGATGATTTGAAATGATTCTTTTATTATAGGCTAAATTATTATACATTAAATTTGTTTATGGTCTTTCTCTTCCGTTTCTTGATCTGTATCCTGTTTTGATTCAGTGTCATATTGTTTTAAGTATTGAAGTTTTAAAACATACTTTAATATATTATTTACTAAAAATTTAGGTATTGTATTGCAAAAAGTTCACAGACACACTTACTGGTTTTATTTTTCCAGGTGAAACTTAAGTCCCTTTTATTTAAAAAAGTCATTAAATTTTGATTGAGATTCATTTAAATTAATACATTAAATTGAGGATGAATTGGATTTAATATATTAAGTATTCCCAAAGAATTTGGCATATTTGCTATTCATATAGTGGTAACAAGGCAGGAGATGGAAGAGATGGAAGTTGAGAAATCAAATATTTGGCCACAGTAATCATTCTAGGAAATTGGAGGAAATATCTTTTGAAAAAAATGTTAAAACTCAAGCATTAAAACACGAATTAATTAGTGACAAAGGGTAATATTATCCCTCAGAGCAGTATAATGTGAATTTTATTTTATTCTAAGGGCCAATGGGGACAAGATGGCCTATTTCTTACTCTGAAGGCACATCAGTGAAGGGAGCAGGTGAAACTGCCAGGCAGGCCTTGAAATCCAAGGACACTCCTGCCGTGCATCTGGCCTTGGCGACAGCCAGACAATTTGGTAGCTTCCCAGGTGCTCGGCAACCGAAAAAAACTTGGGATGAGGAAGAGAGCTGATGTCAGCAGGGCATCAGGAACAGATGGATTTCTGCTCTTCCAAGGAAGAGGCTGTGCCGTTGGATGTTTTCTTTTGGGGGGCCACATACTGGGACCTCCTACAGTACAGAAACCTCAGTGGGTGGAGGCTGAGCCCCACACCCGTGGAATTCGACAGCGCCAGTCTCAGGCAAGGAGAGGGAATGTTGATTCCAGGGAGGTGGCGGCCCATGTTCAGAGCATCATCTTTGGAGTCTACAGTGTATTTGAAAATGTTTCTGTCAAGGCGAAATGAGCTGACATTGTGAGACACTGGCACTGGTGGCAGAGGGGCTGTGTAGGGGGTCAGGCAATACCATTTCTCACCATTTGGGCAGGAAAGAGTCCACAGGCTAGGAAGGGACATTTCGTCTTCATTTAGGAATTATTTAGACACACTTTGGAGAGTTGAGCTAAGGAAATGTAGCTTCCAAGGAGGAATGAAGCTACCACTGGGTCCGTATGGAGTCCTGGGAAGCCTTAGTTTAGAGTAACGGTTCCTACTTCTGTTTTGCAAGGTCCTCTTTAGTATCTTTCTGTTTTTTTTTTAAGGGAGGTGAGGCACATGTTGCCATCTCTATTTTACAGGTAATTAAGTTGTCCATGCCCTCACCTGGTGGGTGAAACAACTCAAAGGTCAGACTTAGGCTGGGCTTTACGGTCTTCTTCAAGCCTAGAAATGGAGCAACCCAATCTCCATCTTTTTACAAGATCAATTTGGAAAAACCCAAATATAGGAAAAATAGTTCATTCTAGTGCAGCATTTCCCAGGGATGTTTTCTAGAGACCCTGCAACCCTCATTGTACAGAGAACTAGAGGGCACCTGGTTTGCAGTAATCTGGCAAATTACTGCCGATTAACCGGACTGAGATAGCACACTGTAATCCAGGAAAAACTACCTGCCACTACCCGAGCCAGGAAGGCTGGCCTGGGCTCCAACGCACCAGCAGACCCCCACCCCACCCTGCTGACAGGATGTCCCATGTGACACTGGCAGGCTTTCTTTGACATCAGAGAGGGCAGGGAGGCTTAGAACCTTCTAGAAGGATACGGGGAGTAGCCTTGAGAAGATCCCACGGCTAGAAGCTGAGATGTTTTGTTGGTTTATTTCTATTGTAATTTTTACTGGTTAACACTTAGCCCCATGAGTGAATCCTTTCATTGTTTACAAAGAGATTTTATTCTCAAGCTTCTAAGGAACCCTCCGTGCCAGTTTCCCAAATTACCAGTTTTTTAGAAAGGATCTTTATCCCCATCTAGTGGTCCAAATGGTAAGTACTTCGGTCTGCTAGCCTCAGTTGTATTTTCTGTAGTGGTGAAAGTGCAGACCATAGAGAGGAAAATACAGAAAATAGGAAGCCTTGCTTTTTCTTTTTCATTCTGATCCAGGATTCAGAGGTCCCGGAGCAAGGACCTTGCTACACCATCATCCACACACTTTTGGTAAAGAATGAAATAAATAGCACTGTTAACCTGGAGTAGTGTTCCCAAAGAACCTTTTGTATTTATGTTTTCTATTCAAGGCAATGCATTGATAGAAGTTGGTGAATCCATGAAGCTAATGGCTGAGGTGAAAGACTCTCTTGATATTAATGTAAAGCAAACTTTTATTGATCCACTTCAGTTACTACAAGATAAAGATTTAAAAGAGATCGGGGTAAGTCTTCCAGGGTATAAATATACCTGTTGCTACATAAGATGATGTTTATATTTAAAATCACTAGAACGTTTCAGCAGACTGAAAGCATCATCTTATGATGCTTGTGGGTAGGGTAAAAATGACTCAGTTCTATTTTCCTGGGCTCACTGGGAAAGAGTGCCAGGATCCATTAGTCCTATCTGCCCTGGAGATGAAGCAGGATAATGGGAGGGAATGTAAGCCATGTTCTTTCAGCTGGAAATTCTGTATTTAGTTGAAGCCAGCTCTAAGCCAGGCTAAACAAAGTAATTACATAACTTTATAGTGGATTTCTTATTATCAAAATCGTACCATAGTTGCATGTTTTGATGCGTTGCCCTGGTGGTCATTATTTTCCATTACTTCTCAAGAAGATCAATACCTAGAAATTGAATTTTTCATTTGGAAAACTGTTAAAAATGGCGTGCATGGGAATTTTCAGGTACCTGGAGATAATTGCATGCCACTTGCATGGTGGCATTTTTGTAGATGTGCAAAAACAGCCCCAAGACTTCTACCCCACCAGTGACTTCCACTCTGGAGGTACAAGCACCGTCTTATGGATATGTACAGAAGATGTTCCTCCAGGTGCCTTCAGCATGATCTCAGCTTGGAGGTCATTTGAGCCTTGGGCATATCCTGTTTTCCCTTCTTCAGACCTATTGATTCTCAAAGTGTGGTCCCTGGACCAGCAACATCAGCATCACTTGTGAGAAATGCAAATTCTTGGGCCCCATCCCTTATCTCCTGAATCAGAAATCTTATGGGTGAAGCCCAGCAAGTCTGTGTTTTATAAAGTCCTCCAGGTGATTCTGATGCACGCTAATGTTCAGAAACCACTGTTCCAGCCCATCCTTTCCAGAACTCGAGGGGGAAGTGTGAACCCCCACTGGTCTAGCCTATGTGACAGAGATGAGGCTGGTGGGATGTGTGAGCTTGGGTGGCCTTCCCTGCTTGGACCGTGGGCCTTGAGGTGGCTCCATATTCCAGGGGCCAGAGAAGGAACTGATGGATGTCAGATTATTGGTTCTTCCTTTGTTCATTTATTTATTCATCCATCAACTGTGTATAGCCTGCTCTGCCCTGCTACAGTGGTGGTGGGCACTGGCCATATGTGGCTAAACAAGACCTGGTGCATGCCCTTGTGAAGCTCACAGGTGTAGGGTAGAGAGACAAGTAAACAGATACCATGCACTTTGACAGTTGTTGGAGAGATGAGCCCAGGGACATGAAGGAGAAGCACCTCTTTCAGCCTGGATGGGTCAGGGAAGGCTTCTCAGAGGAGGAGAAGCTGGCTAATGCAGACTGGGAGACTGGGGTGGGCAAAATATCCAGCACAAGCTGACCAGAGGGCCAGGGCTGTGAGAGCAGGCAGGCTCGGGGACCTCGGTTGTGTGATATGGCCAGGGGATAGGGTGTGTAGGGGTGGGGGTGCAATGAAGGGAGGAAAGGCTGAGAGTCACGGAAAGCCCTGGATGCCTGTCCAGGCAATGTATTTAGAATTTCTGCTGAAAGCAAAGGGTATGAGGGAGAATTCAGGAAGTTTGAGTGAGAAATGAAAGCATCCATTCAGGAGCTCCCTAAACATCCCATTCCCCACCTGCACACCCCTTGGCCCCGACACTCATACCATCCTCTTCTTCCATCTCAGGGGAAACATGTCCCTGTTGCTCTCAAGCCAGTCCTCCTCTGGGCCGCAGGGTCTGTCACCTCTCACCTCCTCAGGGCCGTTGTGACATCCATCGTCCTCTCTGGTGTATCTTCATTCTTTCCCTTTCTGTCTGTTGGCTTCTTCCTGTTAACATTTACACACAGCACAGCTGCCCTTGACCCCTGGTGTCACATCTCACTCCCTCCTGTCCATTCTCCAGCCCACAGCCAGGGCACCCTTTCTGAGCTGCAAACCTTCCTGGCTGCCCACTGACAGTGGGGTGAAGATATAGACCCTCAGCCCTTCACAGCCTGGCCCCTCCTTTCCTCTGTGGCCTTATTGCCACCCCTTCCCCACATGAACTCTGCCCAGCCTCACTGAATTATTTCCAGCTCCCTGGTGACGTTTTGCTTTGTGCTTTCTCGCTATTTGCTGTCTTTGTCCTTTCACCCCTTCTCCTGGCTGTCACCTCACCCCTCAGCTCGGATGTGCTTTCCTTTGGGAAGCTGTTTGTTCTTTCGCTAGACTTCGTGGGGTATCCCTTCTGTGCCTCTGTGTCATGAGCACCGTTGCTTACCTTTTGCTCATGTTGGGCAGTCCATTCCTCGGGGTGAGTGATCGTGGTTTGTTCCTTGTAGTCACAAGCCTCCCACGTGGTTTGTGCTCACACATTATTTTATTTTTTTAATTTTAATTTTTGTGGGTACGTAGTAGGTGTATATGTTGGTGGGGTACAGGAGATGTTTTTGCAAATTATTTTTGAATGGTTGATTCTAGAGAAGTGACAGTCTGGGTTCTGGGGATGCCAAAACATCTCCCCCAAATGCACAGTTGTAAAACCAAATGCCTCCTTTGCTGACATATAGCAAGTTTTATTTCTTCTTGTGCTGTCATCATGGAGGAAGGTCATATGAAAAGTCAGCATTGCTCCTCCACCTGGCCAACCACAGACACATATGTGGTCCTGAGTAGTAAGTGGGTGAAATGTGTAAAACACACTTATTCTGAAATGTTGCAGTTCTCTATGCAACAAAATAGTTTTCTAAATGCCATCTTGTTACTCAGCTGCTGTTTGATACAGAACTGTAAATCTAAACTTAAATTATGTGGATGATGGAAAGTTAAGAGTCCAAGGTTTAGGAAGCCTTTCATAGTCTCAGCTATGCTCTGTGTCGCTCAGAAATCAGGGGTCAGGGGCCTGTTCATTTGACATACGGCTGACTTTCAGGTGTTCATGTAGAGGTACAGAGGGATTAGGGACCAGCCCAAAGTCACAGAGCAAAGAGAGAGATGTTTCTGACTCTCTGGGTCTTGTGTGCTCTTTTCACTGAGTCATGGAAGTTAGAAGCAGTGCTTCCTGCTAAAATGAATAGTGCGAGCTATCCCCATGCTTCAGTGGGATGATCAGTTTCTACATACACTTTCGATGCCTGGTATCTGATTTCCGAGGATTATAGCCATAAACTCTCCAGGGACCCCTCCCTTGTCCTGTATAGCTATCCCACTCAGCACTGTTTCTGACACGGGGTCTCTCTGCTTGGACACAAACTGTGATGGGAAACCTACTGCTACGCAAGGCAGCCTGTTCCATGAGTGGACAGTTCTAACTGTTATATTTTGTTAAAGCGGTTATAATATTGTTTAGAAATTTTACTGTTTCAGAGGTTGTCTGTGAATCTCTCTCCTTTGCATTCATTAACAGCGTTTTACGCAACTTATTTCTTGATTGTTTGGGAACTTTACGGAGATCCGTTAATATTCTAAGGGATTGTAGAAGTTTGTGATTTTATAGTCTACTACTTAGTCAGGAGTTGACAATAGTACCAAAAGAAATGTTCCTACTGTGTTTTGTTTGGTTAACCTGGTTAGAAATTATCTGGACATTAAGAAGGCTGAAGTGAGGGATCGTATAAAGAACGTTGGAAAATAATATCTGAGCATGGCTACTGCATCATTACATTCCATAAAGACACTCATTCATTCTATCACCGATCTGTCCATTCATTCATTCATTCCACAAATATTCCTGGAGCACCTGAAGTGAGGGGAGCCTCCATCAGGTGCTGAGGTGCTCCCAACAGCAGTGTAAGGTGGGTTCCTGCCCTCTGGAATCTAGGCCGAGAAAAAGCAATGACCATTTTAATAGAAATAATTTTTTGTGCCAGGTTTTGAATGTAGCACCTCTCTGAGGGACTCCATTCTCTTTTTTTAGCATCACCTGAAAAAGCTGGAAGGCCGCCGCCTGGATTACGATTATAAAAAGAAACGAGTAGGTAAGATACCAGACGAAGAAGTCAGACAAGCGGTAGAAAAATTTGAAGAGTCAAAGGAGTTGGCTGAAAGAAGCATGTTTAACTTTTTAGAAAATGATGTAAGTATTTAAACCAAATAGGAGATTTTAATGTAAATGAATGAAACATTGAATATATGACTATGATCGGCATGTTGAAAAACTCTAAAGCAGGAGTGTCCAATCTTTTGGCTTCCCTGGGCCACACATAAAATACACTAATACTAATAATAGCTGATGAGCTTAAAAAAAAAATCATAATTTTTTTTTTTTTTGAGACGCTGTCTCGCTCTGTCACCAGGCTGGAGTGCAGTGTCTCGGCTCACTACAACCTCCGTCTCCTTGGTTCAAGTGATTCTCATGCCTCAGCCTTCTGAGTAGCTAGGATTACAGCCACGCACCACCACACTCGGCTAATTTTTGTATTTTTAGTAGAGATAGGGTTTCACCATGTTGGCCAGGAGGGTCTCGATCTCCTGATCTCATGATCTGCCTGCCTGGGCCTCTCAAAGTGCTGGGATTAAAGGTGTGAGCCACCACCCCCGTCCAATCTCATAATGTTTTAAGAAAGTTTATGAGTTTGTGTTGGGCCACATTCAGAGCCATCCTGGGCCACATGTGGCTTGTGGGCCACAGGTTGGACAAACTTGCTCTAAAGCCTTAGTTGTTATGCAAGTTTCTAGAATTTTCTCCTATCTCCTGCCTGAGAGATTGATTGCTTCAGACATCCAGCAAGCCCTGACTCACATCTTTTTTTGGAGACAGGGTCTCACTCTGTTGCCCAGGCTGGAGTGCAGTGGCACGATTGTGACTCACTGCAGCCTCGACCTCCCAGGCTCAAGCGATCTTCCCACCTCAGCCTCCTGGATAGCTGGGATCACAGGCATGCCACCAAACCCTGATAATTTTTTGTCAAGATGGGAGTTTCGCCATGTTGCCCAGGCTGATCATGAACCCTTGGGCTCAAGCCACCTACCCGACTCAGCCTCCCAAAGTGCTGGGATTACAGGTGTGAGCCACCACGCCAGCCCCTGACTCAATATCTTAAATCTTGAGGAGTCCTGTTTATCCCAGGATTGCTTCAGAGGTTGTCTCTGAAGATTGCTAAGTAGACTGGCTTTTGTATGTGAGGCCATAGGATTTATGGTTTCACAGGAGAATGAAAAGTCGAGGTCATGTAGTAATTTGCCATTTTGCTGAGACTGAAAAGTACTTGGCAAGGCAGATGGTTAAGGGAGAACAGCTCTCTTATCTGGGGGGCGGACAGCCGCTGTCATCCCCCAGCTCTCTGGTGCCTTTACCTGTCATAGCCCACATTGAGGACACAAAAGCATGACCCAAATTTTTCAGCTGTTCCATAGTGGTGCTTGTGGGCTCGGGAATTGTGAAGGTCTCGGATCTTATCCCTCAGAAGTGCCAATCTTCTATTGTACTGTGGTTCCTGCCATTTGCTTTGATTTGATTTGTCCAAGTAAAGTCAAATGAAATGGAATTAAGGAGGACGGTGACTCCTGACCAGGCAACACGCAGCTGGGGGTGGCCTCCCTGCTCGGCCTTGGGTTTAAGGGGCCATTGGCACTTTGACTGCCTGAGTGGAAGAGGTGTCAGCCACCTGCCTCCCTCCGGAGCCCCTGCCCTCAGCCTGGCTTCAGCGATGCCAGGAGCTGTCTCAGCCCCAGCATTAGTATGGGACCTAATTGTTAAGTTTTTAAACCTGTGGGAACAAGTCAGGAGGTTTATTTATCCTCAAGACCATGTCGTCCTTATAACAGTTTATTTAAAGGTACACTGAGGTCTTACATCCTTTGAGTCAAGTCAAAATGCATTGAGCACCCTTTATTTACCATGGTGATGTATGGAGGAATTATGTCCAATACTAACAAGACATTCATCCTGGAGAATTTATTCTCCCAACTGGAAATGCCAATTTGAAATTTCCCATGCCCATTAAACCACTGAGGCCTGAAAAGTACACTCTACTGTGTTTCTTCTTTTAATTTTTTTTTTTTTTTACATTTTTTTTGGGAAATAGGAGGAGGTGTGACAGTTTGGTATCTCTGTTTTTCTTTAAATGTATAAATTTCCTCTTGAAATTGTCCCCAAGCAACAGCGATTTTGTTTTGTTTCAGATTGCCGTATTGTTTTGAAGTCTTTAGAAAATGTATTTGAAGTGTGACATGTATCAGATACTCCTTGTTGGGCCATATGGAATGTTGCCCTGCTGGCTCCAGGCCCATTCATGGCTTAAACTCTGAGATTGTGTCTTGTGTGTCAGATGCGCCGTCTGACCCATTTGTTCCATTCACTGCCTTCATGCGGGAACCACAATGATGGGTTTTTGCGAAGTGCTCCATGAGGGAAGCCTGTCTGAGCCACGCCGGCCTTAGCAGTTGACCCAAGAGACCTCAGTTTTCCCCCTCAGTATCAGTCAAAAGTCAAAAAGGATCCCTTCATTATAAAAGCTCAATCATTTGTCCATGTTTTGACAGTAACACGTATTCTGCCTGTCACAAATGGGTTAAGTCCTCCCACCCTGCCCCAGCAGAAGTAAGAGCTGGTTCCTAGCCCAAGCTCCGCAGGGGCTCTGGTGCTGGCCTTGCTCCGGCCTGGTTGCAGTGTTTCCTCCAAGGCTTCCTGTGGGAAATTGACCTGCAGGTGAGTGGAGGTTTCCCCTGTTCAGCTCTGGGGAGTCAGGGCTGCTCCCTCAGCCTGGATCCTGGGGTCTTCACCTTCACAAGGAGGGGTTGTCTGGCTTCTACTTCTGCCATTGAGGTGGGAGGAGACCAACGTTATGAAACGGAGATGGGCCGCCCAGGCTGCCCGGGAACTAGGCTCTTCCCTCCTTCCTGCTTCCTGCTTCCTGCCATCTGTAGCTGCAATGGCTGCTAGGTGTGCTCTGGCTGCTGCTTCTTGCGGTAATGGTGGTGATCGTGATAATGATAAAGACAGTGGTGATAATGATGATGACAATGACAAGAGCTACCATTCACTGACACCCCATGATAAAGAGGCTAAGGGGGTGCTGTTGATGGTCCCTGTCATGGTGCATGTGCGTTTACCTTTTCTCCTACCCAGGTTTATAGCTGAGGAGACTCAGAGATGATTGTTTAGGCTTCAGAAGCCCATCTTACTCTCTTCTTGGGGTCAACAGCAGTTAGATCAGAGGGAATCACCTGATCCTTTTCCATGTCAGTGTGTCTGTGCCATAGCCAGGTGGTCTGACCATCCTCTCCTGTTGACCAGACAAGCTAGAGAAAAATCTCCTGCTGGTCACTCCTTGGACCTGACATGCCAATGCCGATACTGCCTGGTGCTTGGGGATAAACAGAGAATGTGACTAGTTGGGAGAAAGACAAAATGCCAATACATGGTTGATGGGGCATACATTGAACCCTTGGCCCTGTGTTTGGCCCATCTCCAACAACCAGGCCAGAGCTGGTGGCCTTGTAGCCCATGGGACTCTGGTTTCCTGCTCCCTGTGAGTCACAACCCGCACGTCCAACCTTGGTCACTCAACCTCTTGTTGCCATGTTGCTTCCTTTCCTGGTGGGGAAGTCCTGCATGAGGAGCTGTGCTTCGGGATGGCTGGGGAGGGCTGGATTTCCTGGCAGAAACTAAAGATGGCTGGGACCTGTTCTAATCGCCATGTCAAACACAGTGGGTCTTTGGGTGCTGCTGCCTGATGGATTGGACGGTGTTTCTACCTGATCTGGTACCTGCTGGAGACAAGGTGCACAAACTGTCAAATGAGTGGCTGCAAGGGAAGCCTGGTGGCAGGCAGCAGAGGCCCTGACACTTCCTCCAGACACAAGTGGGACATGCTTCTGTTACTGTGGTGGGAAGTTTGGGGATGTCAGTCACAGCCATTCACCCTTTGGGTTCTGACCAATGGAGGAAGTGACAAAAAAGCCGGATTGGAATCAAGGGACATCTCTTTAACTGATGAGAATGCTTGAAAATTGTAAAATACAGACCTCCTGGTCAACTGTGCTGAAGGACATGGCCTGGGCCTAAAGTCCTGTTGGCACTTTCCCCTCCTTGCACCTTCGGTGGATGACAGCCAGCTCTAGGGGAGAGCCCGCCTGTCTTACCACCCAGATACAGCCTGAGACGCTGAAGCTGGGTGAGTGGGAGCCTTGCTGGCCCCAACCCTGCAGAGCCAGTGACTGAGGCAGAGCAACCCATCCTACTAACTAGGGAGCACCCCCAACCTCATCCACAAGAGGAGGAAGAGGAGGGCCTGGCGAGAGGACTTAGAAGCATTCGCTCCAAAGAGAAAGTGAATAAGCAGAGAAGCAAATGAAGGGAAATCCTCTGAGATGGGTGTGCTTGGTGCTCTTGTGCTACCTGTCCATCTCTGTTTGGCACTGACAATTCAAAGACCAAAATCTCACCCTGGGGGAAGAGCTGGTGCCTTCTCCAGCCCTCATGTCTCATCATCCTGGCTAAGACGCAATAAAAGCTTCACCGGGGAATGCCTCAAAAGAAACTGTTTGCCAAAACTCTGACTGATGTGAGGAGAACCCTGACTGGAGTTAACAGACTTGGTCTTTCCTGGGTCTCCAGATGTAGTACTTCCTAGGGTTTTCTGGCCAACAGGCCATTTGCAGGGATTTCCAGGGTGTGGTTGTTCACTGTCCTCACCTCTGCATTCTCCCAACTGAGAAACAAACCCAGGGAGCCACATGAGATCACATGCCAGCCCCTTGCTCAGAGAGCAGGGCTCTCTAGAAAGCCATGTTGGAAGGGGCAGCTTGGGCCTGGGCCCACAGTAGAAGTCCAGTGAGCTATTCCTGGCCTGAAGTCTAGACCTTGGAGCCCCTGCAGAGAGAGCGGGTGCAGAGACCACAAAGCCAGATGACACACGATCTTGTGGCCACTTCACAAACCCACTTTCTTGAGAAATCCGGAGCCCAGAGCCAGGCCCCTACTGCCTTTCCTTGCAGTGTCTAGGTACCCTGGTTATTAGGGCCAAGTGGGTGCCACTCCCGTAATCTCACCAGTTAGATGAATCACCAAAGGAAGGGGAGGTAGAGAGACATGACATGCTAACTCTAACATTCCTAAGCAGAAGTTTTATCTATTTTCTCATCTATTTTTGGCAGAACTGGGAATGGGAGAATGAAGAAGAGTCTCCTTCGGCCCCACACTGTAGCCTTTGGTTGTCTTGTGAATGGGAGCTGGATTAGAGACATTGAGCATCTCTTCACATCTTGCCTGAGGCTGAGCAGTGTCGTTATTCTATAGGCAGTGATGCAAGCCAGGAGGTGTTTTGGTTCTCCAACTTTCCAGGGATCCAAGAGGGGCAGTCCCATGACTGATTTCTCACCAGGCCAAGTTGGGCTTGGCAGGGTCCTGAGAAGTAACCAGGGCAGCCCTCCTCTTGGAGGAAAGTGTGGGAAAGTCAGCAGACTGGTTACCAGCCTTCATTGCCGTATCTTGGGAACACTATATCACCCATAGGCTTGTTAACACACTGTCACCTCTTCTGTCTTTGCAGAGAAGTTTATTCCTCATTATTCCTCACAACTTACTAGTAGCAAATGTAGGTCTTTGACATTAGCAGAAATCAGAGATATTCCATAGAAGATGCCTATTTCAGTCCAGTGAGTCCAGGCACCTGCAGTACTGGCTGTCTTGGTATACATTCACCAGCTACGGGATCCTCCTTCCATTCATGGGTTCCCAAGACCAGTGGAATTACTAGATTCCAGATTCCTGAGGTCTTTCCATTGGTCTAGAGTAGCATTTTCCAAAATCCATTCCATGGGATGTTAGTGTGTTTTGCATTAATAATGTCTCTGTGGTCACATAAGTTTGGGAAACCCTGGGTTAAATAAAACTAAACAGTTTCTTTATCACAAGACTTTTCAGAGTCTTTATTTGACAGTATGAAAGATTAATCTCTAAGCGGTTCCTAACAGAAAATACAGTTGGCAGTTTACCAAACTTATTTGACCGCAGAATTCCGTCACATTATTATATTATTACTAATGTTTCAGGACTGTAATGTGTGGAATAAGATGCATTAGGAAGTATTGAACTTGTAGAAAGCATACCCAGCAAGGCGTGAGATACCTGAATTCTGTTTCTGATTTTGTTTCTGCTAAGCCTCTGGGAAAATCATTTCACCTGACTGGTATCAGGCAAATTAACAACTGCATTTGAGAAATTCTTTAGAAGGATAAAGTGGAGAATAAAAGTGTAAGGGATTATTATCCATGTTATTAATTTAATTGCCTTACTCAAACTTTCTCAGAAACTCTGAATAAAGGCTTTTGCCCCATTGGAAAAGTCATCTGTTTATGACCAGACTGCAAAATACATGAGAAATTTTCCACAGCTTCTCTGAGGAATCCAAAAAGAGTAGAGGTCTTTGATATGATAGAGCAAGAAATTACTGGTATTATTACACTGTAAATTGAAGGTGACCTCTATGGGAAATGTGCCTTTTCAGTTGTGAAAGAGAATGGCTTGTCGTCTTTTGAAGATGTACACTTCTTTATTCCTGCATGCCAAACACACTTGCAGACCCCAGGCGTCTGGACAGGCATCAGCTACTCACATCACAGTTCTCTCTCTGTCCTCGCCATGGGCTTCAGGGTGTGCTACTCTCTGCTTACTCACCCGGCTGCTCACCAAGTCCCCTGGTAAGGGATTGCTAAAGGGTCAGAGGAGGAGGGTTCCCAGCCCTGCTCCTTCTAGGCACCCCAGTTTCCATAGTCCTCTTGCAGAGTTGGCCTAAGACAGCCTTGGTTACAGTATGCAGTCCTTTGAGCCATTCTTCCTTTGGGTACAGCCTAAGCCTTTTGCAGTTGGCTCACAAGGCCAGGCCAATGGCTCAGATCTTATGCAAGTGTCCCTGGGGTTTCCATAACTCCTAGAAACTTCTAGTATCCTTAGTCCATTGTAGTTGGGGACATCTATTCTCTGTTTCCATCCCCAGGACTAAGATACTCCCAACGGCCATATATGCTGCTAATCATCCATTGGTTTCCAGCTATAGAGAGGTTTGGAATGAAATGCATCCACAGGTGACACACGTGTGTCACTTGTGGATTGTTTATTGTGTATAGTCTGCCATGGGAGATAAATTGAGTTAATTCCTGTTTTGGGGTTATCCCTCAGAAGAGAGTGAGGAGCCCTGGGATACAGCCAAACCAACAATGAAGTCCCCAGGCCCAGCCACGATGGGCCCATTACCCCCTGAGCTTGGTTCTTATGCGTCTCCAGGCAACAACTCCCATCACCATGAATGGGGGTCCCTGGGCAGCACTAATCTCATTGTTAGGTTTTTGCATAGTTTGAGGATGGGCTAAAGCAGCTCTGTATCAGTTTCCTATTGGGGCCATAACAAATGACCACAAACTGTAGCTTAAAGCAACACACATTTATTGTCTTCCAGCCTAGAGTCCTAAAATCAAGGTGTGGGTAGGGCCATGTTTGTTCTGGAGGCTCTTGAGGAAGAAGCTGCTTCTTTGCCTTTTCCAGCTTCTACAGGCCACCTGCATTTCTTGGCTCATTCTTCGCTTCCTCCCTCTTCACAGCCAGCGGCACAGCATCTTCACGTATCTCATTCTGACCTCTGCTTCCATTGTCATATCTTCTCTGACCTTGGCACTCCTGTCTCCCCCTTAAAGGACCTCGTGATTACATTGAGCCATTCAGACGTTCCAAAATAATCTCTTCATGTTAAGATCCTTAACTCAATCATAACCGCAAAGTCCCTTTTGCTATGTAAAGTAACATATTTGCAGGTTTGGGGAATTAATATTTGGACATCTTTGCAGGTTCCATGATTCTGTCTACCTCAGGCCCCCTCTGGTTTTATGGTTCTGTGTGTCTCCCAAGTTGCTTCTTCACAGCCCTCACTTCACACATTTGTCAACCACCGAGGCCTGTGCCTCCTTGACCTCTAACCTACATGGAAGTCAGCTTGCATTATGAGTTTCTCACTTCAAACATCAGCTGAGTGTGAGCCCATCTGTAGGAGCTAGAGTGCTTCACTTTCAGAAAAGGGAGTGGATTCTCTGGAAATCCAGTTCCTTGGCGTATATCACGTGAACATTTTCATGGGTGAGGTCACACTTTGCTCTCAAGATGGCACCAGCACAGTGTCAGCCCAGGTCTCAACCCGGAAGTGGAATTAAACCTTTCTTCCCACCCCAGGTGACTTTCTCTGATTCAACAGATGGACTGCTGAAATTCCAACAATGGAAGAAATGTTTTACCTTTTGGTCAGGTTTTGGCTCTTGCTAAGCCTGAGTTTGTTGCTTTATCTTGGTTCTGCCTGTCTAGGTATTTATTTCTAATCGTGGTTCAGGAAGCTGAATGTACCTGTGTTGGTCCCCATGGTCCCCAGCACACAGCTCAATGCTCATGACCTGGGGGACAGCTGGAAGCTTCAATTTTCTGAAATCAAGAGGAAAATAATCTATCGTAGCACACCTGGTCTTTACTGTCAACAAGAGACTTACAGCCTAGTAGCCAGCCCTTCAGGACTTGTACTGAGCACCTGCTAGGTGCAAGCATTGGGCAGTGCTGCCATTGTTTCCCAAGGTTTAAGGGTTTTCAGGATTCATTTCCTTCCCAAAGTCAGCCACCCAATGAGCAGTTACGAATGCATCTCTAGATTACATCACCTTGTGTTTTAGCCACGACAGGGAGGATAGCTGGTAATCCCCTTGCCCCCTTCCTGTTCCCCAACCCCAAATATGTTTCAAGAAATATTAATTTAGCTATCTTTCACTATTTCTTTAAAAATTATAAAATGCAAGCATTTTTTAAAGTGGGTAATAAGACAGGGCAAATAAATTTTACTAAAGGCAGAGAGGCATAGCATAGATTTTGCCAAGCACACCACTCTAGCACTGTAAGGAAGAAAAATTGTTTCTGTAACAAATTCTACTACGATCGTGCTAGGCCATGGCCCTGGACTTATTTAAAAGTACGTGTAAAAGCCAAAGAGATGAAATTTAAGAAATCCTTAGGATTTAGTAGGGGCCAGGCTGTCTTTGTTTTGTTTATTGGGTTTTTGGAAATTTAAGGCTAGGCTTGTTGCTTTTCCAGCCACAGAGCATGGTAAAGTAAATGAAACCCGACAGGATTTCATTGTTCGGATGCTGATCACAGCTTGGCACACATGGAATTCAATGTGTCTCTTACATGCATATTGAGCCCGTGTTTAAAATAGTATAAGTGAGTAAGAAAAATTTAAGTACAGGCAACTAAAGAATGATTTGCAACTACAAATGAAAGTAGCTTGGATCTTTGAAGGCTAAGTCCATGGTTGGTTAGGCAGGGTGAGATTGCATAAATGAATCAGCAGGCAGACTTTGCCCTAAAGCTGAGTAGAAAATGAAGTATGGAAATGATGCATAGGCTTTGGGGAAGCCTGGGAAGTGTAGGATTGATTTTGATTTGTGTCTTTGTCCAGCTCTAGAGTTGATTGGATTCTTGCTGGGGGAGGCCCATCACCTCAACCCTCTGGAGCTTGCCTCTGGGGCTTTCAGAAATAAGCTTAATTAATCTCTTTCCTGTAGCAGCCCCTCAGACACGTGGGGGAGCAGGAAAGCTCTCAGGCCTTCCTTAGATTGCTTTTCCTCAAATTATACAGCCCCATATCATCCAGGTTTTTCCTTATGAGACACAGCTCTAAAAAATTCATTGTAAGTTAGTCATTAATTTCATGAATGTCTTGATTTGTGGGAAACAGAGATGCCAGTGTCTTTATAGTTCATTCCCTTTAGCTCTATGTTTCAGGGAAAATATGTTGAGTGGATAGCAACAAAACGCATAGAGGGGACAGGGAAATCTTTGCCCCAGTTCACATGTTGCTCCCTGGCCCCCTTTCTTATCTGTTTCATTTACAGTTCTTAACTGTTTAATGTACTTAATGTCTTGATTTGGCTTAGCTAGAAAGTGCGTGTTGAGACACTTGACAAAGTAGGCAGTTCTTTTGCTAAATGTTGGCTTCGTTTGTAACTGGAAGAGCTTTATCTCTCTGTTTTCAGATCCATGAGCTTTATAGCATAGAAAATCTGCTGAGAAAAATCATCATCTAATTGGAAAAACAGGCATTTTATTGAGTTAAATCAAATTCATAATCACAAATAAATTTGAACATGTTTTTCCAGCATTTATAGCTCCATACCATGACCTGTATGATTATTATACAGAGCTCCTACATGAAATTAAATGAAATGGACCAAGGCAGACACTGGTCTTCCCTGCAAAGCTAGGTCTTTGCTGCTGGTCTCCTCTCTCTCTGGACATTACACAGGCTCGGGCCTCCATGGAATAATTTTGCACTTCTGCTGCAGGTAGAACAAGTCAGCCAGTTGGCTGTGTTCATAGAGGCAGCATTAGACTATCACAGACAGTCCACAGAGATTCTGCAGGAGCTGCAGAGCAAGCTACAGATGCGGTAAGCACCTCCACGTTTCTTACAAGCCAAGGGCTGCGGAGGTAACATCTATTGAAATCCATCTGTCTGTCTCTCCATCTCTCCATCTCCCCCTTCCCCTGCCTCATTCTGTTTTGAATTTTCTTTCACTGGCTTTCATGGTTGGATGTGGGATGGGACTGAGATAATAAGTACTGGCTTTGGCCAGTAGGATAGAACTGGGAAAAGGGACCTGGCAGCTTTTCTCCTTTTTCTTTTCATTAAATCCCTTTTTTTTGTGACCCGTGTTTAGGGCAACTAACCAAGTTGCTCTCCCACCTGGGACATCAACCCCTACAGAACTACCCTGGCTTCATTGCTGATTTGATGAGAGTTTAACTCCCCATTCACAAAGGGATGGAAAACATCCAGAGCTATGGAAAAAAGTGAGATGCTGTATGGAAAATATGTAAATATCTGTAAAAAAAAAAAAAAAAAAAAAAGGTAGTGCCTTCACTTCACCAGTACGAATTTCAGGATATGTTCATAATATTGACTAGTATTGAAAGAGTCAAAATATTGACAAATTTCAGGCTGTGTTCATAATATTGACAGGTATTGAAAGAGTCAAAAATATCTTCTGAACAATCAAAGAAAGGTTTCTGCATTCCTTGTGAATTTAATCATAGATGTAGTCTATACTTTTCTGAAAATTAGTAATATTATATATAGTCTGCATGGCAACCCTGTTTATTAAAATATTTTAAATTAGGTTTGATAACAGAAAATTGTTTTACACAGGATTATGGTAATGCATAAATTTGGAGGGATTTTTACTTAAATCAATGACGTAGTTACCTAGGGAAGACAAAGATGTGTTCAGTCCCTGAAGCATCCACTTCTGCAGGCAGATAGTTTACCTGTTACTGACAGGAGTGTATTTTCATAATTCTATCATAATCTATAAGAGTAGAGTGAGGGAGAAGGCAGCTCCCATCACTGGGTGCCGACCGCGTCCCAGGCACTTGCTGGATGCCTCAGAGACTTGATGAAGAAAATTAGTCTTTTGTTTTGTTTTGTTTTGTTTTGAGATGGAGTCGTGCTCTGTTGCCCAGGCTGGAGTGCAGTGGCGCCATCTTGGCTCACCGTAACCTCTGCTCACTGCAGCCTCCACCTTCCAGTTTCAAGAGATTCTCCTGCCTAAGCCTCCCGAGTAGCTGGGATTACAGGCGCCCACCACCATGCCTGGCTAATTTTTGTATTTTTCGTAGAGATGGGGTTTCACCATGTTGGCCAGGCTGATCTCGAACTCCTGACCTCAGGTGAGCACCTTGGCCTCCCAAAGTGCTGGGATTACAGGCATGAGCCACCATGGCTGGCCCAATTAGTCTTCTTCAAGATGAATTTCACTCACAAGCTCAAATAGGGAGTTGAAAAACTGCATTTGTGATATCACCTCCATCACTTCGGGCTACTCAAGAGTCAGTGTGTAAAAATCGTCCCTTTCATGACCACTGGCTGTAACCTAAGTTCCTGTGCTCAACAAGGCAGAGAGGATGTGTGTTTGGAAAGCTTTCAACATCAGATGTCTGGCTCATCTTACGATGTGTGTTACAGAATATCAGCTGCATCCAGTGTCCCCAGACGAGAATACAAGCCAAGGCCTGTGAAAAGGAGTTCTAGTGAGCTCAATGGAGTTTCCACCACCTCTGTAGTGAAGACGACAGGTAAGTTGACCATTCTAATATGCTAAGTGTGCCTTTAGTAAAGCACTTCTAGAAACACTTATTTACTGCTTGTTTCTGGGTCAGTGAATACACACAGACCCTGGATATCTTTCTTTGGTTGTTTGGTAAATTCCCTTTTCCCCTAAACGTGCCCCTTTTTTCTGTTCCCTGGGGAAGAATTCTATCACTTATATAATGTAGCATTTAGAACCTTGGCCATAGAACCATTATGGCTACATCATCCTTTATTTTTTTAACTCTTTGAAAATATTTTCTTAATTTATTTTTAAGTTGAAATTAGCATTTTTGAGCAACTGCTATATGCTAGATACTATCTTAAGTGCTGCATCGTTATTTTTTATTAAACAAGTGATGCAAATGTGTCTTTTAGTAAAATAATCAAACAGAAAAAAATTGGTAAAATAATCAAACAGAAAAAAAAATTTAATGGTATAAGTCATTCTATAGTCTCTTGTGATCACCTACACCATCGCAGTTCGCTTCCTAGATGTAGCCACTGTTAAAAAAATTTGGTATAACTATTATCATATCTATTGAGGTACATAAATATACACATAAACAGCGTTTTGGATTTTTTTCTGTTTTTTCTTTTTTTCTTTTTTGAGACAAAGTCTTGCTCTGTCACCCAGGCTGTAGTGCAATGGCATGAACATGGCTCGGTGCAGCCTTGACCTCCTGGGCTCAAGCAATCCTCCTGCCTCAGCCTTCCATGTAGCTGGAACTACAGGTGTATGTGACCCTGCCAGGCAAATTTTTTTATTTTTTGTAGAGACAAGGTCTTACTTTGTTGCCCAGGCTGGCCTGCAACTCCTGGGCTCAAGCAATCCTTCTGCCTCGGCCTTCTGAAGTGCTGGGATTATAGGCATGAGCCACTGTACCCAGCCTTTTTTCTGTTTTTTAAATGCGAGATTATACTAGGCATATTGTTTGGCAGTTTGCTTTTTAAAATGTATCACTGTTTCTTCGAGTTATTTCCATATCATGCATATAGATCTATCCCACTGTTTTAACAGCTTCATAGTTTTCTATTATACCATTTCCCTATTGGTGGACGTTAAGGTTTTTTCCAGTTATTTGCTACAGTGAGTATCCTTTATCACTGTGCTGGCTACATTACTATTAAAGCATGAACACCTGCTTCCCCACACCCATGCCAGTAGACTTCCATTTCTGCCAAGCACTCATGAGAAAAAAATGGTATCCAGTCTTAATTTGCATTTTCATGATTATTAGTGAGGGTGAACTTTCTTTTCTATATTTTAATTTGTATTTCCTTATGTCTGAATTGTCTGTTTATGTCATTTATTTGTGTTTTTTGGGAGTAGTTTGCTTTGTCTTATTGTTTTATAGGAGCTCTTTCCATATGAGGATATTAATAATTTTTTTCCTAGTTTGTCATTTATCTTTAAACTTTGTTTTTGGAGTGCCTTGTCCCTTTGTTGTTTTTGCTGTTGTTTGCTTTGTTTAGTTTTGCTTTGAGTATACAGAAGCTTTTATTTTGATGTAGTCAAATGTGTCTGTCTTTTGCTTGTGACTTTACATTTTGTGCCCTGTCATGATTACATTTTGTGCCCTGTTGTGAAAAGTCTTCCTATCCCTGAAGTTATTCTTCTACAGTTTTCTACTACTTTGAATAATCTTTTCTTAATATTTAGATCTTTATCATAAGGATTTATTTTTCTAAATGAAAAGAAATTCCCAAACTATCTTTCAGAGTTGTGCTACCATTTCACATCCCCACCAGCAATATATTAGTGATCTAGTTTCTCCACATCCCTGCCAGCATTTGCTGTTGTCACTGTTTTTTATTTTAGCCACTTTGATAGGTGTGTAATTAATCTTACTGTGGGTTTAATTTGCATTTCCTTAGTGACTAATGATGTTGAATATCTTTTCATGTGTTTATTTGCCATCTGTGTATCCTCTTTGGTGAAATGTTTCTTCATGTCTTTTGTCCATTTTCTAATTGGATTGTTTACATTTTTACTGTTGAGTCTTGAGAATGCTTGATTTATTCTCAATACAGGTTCTTTCTATATATGTGATTTGCAAATATATTCTCTCGCTCTGTAGCTTATCTTTTAATCCTCTTAATAGGGTCTTTCACAGATCAAAATTTTTAATTCTTATGAAGTCCAATGTATTCATGTTTAGTTTTATAGATTGTGTGAAGTCTAGGAATTCTTTGCCTAGCCCTAAATAATAAATATTTTCTTTTCTTTTTCTTTTTTTTGAGACAGAGTCTCACTCTGTAGCCCAGGCTGGAGTAGAGTGGTGCAATCTCGGCTCACTGCAACCTCCGCCTCCCAGGTTCAAGCAATTCTCCTGCCTCAGCCTCCTGAGTAGCTGGGACTACAGACACACACCACAATGCCCAGCTAATTTTTGTATTTTTAGTAGAGATGGGGTTTCACTGTGTTGGCCAGGCTGGTCTCGAACTCCTGACCTCAAATGATCTGGCTGCCTCAGCCTCCCAAAGTGCTGGGATTACAGGTGTTGAGCTACCATACCCGGCCTCTCCTATGTTTTTTCTTAAGTCCACTTTGTGTTAATTTTGTATAAATGTGAGACTTAAGTCATTTATTTTGCCTATGGATGTCCAATTGCCCTTTCAAACACACATTGCTCATATAAGCTGCACAGTGTGAATTTTCTTCCAACCTTATGGCTATCCTTAAAGGTTTTTTTTTTTCATTTAAAAACAAAAATTATCAGAGTAATATGTGTATGTAGTTTAAAAAGAAAATGGTAATATACGTATGTGGTTTTAAAAAGGCAAATGTAGTTACCTCTACCTCTGTGTGAAAACATGGGCAGGCCCCATGAATTTTCTCATTATTAAAACTACAAATTATCAGAGTATATGTGTATACATTTTTTTATTTTTTATTTTATTTATTTTTATTTTTTTGAGACAAAGTCTTGCTCTGTCACCCAGGCTGGAGTGCAGTGGCGCCATCTCGGCTCACTGCAAGCTCCGCCTCCTGGGTTCAGGCCATTCTCCTGCCTCGGCCCCCCGAGTAGCTGAGACTACAGGCGCCCGATACCGTGCCTGGCTAATTTTTTGTATTTTTAATAGGGACGGGGTTTCACTGCGGTGTTGATCTCCTGACCTTGTGATCCGCCCGCCTTGGCCTCCCAAAGTGCTGGGATTACAGCTGTGAGCCACCAGGCCGGGCCATGTGTATACATTTTTAAAAAAAACATGGTGCAAGCTTTTTCGTGAGAAATGGCAGTTTCCCCATCAACTCCTTTCCCAGTGCTTATTTTCTGCTCTCAGAGGAAACACTTTCAACTCTTTTACATATTTATTTGGTACTTAACTTCATGGTGCTTGTTTTTTACTATTTCTTTTTTTACTCTGATTCTTCAGTTTGGATAAATGTATTGATTTCCTGATATGGAAGATAATGGCTTAGCTTCCTAACCCTTGGTCTTCCATAGACTTCTCCCTCCCTTCACCCTTCCAATTTACTTATAATCACTATTTTTGTTAAATAAATATTCATTGTGTAATCATCACTTCCATCATGTGGGACTCTTAAAATGCACTCCTCCCCTTTTTTCCCTGCTCTTATTTTAAATTGCCTACTCACGGATGAAAATGTGAGCAGGCTGCATGACTTTTCTGACTACTCTTGGGTCACATAAGTTCTCCAGTCACTTGAATGTGTAAGTGCAGGCTCGTGCAGTAGTCAAAATGCTAAGACCCATGTCATGGTCAAAGCTATAATCTTGATTTAAAGTTTGGCTTTCACTCCTCCCCAAGCTCTGGCCTGTTGCCGTGGGAACATTGGTGTCAGGGAAGAGGTTGTATTTGGCTTTTTCTCTTTCCCCATCTACCCCTTCTGTTCTTAAGTCCCCAGAGAATGTATTTTAAGCTCGCTGAGGAATCTTTTAAAAGTTCTTCTCTCTTGATTTGGTGTGAAATGAAAAGATCACAACACATCCTGCCTCCTCCACACTCTCTCCAACATTTTTCTAAAAATCCTTTTTAATCTCCATCTTCTGACCTATTTATGCCATAGATGTAGGCTGGGATTAAAAGTTATAAAACTGGCTACCCTCATCTCTTCTGTTTTTGTTTGTTTCCAAATCCTGCATAAGTTGTCTTCTGCACATCGGTTTAATAAAAAAGAACAAACAAAAAAAAAACAGTTCTGGGGCCTCATCCAAAACTTCCATTTTTACATCGCCTAACACTTATTTACAATGTCATGAGCACAGAAATAATATTCACAGCAGTATCACATAGTGCACTATCATTGCATTTCTATTCTTGTACAATTGTTGTCTTGATGACTGTAGCTTTATAAGTTTTGAGGTCAGGCCCTGTTAGTCCTCTAACTTTGGTCTTCATTTTAAAAGTTGTTTGACTATTCTAGTTACTTTGCATTTTCATGTGAGTTTTAGAGATCAAATTTTCAATGTTTCAAAAAAATCCTGCTCAGATTTTTATTTGGATTGGGTTGAATCTATAACTCAATTTAAGAGGAATTGATAGCTTAACAATATTGAGTGTTCCAGGCTTGAACACAATCTATTGTATTTCCCATTTATTTAGGTCTTCTTGAATTTCTCTCAGCAGTGTTTCACTATTTTTAGAATATATACAGGTCTTTTAAATTTTTTCATCAATCTCTAAGTATTTTATATCTTTATGCAATTGCAAACAGCATTTTAATAAAATTTCCATTTCTGAATTTTTGTTTCTAGCATTCATAATATTCCATTGATTTTTGTATATTGATCTTGTATCCTGCCATGTTGCTAAATTTACATCTTAGGTCTAGTAGTTTTTTAATAGATTCCATAGTTTTTCTACATAGATGTTCACGTCATCTATAAATGAAGACAGTTTTACTCAATATCTGCATGCCTTTGTTTTTCTTGCCTTTTTTCACTTGCTAGAACATGCTGAGTACAAAGGGTTAGAGTGGACATCCTTGCTTTGTCTCTGATTTTAGGGGAGAAGCATTCAATACTTCATAATTAAGGATGATTTTAGCTGTAGATTTTTCATAGATTTTTTTTTTTTCTTTTTGAGACAGGGTCTTGCCCTGTTGCCCAGGCTGGAGTGCAGTGGCGCAGTCGCAGCTTGTTGCAACCTCAACCTGCCAGGCTCAAAAGATCCTCCCACGTTAGCCTCCCACATAGCTGGGACTATAGGCACACACCACCAAGCCTGGCTAATTTTTGTATCTTTCGTAGAGATGAGGATTCACCCTGTTGCCTAAGCTGGTCATGAACTTCTGGGCTCAAGCTATTCGCCTGCTTCGGCCTTCCAAAGTGTTGGGATTACAGGCATGAGCCACTAGGCCTGGCCTTCATAGATTTTAAAAATCAGATTGAGAGAGTTCCCTTCTAGTCATAAATAGTTTGAAGAGAGTTTTAATGAGAAACAGTCTTTGAATTTTGTCAGATGCCTTTTTTTGGTATCTGTTGAGATGATCGTTTATTTTTTAGTTTTAGTTTGTTAATATGGTGAATTACATTGTTAGTTAAATCAACCTTGCATCCCTAGGATAAACTCTTTGTGGGAAAGTTTTTTTAAATTAATTTTAAATTTTAGAATAGTTTTAGACTTACAGAAAAGTTGTGACGATAGCACAGGGCATTCCCATATACTCCTCCACTCTTCTATATTAACATTTTATTAGTATGGCACATTTACTTTATATAATGAACATATATTTATATTAGCTAAAGTCCACACTTCATTCACATTTCCTTAGTTTTTACCTGCTGTTCTTTTTCTGTTCTAGGATCCTATCCAGAATAGCACGTTGCATTTAGTCCTCACATCTCCTTCGGCCTCTCTTGCTGTGGCAGCTTCTAAGACTTTCTTTGTTTTTAATGAACTTGACAGTTTTGGGGAGTACTGTTTACATATTTTGTAGAATGTCCCCCAGTTGAGATTTGTCTGATGTCTTTACATGGTTAGACTGGAGTTATGAGTTTCTGGGAAGAAGATCACAGAGGTAAAGTGCCATTCTCATCCCATCACCTACCATCTCACATCAGTCAGAATGGCTGGTATTAAAAAGTCAAAAAATCATAGATGGCTGGCAAGGCTGCAGAGTAATGAGACAGCTTATACACTGCTGGTGGCAATGTAGATTAGTTCAGCCACTGTGGAAGGAAGTTTGGCAATTTCTCAGACAACTTAAAGCAGAACTATCATTTGACCCAGCATTCCCGTTACCGCATATATACCCAAAGGAATATAAATCATTCTACCATAAAGACACATACACGTGTATGTTCATCGCAGCACTATTCACAATAGCAAAGGCGTGGAATCAAACTAAATGCCCATCGGTGGCAGACTGGATAAAGAAAACGTACTACATATATTCCATGGGACAGTACACGGCCATAAAAAAGAATGAGATCATGTCCTTTGCAGCAACATGGGTGGAGCTGGAGACCATGATCCTAAGTGAACTAACTCAGGAACAGAAAACCAAATACTGCATGTTCTCACTTGTAAGTGGGAGCTAAACATTGAGTACACATGGACACAAAGAAGGGAATAATAGCCAGTGGGGCCTGCTTGAGGGTGGAGGTTGGGAGGAGGGTGAGAATTGAAAAACTACCTACCCTGTACTATGCTTGATCACCTGAGTGACGAAATAATCTGCACACCAAATCCCTGTGATACACTGTTTACTCATATAAAAAACCTGTGCATGTACCCCTGAACCTAAAAGTTAAAAAAAAAAAAAAAGAATATGCCCTATCAACAAGATTAATCACTGCTGATATTGATCTTGGTCTGCTGGCTGAGGCAGTATTTGTCAGCTCTCTGTAAAGTTACTCCTTGTTTTTTTTTTTTTTTCCTGCATGAAGGCTTTAAGCTATAAATTCAACGTCTTTATAGATAGAAGGCAATTGAGGTTATCTGTTTCTTCCTGAGTGAACTTTAGAAGTTGGTGTCTTTCAAGGAATTTATCCCTTTCATCTAAGTTGTCAAATTTATTGCATAAAGTTGTTCATAATATTCTGTTATTATCCTTTTAAGATATATAGAATTTGTAGTGATTTACTTCTCTCAATCATTTTAGAAATTGGTAATTTTTGTCTTTTTCTTTTCTTAATCATTTTAGCTATAGATTTATCAATTTTATTGATCTTAAAGAGCCAGCTCTCTGTCTCATTGAGTTTTCTCTGTTGTCATTGAGTCCTTTCGCCTTTTCCGATATATGTGTTTAGCGCTATCAATTTCCCCCTAAGTACCACTTGAGCACCATCTCATGCATTTTGATGTGTTGAGTTTTCCCTTTCATCCTCTTTAAAATTGTTTCTAATTTTACTTTTGATAACCTCTTTAACTCTTGGTTTCTTCTGAAATGTGTTATATCATTTCCACATATGTGGATATTTTTCAGATCTCTTTCTGTTTTAGATACCTATTTAATTCCATTTTTTATCAAATAAGATACTTTGTATGAATCATACCCTTTTAAATTTTTTGAAGCTTGCTTGATGGGCCAGAATATGATCCATCTTGGTAAATGATCTGTGTACACTTGAAAAGAATGTGTATTCTATTCTTATTGGGTAGGGTGCTTTATAAATGTCAATTAGGTCAAATTATTTAATAGAGTTCTTCAAGTCTTCCATATTCTTGCTGATTTTTTGGTCTATGTTTTCCTATTAATTTTGTGGCAGAGGGTATTAAAATCTCTGATTATAGTTATGGATTTGTCTATTTCTCCTGGCAATTGTATCCAGAAGTATGGGAAGTTGGCTACATTCCCTTCCGTATTCCTCATTCGCATTGACCCTTTTAGTCTGATTACTTGCATTTTTTAAAACACGGAAAGTGTGTTTTTGTTTGTTTGTTTGTTTGTTTTAAGATACGGGGTTTTGCCATGTTGCTCAGGCTGGTCTCCAACTCCTGGGCTCAACATTCCTTCCACCTCGGCCTCCAAAGTGCTAGGATTATAGGCGTGAGCCACTGCACCCCCACTGATTTATTTATTTATTTTTTTTACTATCTTAAATATCCTTCTCCTCTATTCCCTTTCTTTTTGCCCTTGTAAACAACTACTAGAGGTTGAAACTTTTTGTCCTTCCTCGGACAAAAAGTCTTTTCCTCCTTGCTCTCTGTACCTCTGTTTTTTTATTCTGCCCTCTGAGGACATTTCACCTTCTTACTTTATTCTTTGATCCAGTTATTTATTTAGCATATCTATTGAATTTCTTACTCCAATTGTATTAGTTCTCTATTGATGCTGCAATGAAATACCACAAACTGTGTGGTCTAAAATAACACAATGTATGATCTATTTTATAGTTCTGGAGGTCAGAAGTCCTCAAATCAAGGTGTTCACATTCCACACAGGGTGGAATCTGTTTTCTTGCCTCTCCTGCCTTCTAGAGGCTGCCTGCAGTCCTTGCCTCATTGCCCCTTGCTCCAGCTTCCCAGCTGGTGGCATGACATCTTCAGATCTCCCTGCCTCCATTGTCAGATCTCCTTCTCTGACTTGGATTCTCCTGCTTCCGCCTTATAAGGACCCTTGTGATTATACTGAGCCTACCCACATAAACCCAGGGTAACCTCCCCATCTCAAAATCTGTAACTTAATCACATCGTCACATTCCCTTTCGCTGTGTAAGGTAACATAGCTATAGGTTCTGGGGATTAGGAAGTGGACATCTTTGAGGCTATTGCTCTGCCTACCATGATAGTGTTCAAATTTACATTTTTAAAAAATTTTACAAGTAACTAGACCTTTCATATTCCTCTGAGAATATTAATTATACTTTTTATTTTTATATTTATTTAGTTTTATTTTATTTTATTATAATTATTATTATTTTTTTTTGAGATGGAGTTTCGCTCTTGTCACCCAGGCTGGAGTGCAATGGTACGATCTCGGCTCACTGCAACCTCCGCCTCCCAGGTTCAAGCGATTCTCCTGCCTCAGCCTTCCGAGTACTTGGGATTACAGGTGCCTGCCACCGTACCTGGCTAATTTTTGTATTTTTAGTAGAGACGGGGTTTCACCATGTTGGCCAGGCTGGTTGCGAACTCCTGACCTCGTGATCTGCCCAACTCGGCCTCCCGAAGTGCTGGGATTATAGGCGTGAGCCACCACGCCTGGCCCTTAATTATGCTTTTTAAAAAGTCTCCACTTAATTCTTATCTCCTTGAGTGTTTGTTGGGATCTGGAGTCTACTTTATGAAGTTGTTTCTCATACATTGATGATTCTTGGCTCTGTGCACAACTTTTTATTTGAGAGTGCTTATGAGGTTGCCTCCTGTGGTTAAGGGGAAATAAGGGATGTTCTGTTGAGTGCAGTGGACTGGTTTCTGTTTTTCTGATTGTTTCTATCATCCATGGCACTGCCCTGACTTTCTGTTTCAGATGCCCACACTCACTCAGTACCCCTTCCTGAAGGCAGTTGCCAGGGCTCCTGGCACTGGTACAAACCCAGGATGAGTGGACTCACCTGGCTGCTCTTTTCTCAGAAAGCCAGCCAGCTTTCAGGATCCACTTACACTGAGTTTTGAGCGCCCTTAGACTTCACTGTCACAGCATTCCGCTTTGGGAGCCATTTTGAACCTCATTTCCTCCATCTGCTGCTTTCCATCTTCCAGGCATTCTTGTATTCCTCATAATTTCTGGTCTACCAGCAGTATTTAGTCTCATTTTCCAACATTATTTGCAACCTTAAAAAGTCCTATTTTGTAAGTGATAGGGATTTGGTACATGAAAGGAAGGCTGCAGTCCTGTACTTCATTGTGCCATATTAATGGAAATTTCCCTTAAGACATTCAATGCCACTTATCTCACTGGTTGCATCTTTGCTTCTCCCCAGGATGGCTTTAGGTGCTGAATGGATAGAGACAAAGAATCTTGACTCATATGATGAGAAAATATTCTTTTTTTCAATTCTCTTATATTCATTCCAATTTCAAGGAGATAAGCTACAGTTTTGTGCTGGAGTATTTTTAATGTTCAATTTTAACAGAGAGGAGAGGCCTCCGGTTAAAAGTCATTTACAGACTACAGAATGTATCTTTTGGATGTAATAAAATTGTCTATTTTCCATTGTAATTATTTTCATGCTTACAGTCTCTATAGCATGTGGTACTAGTTTTCAGTTTACATTTTTTGATGTAATGTTTCAGTGAAAGTTATTTGAATAAAATTGATTTTATAAAAAACGTATCAAGAGGATACTTAGGTACAATTCTCTGAAGACTATTTTTTGTTGTTTGTTTTTAAAGATTTTGATGAAGCAGATATATTTTCAAGGTAGAATTCATTGGTGCCAATTTTCTATCTCTTCTTATTTACTTATTTTTTTGCGCTTTATATTTCTGTAGTTGGGGGAGAATTTCAACTTCCCATGTGAAGCACTCCCCCTTTCCTTTCTTTATTTTTTTGGTATTCTAATTTTTTTCCTTAGGTTTTTGAGGAACAGGTGGTATTTGGTTACATAAGTAAGCTGTTTAGTGGTGATATTTGTGAGATTTCAGTGCACCCATCAGCCGAGCAGTGTACACTGAACCCAATTTGTAGCCTTTTATCCCTTACCCCTTCCACCCTTTCTCTCAAGTCCCCAAAGTCCATTGTATCATTCTTATGTCTTTGCATCCTCATAGCTTAGCTCCCACTTATGGGTGAGAACACATGATGTTTGGTTTTCCATTCCTGAGTTTCTTCACTTAGAATAATAGTCTCCAATTCCACCCAGGTTGCTGCAGATGCCATTAGTTCATTTCTTTTTATGGTTGAGTAGTATTCTACCACATATATATACCACAGTTTTTTTATCCACTCATTGATGGGCATTTGGGCTGGTCCCATATTTTTGCAATTGCAAATTTTGCTGCTATAAACATGCGTGTGCAAGTATCTTTTTTGTATAATGACTTCTTTTTCCTCTGGGTAGATACCCAGTAGTGGGATTGCTGGATCAATGGTAGTTCCACTTTTAGTTCTTTAAGGAATCTCCACACAGTTTTCCATAGTGGTTGTACTAGTTTACATTCTTACCAGCAGTGTAGAAATGTTCCCTTTTCACCCATCCACGCCAACATCTATTTTTTTTAATATTTTGATTATTGCCATTCTTGCAGGGGTAAGTTGATATCGCATTGTGGTTTTGATTTGCATTTCCCGGATCATTAGTGATGTTGAGCATTTTTTTCATGTTTGTTGGCCATTTGTATATCTTCTTTTGAGAATTGTCTATTCATGTCGTTAGCCCACTTTTAGATGGGATTGTTTGTTTTTTTTCTTGCTAAGTTGTTTGAGTTCCTTGTAGATTCTGGATATTAGTCCTTTGTCAGATGTATAGATTGTGAAGATTTTCTCCCACTCTGTGGGTTGTCTGTACACTCTGACTGTTCCTTTTGCTCTGCAAAAGCTCTTTAGTTTAATTAAGTCCCAGCTATTTATCTTTATTTTTGTTCCATTTGCTTTTGGGTTCTTGGTCATGAAGTCTTTGCCTAAGCCAATGTCTAGAAGAGTTTTTCCAATGTTATCTTCTAGAATTTTTATAGTTTCAGGTCTTAGATTTAAGTCCTTGATCCACGTTGAGTTGATTTTTGTATAAGGTGAGAGATGAGGATCCAGTTTCATTCTCCTACACATAGCTTGCCAATTATCCCAACACCATTTGTTGAATAGGGTGTCCTTTCCCCACTTTATGCTTTCGTTTGCTTTGTCGAAGATCAGTTGGCTGTACGTATTTGGCTTTATTTCTGGGTTCTCTGTTCTGTTCCATTGGTCTATGTGCCTATTTTTATAACAGTACCATGCTGTTTTGGTGACTGTGGCCTTATAGTATAGTTTGAAATCAGGTAATGTGATGCCTCCAGATTTGTTCTTTTTGGTTAGTTTTGCTTTGGCTATGTGGGCTCTTTTTTGGTTTCATATGAATTTTAGGATTGTTTTTTCTAGTTTTGTGAAGAATGATGGTGGTATTTTGATGATGGGAATTGCACTGAATTTGTAGACTGCTTTTGGCAGTATGGTTATCTTCACAATATTGATTCTGCCCATCCAAGAGCATGGGATGTGTTTCCATTTGTTTGTGACATCTGTGATTTCTTTCAGCAGTATTTTGTAGTTTTCCTTGTAGAGGTCTTTTACCTTTTTGGTTAGGTATATTTCTAAGTTTTTGTTTTGCAGCTATTATAAAAGGGGTTGAGTTCTTGATTTGATTCTCAGCTTGGTCTCTGTTGGTATATAGCAGAGCTACTGATTTATGTACATTAATTTTGTATCCTGAAACTTTGCTGAATTCATTTATCAGTTCTAGGAGCTTTTTGGAGGAGTCTTTAGGGTTCTAGGGTTTTCTAGGTATACAATTATATCATCAGCAAACAGTGACAGTTTGACTTCCTCTATACCGATTTGGATGCCCTTTATTTCTTTCTCTTGTCTGATTGCTTTGGCTAGAACTTCCAGTACTATATTGAATAGAAGTGGTGAGAGTGGGCATCCTTGTCTTGTTCCAGTTCTCAGCGGAAATGCTTTCAACTTTTGTCGATTCAGTATTATGTTGGCTGTGGGTTTTTCATAGATGGTTTTTATTACATTGAGGTATGTCCCTTGTATGCCGATTTTGCTGAGGGTTTTAATCACGAAGGGATGCTGGATTCTGCAAATGCTTTTTCTGTGTCTATTGAGATGATCGTGTAATTTTTGTTTTTAATTCTGTTTATGTGGTGTATCACATATATTGACTTGCGTATGTTAAACCATCCCTGCATCCCTGGTATAAAACCCACTTGATTGTGGTGGATTATCTTTTTGATATGCTATTGGATTCATTTAGCTAGTATATTGTCAAGGATTTTTGCATCTATGTTCATCAGGGATATTGGTCTGTAGTTTTCTTTTTTTTCTATGTCCCTTCCTGGTTTTGGTATTAAGGTGATACTGACTTCATAGAATGATTTAGGGAGGATTCCCTCTTTCTGTATCTTGTAGAATAGTGTCAATAGGATTGGTACCGATTCTTCTTTGAATGTCTGATAGAATTCAGCTGTGAATCCATGTGGTCCTGGACTTTTTTTTTTTTGGTAATTTTAAAATTACCATTTCAGTCTTGCTGCTTGTTATTGGTCTGTTCAGGGTTTCTCTGAAGACTTTTTATATTGTATTATGCTAACACTAGTTTGTGTCTCAAAAAAAAAAAAAACAAAACATAAAACCGAAATGCAGTAAAATAGGATTTCCTCACTCCTGCCACAGTCCAGGGAGAATATTCCAAGAAGATAGGTGGTTCTAATGCATAGAGTCTCTCAGGGGTCTAGGCTGATGGCAGCTCTGCCATCTTCATCATATGGCTTCCTAGTTGTTGCCACTCCAGCCAGCAGGAAGGGGAGAAAGAACAAACATTTAGGTTAGATATTTCCTCTTACACCCGCAAGGTGGAAATGACACACACATTCCAGGGATGAGCGCTCAAACAGCCACACCTAGTAGCAAAGCAACTTGGGAAGTACAACCTCTAGCTAGGCAGCTGCTATCCAGTTGTAATGGCATCTTAGTTTGTTTGGGCTGCTGTAACAAAATACCTTAGACTGGGTAGCTTTTACTTACAGTCTGGAGGCTGAGATGTCTAAAATCAAGGTGCCAGCAGAACTGGTGCCTGGTAGAGGCCATTCCTCATAGATGACACCTTCTAGCTGTGTCCTCACATGGCAGAAGGGGCAAACAAGCTCCCACAGGTCCCTTTTATAAGGGCACAAATCCTACTCATGACCTAATTACCCCCAAGTCACTAATTCTCATGACCTAATCACCTCCTAAAGGTCCCAGCCCTTAATACTATTGCATTGGAGATTAAGTTTCAACAGATGAGTTTTGGGGGAACACACACATTCAGGCCATAGCAAATAGGAAATACACTGCATGTACCAGTCCATAACAATGATGGACTCCTGCTGGGCAGAAATTTCAAGGACCCCCTACCCTGGCAGTGAAGAAAGTGTCTTGATTAGACCCTGGTTCTGCTCTCTGGATTTTGGATCAGGGAGACTCTTTTGTCTTTTATTCTGTGGGCTCCTAGATTTGCTCTCTGAGAAATGTGTCTTCCAAGACCACATTGTAAGTGGGCTTTGGAGGGCTACCTTCTTTGACATCTGTACTTATTGCTGCTCAGGGACCTTGTGGGTTCCTTACAGTTTAGTAGACACAGATGTCTTCAGGCTAGGCTTATGCTTCTTTTCACAACTTGATTTCCTTTTTTTTTTGAGATAGTCTTGCCCTGTTGCCCAGGCTGGAGTGCAGTGGTGGGATCTCGGCCCACTGCAACCTCCGCTTCCCAGGTTCAAGCAATTCTTGTGCCTCACTCTCCTAAGTAGCTGAGATTATAGGCATGCACCACCACGCCTGGCCAATTTTTGTATTTTTAGTAGAGATGGGGCTTCACCATGTTGGCCAGGCTGGTCTTGAACTCCTGACCTTGAGTGATCCACCTGCCTCAGCCTCCCAAACTGCTGTCACCACACTGGCCACAACTTGATTTCTTAAAAAACGTAATGAGCTTCTGATCTATATACCTCCAGGCAGTTCCATGTGCCTGTAAACACATTCAAAGTTCTTTCTTAGATATAGCTCTTAAGACTTTCATTTCTTTCCTTCCTTGTCTTACCCATGCTTCGCTTTCTTAACTTACAGAGGCTACCTTGAGACCACCTGAAACAGCAGATTTGAGTAGGAAGGTGACACCTTTCGTTGCGTCTTTGCCACACAGCTGAGTTCCTTTAGTTTAGGGAGGTCTCTGAGAATGATTTGGAAGAGCAATCTGCTTATCTTGTTTTCTTTGGGGTACAGAAACAGTTTGCTTTTCCAATGCATTAGGAACCAACCTCTGCTCTTTCTTTTATCTTTGCTTGTAGACTGGGCAACTTTTGTCTTTCTTATAGTAACTTGCTACACACACCAAGGTTTAGCTAACATCCAACCTTCTGGCTTTATTCACCTTCTTTCTTTAGAGCTACTGGTATATGGTCTGCTTTAAGAGTTATTATAGGCAAAAAGTTTTTCAAATGTTTTGCCATAATCTAACAGGTCACTGGGTTTCAGCCCGGTGCGGTGGCTTACGCCTGTAATCCCAGCACTTTGGGAGGCCGAGGCGGGTGGATCACCTGAGTTCAGGAGTTTGAGACCAGCCTGACCAACATGGAGAAACCCCATCTCTACTAAAAATACAAAATTAGCTGGGCATGGTGGCGCATGCCTGTAATCCTAGCTACTTGGGAGGCTGAGGCAGGAGAATCCCTTGAAACCCGGGAGGCAGAGGTTGCGGTGAGGTTGTGGTGAGCCGAGATCGCACCATTGCACTCCAGGCTGGGCAACAAGAGTGAAACTCTGTCTAAAAAGAAAAAAAAAAAGAAGCTAGGTATAAGCAAATTAACTAAAAATTTTGACAGTGAGTTCAACCTCAGCCTCCCTCCTTCAATGCCAGTATATTATATTTGAGGAAATGAGAACCCAGGACCCCAGGGCTCAGTCCTTGCCCCACTGTCTCTATCTTTCCAGCTTGCACCCGAGTAGTTCTTAGAGACAGGACCTCAGGTCAAGCTCCCAAGACACCATTCTCTCATTTGCCACCAAAGAGAACTCAACTTTCCTTTGATTTGAGCTCACAGACTGGCAGTGTAGAGAGTGTTAAGCCTTATAAAAATGAAAAGGTATTTGAATTAAAGTATCCCTTAAGGTCATAGGGACCTAGCCTTTGAGGGCCAACAGTATGCCAGGAGTTATTATTTGGTGCTTTGTAGACATAGACATAACTCATTTCATCCTCATAACCGTACTCCAAGGAAGTGATAATAAAAAAAAGTAACACATAATAAGATAATGACAATAGCAACTACACTTATTGGCTACTTACTATGGGTTAGATATTGTATAAATACTTTGTATACATCTCTAGTACTATTTTTAGTCCCCATTTTACAGATGAGTAAGTAGAGGCTCTGAGAGGTTAAGTGAGATCTTCTCAAGATCACAGAGCCAGGAAGTAGCAGAGCTGGGTACTTTACCTTATAGATATTTCATGTTATATCATTAAGAAGGAATACTAGGGGAATGTTATGAAATGGCCAAGAGCATTGGGAATGATTTATTTCCAAGATTCATGATTACAGGGAATCTGTGGTCAGCAGGTGGTTGCACAGGGAGCCCACTAAATGCATCTGACTTGGAAGGGAAAAACAGAGGACAGTGAGGTCTTTGGCTTCCTCATTGAGGCCACGCATGTCAGTGCTTTGTCCCCTCTTTCTTGGCCAGTAGCTGGGTCCCTAGACAGATTAAGTTCCTAGAAGGGCGATGTACAGAGATCACAGACGTGCAGAAGCTGGCTTTTAAGAAGGCTCAGTGTCCCATATTCTCCACTGCAGCAAACTCTACTGTGTGCCACTGTGTGTCTTTTGCCTGTGCCTGTCCCAGGCTGCTTCTTCTAAGTTTCCCTCGGTAGTAGCTTCAAGTTCCCGTCTCACACACCCAGCATTGGGCTTCCTTGATTTGTGGGTGGAATTTGCCAGTGTAAAGGGGGTCCTGTACTGTTTGTTTCTGAGGCACAGTTTCAAAAGAAAATGACATTTATAGCCTGCATTAATGGGAAATTACTTTCCATTAGGATTCTGAATGATTTGCACATAATGTTTATAAAGTGAAGGAAAAATGTCAAGCATTTCACTAACAAATGAAAGCAAAGCTCATGAGACTCTGCCAGAAATGAATTCCAAGAACATTTTCTTCATCATTTCTTCTTTCTAAAGAAAAAAAGAGAGAGATGAAAGAACATAAGTCAATTAAGCAGAATGCATCGTGGGACTGAGATGGAATCTTTGATAATATCATTGCTAGGTAGTTAAGAGAATGAATAAAGTGAGCCAAAATGGAGAAAGGGGAGAATCACATCTTGAAATGACAGATTGCAGACAAAATCCAACTCTAGGTCCTGGCTGGGAGAAACGAGTGCCTGTCCAAGCCCGCGAGTGTGGGGTCATGCTGTTTCATCAGTGTAAGCTGCCCCTCTGTCCCCAAAGAGAAAAGGAGGCCAGGAAACATCCTTGAGTTGAAACATGTGCCTGTGTAGCTCCCAGAAAACCACTGATGTTGAAGAAAATAGTGTAGGAATTTGTGACCCATGCTCAAGTATCTTCCCCACTTGTGGGGAATTTGTATCAGGTCCCAGGTTGTCACCTCCTGAATTATATATTTAAAGACTAGAGGACAAAGTGTATTTTATCAACTCATTTTTTATGAAGTTTTTTTTTTTCTTGCTGAAACTCTTAAAAGGGGTACCACTTTGTGTAATCACAACTAAGGGTTAATATGCCCCAAACTGGGACCTGCTTTAAACATATAGGAGGCTGAAATTAGTTAACAAATATGTATTCCAAATGTGTGCTACAGGCACATCAGAGTGAGTTGAAATAAATCTCCCAAATGGCTTGTATTAAGACCTTCTAATTCTCTAGGTATAAAAGAGACTTTTATAAATTTCTTCACACTTCTAAGGCAGCTTGGAAATAATTTCTAGAGCCTAAATCCTTCCCCTCATTGGCACAAAATGTCTAGGATTACATTAGAAAATAAACATTTATTCAAAAGTGAAATGTGAAGTTTGAAAATTAAAGATGAACACTTTGCAAATAGAAATATATGCAATTTTTTTAACCTACATTTCCGAAGAGGAAATTAAAATTTCACAGAACAGTGACAATGGTGATTGTTCGGTCAGCAGGTTGTTTCTTACATTTCTCTTCTTTCCTTCCTCCTCTTTTCTTCTATTCCCCTTCTCCACTAATAGCCTTCCCCCCAGATCCATTTCTATATATTATAAGTAGTGCTTCAGAGTCAGAGTTATTGACAAGAGAGAAATAAATAAGGAAACAAGAGTCCCATGTTATAGTTCAGATTCTGGAACTTCTTAGTTGTATGAGTTGGGGTGAGTTTCTTAGCACCTCTAGACCGATTTGAACTTGTTCCTAGAGGAAGTGATTGGACTTAATACATTCCAAGGTACTTTCTAGCTCTAAATTCTGTGGCTGTAGTAGTTGTCTTTTGTGAGTACTTAGCATTCTTAATAATTTGAAATGTGGACAGGTTGAACATTTAAATATTTTCTATATTTTAAAAAATGTTTTAAAAATTAAAGTGTGAAATATGATTATTATTGTTGATCAGTAGCCATTGGTGCGGTGAACAGGAAGAGTCTCTCTCTTATTTTCCAATTTGAAGGAAGATTTAGAGAGGGAAGTTTTCCTCACTGCAGGGAATGGTTTTCTGTAATTATTCTGAACAGTCTGTAAAAAGAGTTTTGAAAAGCCGTAAGACATAAATTCTAACTTAGTTGTGGGAATTTTGACTTTGCTGAAATGATCTCAAGTGCTGCATATTTTCAAATCTTAACATATACTCTATAATGATACATTTGATCCATAAGCTAAAATGTAAAATACCATCATCTAAATATTAATTTATGTACTTGTTTTAAAAAATACGGTAGAAGTCAGTTGTTTCCTGGGATTACAAACCAGGCAACAGTGATGTTGCACCATCCAGAGGACTCTGAGTCCATATGAATGACAGCCCCTAGAGTTGTCCAGTGGATGTGGCTGCAAGTGCAAACTTGAATGCCAGATTTTAGGAATGAGAGACATAGGAAAAGTGTAAGAAAATAGTGCAAGGCTGGTGATAAATGGCTGACTCTAAGCTTCCAAGTCAGGATCATGACAGAGGGAGGTGTGTCTTCAACAACTAGAAAACACTTGTTCTTTCTGAAGGGGGTGGCCGATAGTCTACGGCAAGCGCCCCTTGCCTGAGAATGTGAGCCCATCATAGCTAGCCTTTCTGATTTTTCAAGAGAAGCCAGAAACCCTATGTTTATGTGACATCTCCTGACTTTTAGATGTTGGCAACTAATCCACATTGTAAAAAAGCAAGGAGCAGGCCAGACGAGGTATCATCTGCAAGCTGATCACTATGCCAATGGCCAGAAAGCCAACTCTAATTAAGGCAGCTGTTTGCATTTCCATTTTCCAGAACTCAGAGTGGCAAATAATAATAATAATAATAATAATAATAATAATAATAATACAAACAACAACAACAAAAAAAACAACCCACACACATTGGACCTGGTTGCAATAGAGGG